>NC_000010.11:37921342-38225624 GCF_000001405.40 Homo sapiens
ACAACAACAAAAAAAACACTCCAAATAGCCAAGGCAATTCTAAGCAAAATGAACAAAGCTGGAGGTATTACATTACCTGACTGCAAATTATATTACAAGTCTACAGTAACTAAAACAGCATGGTACTGGTAGAAAAACAGACACATAGACCAATGGAACAGAATAGAGAGCCCAGAAATAATGCCATACACCTACAACCATCTGATCTACAACAAAGTCAACAAAAACAAGTCATGGCGAAAGCACTTCCTATTCAATAAATGGTGCTGGGATAACTGGCTAGCCATATGCAGAAGATTGAAACTTGAGCTCTTCCTTACACCATATACAAAAATCAACTGAAGATAGATTAGAAACACAAACCTAAAACTACGAAATCCCTGGAAGATAACCTAGAAAATATCATTCTGGACACAAGACAGGGCAAAGATTTCATGACAGATTCCAAAAGCAATTGGAACAAAACCAAAAATTGACAAATGGGACCTAATTAAACTAAAGAGCTTCTGCACAGTAGAAGAAACTCTGTTATTAACTGAGCAAATAGCAACCTACAGAAACGGAGAAAATATTTGCCAACTATGCATCTGACAAAGGTCTAATATGCAGAATCTGTAAGGAACTTAAAACAGATTTACAAGCAAAAACCAAACAACCCCATTATAAATTGGTCAAGGGACATGAAAAGACACTTTCCAAAAGAAGACATACTTGTGGCCAAAAAGCATATGAAAAAATGCTCAATATCACTAATCATTAGAGAAAAGAAATCAGAACCACAATGAAATACCATCTCACAATAGTCTAAACGGCTGTTATTAAAAGTCAAAAACTAACATGCTGGCAAGGTTGTGGAGAAAAGGGAACACCTATATACTGCTGATAGGAAAGTAAATTAGTTCAGCCATTGTGGAAAACAGTGTGGCAATTTTTAAAAGAAATTAAAACAGAATTACCATTTGATCCAGCAATCCCATTATTGGATGTCTACCCAAAGGAATAGAAATCATTCTACCATAAGGACACATGCTGTCACCCCGTTATTAAATATAGTATTGGAAGTTCTATCGAGGGCAATCAGAAAAGAGAAAGATATAAAAGGCCTCTAAGTTGGAAAGGAAGAAATCAAATTATCCTTGTTTGCAGGTGATGTGATCTTGTATTTGGAAAAACCTAAGGACTCCACCAAAAAACTGACAGGACTAAAAAATTCAGTAAAGTTGCAGGATAGAAAATCAACATACAGAAATCAGTAGCATTTCTATATGCCAACAGTGAACAATCTGCAAAAGAAATTTAAAAGGTAATCCCATTTACAATAGCCACAGATAAAATTAAGTACCTAGGAATTATCCAAGGAAGTGAAGGATCTCTATAATGAAAACTATAAAACACTGATGAAGTTGAAGAGGACACCAAAAAATGGAAAAATATCCCATATTCATGGATTGGAAGAATCAATATTGTTAAAATGTCCATACTACTTAAAGCAATCCACAGATTCAATGCAATTCCTATCAAAATACAAATTACCTTCTTCATAGAAATAGAAAAAACAGCCAGGTGCAGTGTCTCACGCCTTTAATCCCAGAACTTTGGGAGGCCAAGGTGGGTGGATCGCCTGAGGTCAGGAGTTCGAGACCAGCCTGGCCGATATGGTGAAACCCCGTCTCTACTAAAAATACAAAAATTAGCTGGGTGTGATGGTGGGCCCCTGTAATCCCAGCTACTGGGGAGGCTGAGGCAGCAGAATCACTTGAACCCAGGAGGCGGAGGTTGCAGTGAGCTGAGTTCGTGCCACTGCATGCCAGCCTGGGTGACAGAGCGAGACTGTCTCAAAAAAAAAAAAAAAGAAAAGAAAAAAGAAAAAACAATCTTTAAATTTATATGGAACCACAAAAGACCTGGAATAGCCAAAGCTATTCTAAGCAAAAAGAACAAAACTAGAGGAATCACATTACTTGACTTCAAATTATATTACAGAGGTATAGCAACCAAAATAACATGGTACTGGCATTAAAGCAGACACTTAAACCAATGAAACAGAATAGAGAACCCAGAAACAAATCCACACATCTACAGTAAACTCATTTTTGACAAAGATGCCAAGAATGTATACTGGGGGAAAGATAGTCTCCTCAACAAATCGTGCTGGGTAAACTGGATATTCATATGCAAATAATGAAACGAGACCCTTATCTCTCATCATATACAAAAACAGATCAAAGTGGATAAAAGACTTAAATCTAACACCTCAAACTGTGAAACTACTGCAAGAAAACATCGGGGAAAATCTCCATGATGTTAATCTGGGCAAAGACTTCTTAAGCAATACCCCACAAGCACAGGCAACCAAACCAAACATGGACAAATGGGACCACATCAAGTTTAAAAGCTTCTGCATAGCAAAAAATACAATCAACAAAGTGAAAAGACAACCCACAGAATTGTAGACAATATTTGCAAACTACCCCTCTGACAAAGGATTAATAACCAGAAAACAGGCCCAGAGCAGTGGCTCATGCCTGTAATCCCAGCACTTTGGGAGGCCAAGGCAGTTGGATCATAAGGTGAGGAGTTCCAGACCAGCCTGGCCAATATGGTGAAACCCTGTCTCTACTAAAAATACAAAAATTAGCGGGGGCCTGGTGGCATGTGCCTATAGTCCCAGCTACTCAGGAGGCTGAGGCAGAAGAATCACTTGAACCTGGGAGGCGGAGGTTGCAGTGAGCTGAGATCAGGCCACTGCACTCCAGCCTGGGCAACAGAGTAAGACTCTGTCTCAAAAAAAAATAAAAAATAGAATGAATAAGCCCTACTATTTAATAGTACAATTGGGTGACTATAGTCAATAAGAAATTTTACATTTTAAAATAACTTAGAGTGTAATTGGATTGTTTGCAACTCAACAGATAAATGCTTGAGGGGATGGATACCTCATTTCCCCTGATGTTCTTATTTCACATTGCATGCCTGTATCAAAACATCTCATGTACACCATAAATATATACACCTACTATGTACCCACAAAAATTAAAGAAGTTTTTTAAAACTTAAAAAAAAATGCACGTGCATATGTTTGTTACAGCACTATTCACAATAGCAAAATGTGGAATCAAACTCCCATGTATGGTAGACTAGATAAAGAAAATGTGGCAGTATACACTGTGGAATACTACACAACCACAAAGAAGAATAAGATCATGTCCTTTGTAGCAACGTGGATGGAACTGGAGGCCATTATCCTAAGCAAACTAATGCAGAAACAGAAAAGCAAATACCACATGCTCTTATAAGTGGGAGCTAAACATTGAGTACATATGGACACAAAAGGGAAGTATAGGCACCAGGGCTTACTTGAGGGTAGAGGATGCGATGAGGGTGAGGGTAGAAAAACTACCCATTGCTGGGCGTGGTGGCTCACACCTGTAATCCCAGCACTTTGGGAGGCTGAGGCAGGCAAATCACTTAAAGTCAGGAGTTGGAGACCAGCCTGGCCAACATGGTGAAACCCCATCTCTACTAAAAATACAAAACTTAGCCTGGCGTGGTGGCATGTGCCTGTAATCCCATCTACTCGGGAGGCTGAGGCCCAAGAATCACTTGAACCTCGGAGGCAGAAGTTGCAGTGAGTGGAGATTGTGCCACTGCACTCCAGCCTGAGGTGACGGAGTGAGACTCCGTCTCAAAAAAAAAAAAGAAAGAAAAACTACCTGTAAAGTACTGTGCTTATTACCTGGGTGAGAAAATAATCTGTACAGCAAACCCCTGCAACATGAAATTTACCTGTGTAACAAACCTGTACATGTACCTCTGATGCTAAAAGGTTAAGAAAGAAATATGGTATATATTAATCCAATTATATCAATAATCACTTTAAATGTGAGTGGTCTAAATACAGCAATTTAAGGAACTATCAGAGTGGATCATGAAACAACTACAAGAAGCCCACATTATATAAGAAGAGAGATAAATTAAAAGTAAAGAGATGGAGCAAGCTATGTCATGCCAATATTAATCATAAGAATGCTGGAGTAGGTATATTAATTTCAGAGTAGATTTTAGAACAAGGAAAATTATCAGGGATAAAGGAGGGGCATTACACAATGATAAAGGGTTCAACTGTCCAAGAAGACATAACAATTTTGAATGTGTATGCACCTAACAAGAGTGTCAAAATACATGAGGCAAAAACTGTTAAGAGCTGCAAGGAGAAAGACAAATTCACTATTATAATTGGAGACTTCAGTGCTCTTTCATCAGTAATTGATCCAGTGGACAGAAAAACAGTAAGAGTATTGTTGAACTAACTAATTTACATTTACAAGATATTTCATATAACAACAGCAAAATACACATTCTTCTCAAGCTCACATGGCATATTCACCAGGATAGATCACATTCTGAACCATAAAATATACAACAAATTTAAAAGGATAAACATCCAAATATGGTTTCACAACACAATGGAATTAAACTAAAAATCAATAGCAGAAAAGTAGGAAATCCTAAAGTATTTGGTGATTAATTAAGACACTTCTGGTCAGTATCACTAATCATCAAAGAAATACAAATTGAAACCATAATTAGATATTGTCTCACACCTGTTAGGATTACTAAGCTTAAAAAAATGATAGCATGTTTTGGCAAGGATGTGGAGAAACTGGAACAATTTTTCACTGTTGATGGGACTGTAAAATGGTGCAGCTACTATGGAAAACCGCATGGAGGTTACTAAAACAATTTAAAATAGAACTACCATATGATTCAGCAGTTCCACTTCTGGGTATGTATCCAAAAAATTGAAATTAAGATCTCAAAGAGATACTTGCACTCCCATGTTCATTGCAGCATTATTCACAATAGCCAAGATGTAGAATCAGCCTAAATGTCCATTGACAGATAAATTTTTTAAATATGGTACATACATAAAATGGAATGCTGTTGAGCCTTAAAGAAAGGTATTCTGCCATATGCAACAACATGGATGAATTGTAAGGACATTACACTAAGTGAAATAAGCCAGTTACAGAAGGACAAATATGGCATGATTTCGGTTATATTGAGGTACAGGAAGTCTTCCCTTAACATCATTGATAGGTACTTGGAAAATGTAACATTAAGGTAAAGGACGTATAACAAAGCCAGTTTTTGGGTTTTTTTTTTTCCCATCAACATTGTAGGGGAACAACTATTCAAGAACCTTCTGTACCTCGGTTCACTTAAAGTCACAGTTCCAAGAACCTATCAATGACATTGAGGACTTACTGTATCTAAAATAGTCAAATTCATAGAATCAAAGAGTAGAATTTTTTTTTGTCAGGGTTTGGGGATATGGAGAAATGAGGAGATGCTATGCAGCAGGTTCCATGTATGCAAGATGATTAAATCCTAGAGCTCTCCTATGCAACATTGTATCCACAGTTAGCAATACTGTATTGTACACTTAAAAATTTGTCGGCTGGGCACGGTGGCTCACACCTGTAATCCTAGCACTTTGGGAGGCCGAGGTGGGCGGATCATGAGGTCAGGAGTTGAAACCAGCCTGACCAACATGGTGAAACCCCGTCTCTACCAAAAACACAAAAATTAGCCAGGTATGGTGCTGCTTGCCTGTAATCCTAGCTACTCGGGAGGCTGAGGCAGGAGAATCGCTTGAACCCGGGAGGCGGAGGTTGCAGTGAGCCGAGATCCCGCCACTGCACTCCAGCCTAGGCGACTGAGCAAGACTTCATCTCAAAAAAAGAAAAAAAATATTAACAGGGTATAGTTCATGTTAAATGTTCTTACCACAATAAAAAGGTGTGTAGAAGAAATATACTTTACATTCTCTTACATATATCTTACAATAACTAAGTTCATATATGCAACTGAAATTAAAATTTCTGCCGGGCACAGTGACTCATGCATGTAATCCCAGCACTTTGGGAGGCTGAGGCAGGTGGATCACCTGAGGTCTGGAGTTCGAGACCAGCCTGGCAAACATGGTGAATCCCCGCCTCTACTAAAAATACAAAAAATTAGCCAGGCATGGTGGCAGGCACCTGTAATTCCAGCTACTCAGGAGGCTGAGGCAGGAGAATCGCTTGAACTCAGGAGGCCGAAGTTGCAGTGAGCTGAGATCGTGCCATTGCACTCTAGCCTGGGCAAGAAGAGCAAAACTCTATCTCAAAAAAAGAAAAAAAATTCATGAAGTAAAAAATAATAAAAATAAAAAAACAGACTTCTAAATAATATGTGGATTAAATGTCTTATGAGAAATTCAAAACTATATTGAATTGTGAAAATGCAACCTATCAAAATGTGTGGAGTAACCAAAGATAATATTATATTCTTTGCTTTAAAGTCATATACATATTAAAGAAATCAAGAAGAAAAAAACCTTTTATATTTACCCAAACATGTACTGTTTCTGATGCTGTTTATTAGTTCTTTAAAATCTGAGTCTCTTTCTAATATCATTTCTTTTCATCTATAAGAACTTTCTTTAGCATTTCATATAGTGAAGATCTGCTGGATACAAATTTTCTGTTTTCCTTTATCTGAAATGTCTGTTTTTAGCCTTCATTCTTTAGAGATACTTTTATTGGCTATATAATTCTAGATCAACCTTTCATTCTTTTAGAACTAAAAATATGTTTTTGCACTGTCTTCTACCTATGATTTAAATGTTTTTCCTTTTTTTTCAGTTTAACTCTCATATTTTTAGTCTTGGGTTTCTTCATATTCATTCATCTTGTTTGGGATTAAATATTATTTTTGTACAATTCTTTCTCTCCTTTCCTAGAACTCTAATTCCGTATAAATTAGACCTTTTGGTTGGTTCCAGAGTTAAATGTTCTATTTTTTTAATTGTTTATTTCTATCTCATCTATACATTGGGCATTTTCTGTTGATTGTGCTTCAAATTTACTTACTTTTTGCTTTGCCATTTCTATTATACTATTAAATTTATCCAGTGAATTTTATATTTTATATTTTTATGTTCTAAAATTTCCAGTTGGGTCCGCAAAACTCATCCCAAGAAGTAGATTTTCTAGAATTGTCTTCTAAGTCCCAGCCTAGGATGACTGTCCCATTTTTACTGGGACTAAACGTTTTCCCAAGACTCAGGACTTTCAGTGCTAAAACTGGGGAAATTTTGGCAAACTGGGCAGAGTTGAGTACCCTAAGTATGACACACATATGGCTATCTTGCCCACCTATTTAAAGTGTGATATTCAGTGGCTTTTAGGGTATTTACAGAGTTGTGCAACCAGACCATTATCTAATTCCAGAACATTTTCCCCACCCAAAAAAGAAACCCCTACCTATTAACAGTCACTCCTCATTCCCTCTGCCTCCAGACCCTGGCAACCACTAATCTATTATACTTTCTGTCTCTATGGATTTGCCTACTCTGGATATTTCATATAAATGAATCACACAATATGTGGGACTTTATGTCTGGCTTCTTCACTAGCTTAATGTCCTCAGGGTTTATCCATGTTGTAGCATGTGTCAGTACTTCATTACATGTTATTGCTGAATGATATTCTATTGTATGAATATGCCACATTTTCTTTATCCTCTCAACAGCTGATGAATGTTTGGATTGGTCTTAGTTTTTGACTATAATCAATAATGCTGCTAGTAACATTGGATCCATTTACTTTTTTTTTTTTTTTTGAGACAGAGTCTCGCTCTATCACCCAGGCTGGTGTGCAGTGGTGCAATCTTGGCTCACTGCAAGCTCCACTTCCCAGGTTCATGCCATTCTCCTGCCTCAGCCTCTGAAGTAGCTGGGACTACAGGCACCCACCACCATGCCCAGCTAATTTTTTGTATTTTTAGTAGAGACAGGGTTTCACCATGTTAGCCAGGATGGTCTTGATCTCCTGACCTCGTGATCCACCCACCTCGGCCTCCCAAAGTGCTGGGATTACAGACATGAGCCACTGCACCTGGCCGGATCCATTTACTTTTAATTCATCAGACAATCTTTTTGCACTAAAGAGGTTGCTGTGAGCTCCCATATGTCTGTAACAAATTTCCAGAAACAAAGAAAGCTACTGCCACTGCCAAATGCTCAGCCTGACAGCAAAATATACAGTCACTGATACTCAATATGATACCAGCCCTCTGCCTCTCAGAAATGAAGTTCTAGGTTATCATACCAAGCAAGCAACCTAGACCAGTTGATATGCTAGAAAATGGTGAGCCGAATCTAGAAAGGTTAGCCTGGGCCTTTCCAGCAAGACCCCATCTCTGCAAAAAAAATTTTTTTAAATTAGCCAGGTGCTGTGGTGTGTCCCTGTAGTCCCACATACTTGGGAGGCTGAGGTGGGAAGATCTCTTGAGCTCCAGGAGTTCAAGGTTGCAGAGGTTAAATGTATATCCTGCATTCTGAAGGAGCACATACAGACCCTGCAGGGTATCATCTCCAGCTGATGAGCATCTTAGTCATCTCAGGCTGCTGTAGCAAATTACCACAGACTGGGTGGCTTAAACAAAATTTATTTCCCACAGTTCTGGAGGCTGAGAAGTCCAAGAGCAAGGTGTTGGTAGATCACGTGTCTGCTGAGAGCCCACTGCCTTCATAGGTGGCCTTCTTGCTGTGACCTCACATGATAGAAGGGGCAAGGGAGCTCTCTGGAGCCTCTGTTATAAAAGCACTAATCCCATTTGTGAGGGCTCCACCTTGCCTCCCAAAGACTCTGTCTCTAAATACCAAAACATTGGGGATTAGTAACTTAGCCAGGGTTTTAAGAAGTCATTCCAATCTTCTATTATGAAAGCATCTTTTGGATGATGGAGCCATGGACTCAATGTTGTCCCTCCTTTGCTTTGAAATGGGCCCAATGGTTAAGAAAATATACATGGGATCCCAGGTCAGTCTATGAGGTACTTTGTGAGCCCTTCAATAGGTGTACCGGTAAATAAGCTGCAAGTAGAAAAGGAAGCTGATACCTCAAATACTTGTCAGTCAAGGACAATGAATTACTGTAGGGTGGAAGGGGTCTGATGTAATCAGCTTGCTACCCACTGTCTAGCTAGTGACTCTCTGCGGTATGGTACTATACTGAGAGCTTGGTTTCTGCTACTAGCTAGGTCAGATATATGGAAGCAGCCATGGCTAGATCAGCCTTGGTGAGAGAGAGTGCAAGTTGTCAGGTCCATGCCCAGCCTTCATTTCTCCCACCATTACTATTCATGTAACAGGCTCATTGTGCAAATGCTGGGGTGGCTGATGACACAGCTGGCTGATGCCTACTGGGTGAGCCATTCTGTTGACCTAGTTGTTTGGTGTCTCCTCTCTGGTGAGTGCCTTCTCGTGGCAATAGACATAAGATACAAAGAACCATATACCTGTGTCCACTCCTATGAGTCACCCAGGCTATCCTGTTTCCAATTTTCCAAACTTACTTTTCCTTCACTCCGAGTCAGCAAACAATTCATGTGTATTCATACTTCCACCAATTTTTCCTACACCTAGTGTTGATAACAAGGTTTACTGTTGAAAGATATGCACACTGAGAGGACATCTCCTCACCACTGTCAGGTTCAGCCCTCAGAGGATTGTAGGACAGCAACAGTTCATTATCTAACCCTCACTATTCCATTGAACTCATCCATCCATAAATTAGGCCTGAGTCCCTTCTCCATCAGCTGTCACAGGAAACCCCTACAGGCCACATGTGTGAGTGTGAGATAGGGGTGAGGCAGCAGTAGTAGGTAACATGGACTGGGCCACCTCTGCGTAATGCACTCTGTGGACGTGGATCAGTTCTGTATCAGTCCATTTTCACACTGCTGATAAAGACATACCTGACACTGGGCAATTTACAAAAAAAAAGAAAAGGTTTAATGGACTCACAGTATCACGTGGCTAGGGAGGCCTCACAATCAGAAGGTGAAAGACACGTCTCACATGGCAACAGACAAGAGAAGAGAGCTTGTGCAGGGAAACTCCCTTATAACCATTCAGATCTCGTGAGACTTATTCACTCTCATGAGAATAGCATGGGAAAGACCCACCCCCATGATTCAATTACCTCCCACTGGGTCCCTACCTCAACAGGTGGGAATTGTGGGAGTTACAATTCAGATGAGATTTGGGTGGGGACACAGCCAAACCATATCAAGTTCTTTTCTGCTTTTGTTTTTAACACTGTTTTTTTTTCAAATTATTTATTTATTTTTGAGACAGTCTCATTCTGTGACCCAGACTGGAGTGCAGTGGTGCCAACTCAGTTCACTGCAACTTCTGCCTCCCGAGTTCAAGCAATTCTCGTGCCTCAGCCTCCCAAGTAGCTGAGATTACAGGCACATGCTACTTTGCCTGGCTATTTTGTGTTTTTTTGTAGAGATGGGGTTTTGTTGTGTTGCCCAGGCTTGTCTCTAACTCCTGGCCTCAAGCAGTCTTCCTACCTCAGCCTCCCAAAGTGCTGGGATCACAAGCACGAGCCACAGCACCTCCCCACCCTTTTTTTTTTTTTTGAGATGGAATTTCACTCTTGTTGCCCAGGCTGGAGTGCAATGGCATGATCTTGCTCACTGCAACATCTGCCTCCTGGGTTCAAGCAATTCTCCTGCCTTAGGCTCCCAAGTAACTGGGATTACAGGTGTCCACCACTATGCCCAGCTAATTTTTGTACTTTTAGTAGAGATGGGATTTCACCATGTTGGCCAGGGTGGCCTCTAACTCCTGATCTCAGGTGATCCACCTGCTTCGGCCTCCCAAAGTGCTGGGATTACAGGTGTGAGCCACTGTGCCTGGCCCCTCCCCCCCCCTTTTTTTTGAGACAAAGTTTCACTCTTGTTGCCCAGGCTGGAGTGCAATGGTGCAATCTCAGCTCACTGCAAACTCCACCTCCCCTGTTCAAGTGATTCTCCTGCCTCAGCCTCCAGAGTAGCTGGGATTATAGGCATGCACCACCAAGCCCAGCTAATTTTTTTGTGTTTTTAGTAGAGACAGGGTTTCTCCATGTTGGTCAGGCTGGTCTCAAACTCCCAACCTCAGGTGATCTGACCACCTCGGCCTCCCAAAGTGCTGGGATTACAGAGATGAGGCAGCATACCCGGCCTGCCCCTTTTTTTAATATAGGGTCTCACTCTGTTGCCCATGCTGGAGTTTAGTGGAGTGATCATGGCTCGCTGCAAAATTGCCCTCCTGGGCTCCATTGATCCTCCCATCTCAGCCTTCCAATTAGCTGGAACTACAGGCACGTGCCACCACGCCTGGCTAGTTTTATTTGTTGTACAGACATGGTTTCACCATGTTGGCCAGGCTGGTCTCAACTCCTGAACTCAAGTGATCTACCCACATCAGTCTCCCAAAGTGCTGAGATTACAGGTATGAGCCACCATGCCTGGCCAAAATTGTATATATTTATAGTGTACAAAATGATGTTTTGAAACATATATGTGTGTGTGTGTGTGTGTATATATACACATATACATTTACGTGTGTGTATATATATGTTTATATATGTGCGTTTACACCCACACACATTGTAGAATGGCAAAATCAAACTAACATGCATTGCTTCACATAGATATTATTTTCTGGTAAGAACACTTAAAATCTACTCTCTTAGCATTTTTTGAGAAGACAATATATTATTAATTGTAGTTATTATGTTTTACAATCAATCTCTTTTTTTTTTTTGGAGACGAAGTCTTACTTTGTCGCCCAGGCTGGAGTGCAGTGGTGCAATCTTGGCTCACTACAACCTCTGCCTCCCAGGTTCAAGCGATTCTCCTGCCTCAGCCTCCCTGGCTAATTTTTATATTTTTAGTAGAGACAGGGTTTCACCATGTTGGTCAGGCTGGTCTTGAACTCCTGACCTCAAGCAATCCACCCGCCTCGGCCTCCCAAAGTGCTGGGAGTACAGGCATGAGCCACCACGCCCAGCCACAGTCAATCTCTTGAACTTATTCTTCCAAACTAACTGAAATTTTGTATCCTTTGACCAACATCTCCCTAACCACACTCCAACCCTCACTGCAGCCCCTGGTGACTATTGTTCTATTCTCTACTTTATGAGTTCAACTTTTTAGATTCTGCATGTAAGTAATATTATGTGGTATTTGTCTTTTACTTAATGTATTGTCCTCCAGAGTGTACCATTTCCATCATACAATAAATTACTGCTTCATCTATGAGCTCTATCATAAGGCTGGGTGCCTCTGACAATATCCAGTGCATGATGGCATGTCATTGCAGCGTCACTTCTTGTCTTGGTCAAACACTAAGAGTACCAGTAGTACTCCGAGAGCTGCTCTTCAAATGGAGATTTTTCCATTTGAGGAAAGAACCAGCCATAGAAACCTAGGAGTTTGCACTGTGACTGTCCCTATTGTGGTTTCCAAAGATTCCAGACAGCATTCTTACCTAACAAAACCACTGGATCTATGGCCTGAGCGGTAAAGTGGCTTACAGCACAGCCTGTTCCTTTCTGAAACAGTCCTCTTTGCCTCATAGCAGGCAGTAAATGGGCTGAGACAGTATTGCCAAGAGTGGCACACACTGTTTCCAAAGTCCAAAGCGGCCTGTCAATCGCCCTGCCTCTTTCTTAGTAGTAGACAGTGCAGGTGCAGTGACTTGTCCTTTGCCTTGGATGGATGTCTTAGCAGGTCCTAGAACCCTGTATCTCTGAAAGCTTCACTGATGTGCTAAGCCCCAGACTATATTTAGCATCTATTCCCCACCCTCTGCTGCTCCTGTTTCTGTCTGCAGCATCTAGAGTACTTGCCACTTGTTGTATCTCAGGTCAGATTGATGTAATGTCATTAGTACTTGGATCCTGATGCTCTGAAAAATTGCATGATAAGGTCCTTGAGGGATAATTTGTGATGGAGAAAAGGAGAGTTAACATAGTCATGGGACAAGACGATAAGTATATATTGCTCTTCACCCAAGTGAAGCATTGTTGATCTTTTTCAGTCACATAAGCAATGTCCTCACTGGCTACTGCCTGTCCCCATAGTTACCACTCTGGCCCTGCTGTCCTTTATAGTATTTCTACCCACTTTGCTTTTGACTGTTAGTGCTTCCTAATAGAATTTTGTCATCTCCACTGGCATTTGGGAGTCCGTTTCACAACGCATCTCATGTCACTATGAATTGTGGCCAATAGAAGACAGTCAACGCACTTGTGCACTCTTTATCACTTTGGTGTCCCCTGGGCCCTGTGGGTAGCACATCAGTCAGGAGTCCTCTACCCTTATGTAGTAAAACCATTATAAAATGTCCATGACTAGAGTCATCTGACCCTCACCTCAGTACAGTCCTCAATTTCATTTTTTAAGGATTACTTTAGTCAATGAATTTATTTTCATCTGAAGGGCCTTTACAATTTAACTTGTTTTATTATTTGTTCCAAAGTAAGAAATAAATAATGGACCACACATTGTGGTAATTTTTAGCCATGGTTTTATTCTTGTAACATATTTATTCATGATTAAGGATGTAAATATAGGAAATGGTCATCTTGTGTTACCCTACATTGTTTTAACCTGATGGTTTCTCTTAGCTGAGAGAGCCAGACAGACTCCATTTTAGTTCCTTCACTTACAGCCCCCCTTCCTTAAAGGTATGACGAATGCAAGCTGACTCCAAGCACATCCAGGAATGCACTTGCTGATAAGATATAGAGGCAAGCTGTATAAGCAGCTCCTGGGGACGTGCTTGTTGGATGGTACCCAAAGCCCCTACATCATCTCTTTATGATAGTTTAAGCCCCTGCATCTGGAACTGTTTATGTTTCTGCAACTATCTCTGTAACCATTAATTTTTTAACTTTTTGCCTACTCTGCTTCTGTAAAAATTGTTTCAGCTAAACTCCCCCTCCCCTATTTAGACCAAGGTATAAAAATAAATCTAGCCCCTTCCTCAGGGCCGAGAGAATTTTGAGTGCTAGCCGTCTCTCGGTCACCAGCAATAAAGGACTCCTGAATTAGTCTCAGAGTGTGGCGTTTCTCTACAACTCACTCGGTTACAACATTTGGAGGCCCCAGCGAGATGCGCCACCGGGTGAAGACCAGACTTGTTCCGGGCTCCCCTGGACAGATGGAGGGCTTATAGGGGAGGCACCCCCTGAAGACGTTCCAGGGCCCCGTGGGCCACTGTATTCCGGAGGGGAGTGGATTGACTGCCGGGATTGACTGCCCAACCAAATCCAACTCCTGAGTGCTCAGTCTCTGGTCCCAGAAAGGTAAGTCAGATCTGACTCTGTTTCTCTGGGAGGGAAATGGCCCTGACGAGGGTCCTCCCTCAGACTCTGTCCACACTCCAGGATGCTGGAAGGCAGGGTCCTGGTTTCCGTCAGGCTTCTCTGTTAAGTCTAGTCTCTTGCTCTCTCTCTCTTTTTGTCTCTCTCTCTTTTTCTCTATCTCCTTCTCTTGTTCAGGTCTCTAGGAGATCTGTTTTAGAATGGGAATAAAAAATATTGTAATAAACTCTGTGTGAGTGAGTGAGTGAATTTGGAGTTCAAGGGCTTGTGCTTGAATTTCCAGTTTGTAGCTCCACAGCAAAAGCTATGGAGTTCGAGAGGGCCCTCACCTGCAGTTCTGTGGTGACCTATAAGCCTTAGGGCAGCATGGGGCATAGCTCGATCTGAGCCAGGGGTTTATACCAGTCTGCCAATGCCAAGAGGAGCCTAAGTCCCTGCAAGGAGAGTGGCCAGGTGGGCATCTGATTATCCCATCATGAGACTCCCTCCCCTTGTCTGTGTATAAAAATTGTCATACTTGTTTTTATACCCTAGTGTCTATTGTCCTGTTTTGTGTCTGTCTGAATTTTATATGTCCGGTCGCCAATACTGCCCATGATGACTGGGCAAGGACTTCTTCAAGGTCCTCAGTACAGATTTTCTATCCCAGGAGGTCAAGTCTCTCATCAGTCATTTGGGCTGGCCATCCCAGTCCTGCCTTTTCTGTCAGAAACTAATCAGATGTTGTTATGGGGAGGGGTGTGGAAGACATTCGCCCATTTGGGATTTTGGCATCATAAAGATTGCTGCCATTTAGATTGCCATACACCATGCCCCAATGACTGGTCTACCTCCTCCTTAGACCAGTGATGGATCCAAAATAGCCACCCTGCGGACTTCCTTGCTCACCTTTTCTGTCATCCCATAACTTTTCCAGTGCCCTTAAATAACACACTATGTAGAGAAACCTATGCCTGTGCTGCTTTACTCTGTCTGGACCCTTATTCTATCCCCCTGTGGCTACTCTCCTACCTTAGGAAAGATCTGAGTGGCCCCTTTCCTCCTTACCCCCATCCCTTAACCCACACAGCTCGTTTTCCTGTGTCACAGCAAGTCCAGCACCTCCAAGACTTGGCTCTGCTCTCCATCCTAAAACCCTTAAAAGAAAGGGCTGAGTTTGAACTTTTTGCCTTTGAGTCGGGGAGACACCAAAGATATTTGGCTATAAGTCAAAAAGGAAGGGGGGGGTCACATAGGTCCCACTGGCCTCAGACCCACCTCTTGTCCTCTCTCTAGATCTCAAAGCTTAAAGAGACAGATCTTATGTGGCAAGAAATGTTGGCTATAGTTGTTTTCCTACTTCTTCTGGTTATAATACTTCTGTTCTTCCAATACTACAGCCCCCCAGGCCATGAATATCTCTGTCTGTGCTGGGTTTAATATTTCTGCTTAAACCTTGTTAATTGCCTCCAGAATGGGAAACTCTTCTTCCTGGCCCCGTAGAGATTACAGCCCTCTCCAATGTATGTTGCAGAATTTCTCTCTGGGCTTCTCAGAGGATTACGGAGTCCACCTTAAGAAAGGCAAACTCCAGACACTCTGTGAAGTAGAATGGCCACAGTTTGGAACTGGGTGGCACCCAGAAGGGTCATTAAACCTCACAACTGTTCAGGCTGTGTGGCGGGTCATGGCTGGAACTCCCGGACACCCTGATCAGTTTCCTTACATTGATCAATGGCTAGATTTGGTCCAGAGCCCTCCTCCATGGCTCCGCTCACGTGCCATTCATGATCCCACCTCCAAGGTCCTTTTGAGCTGGACCACACTTTTGCCCCAACCCTCAGCGCCTTCGGCTCCTCCTGTACAGTCTCCTTCTGAAGAAGAGGAAAGTTCTCTTCACCCATTTCTGCCTCCCTATAACCCTCCTGCCCACCCCCCGCCCCGCCCCAGAATATTTCCTTGTCTCCTCGACTACATCCCCTGTGGCCTCTCCACCTATAGCCACCCAATTACGGCATCGGCTGGAGGAGGTGGCCCTCCTTCTCCCACTGACAGAGGCCCAAATCCCTCTGGGCAATGAGCGCTCTGCTCCATTTTTAGTTTATGTCCCCTTCTCTGCTTCTGACCTGTACAACTGGAAGGCTCATAATCCCCCCTTTTCTGAAAAGCCCCAGGTCTTGACCTCACTGATGGAGTCCGTGCTCCGGAATCACCGGCCCACCTGGGATGACTGTCAGCAACTTCTTTTAACCCTTTTCACCTCTGAAGAGAGGGACCATATCCGAAGAAAGGTCAGAAAGTATTTCCTCACATCAGCTGGTAGACCAGAGGAGGAAGCCCGGGACCTCCTTGAGGAGACTTTTCCCTCTACCTGGCCTGATTGGGATACAAAATCCTCGGGTGGGAAGAGAGCTTTGGATAATTTTCACTGGTATGTCCTTGTGGGTATCAAGGGAGCCACTCAAAAACCCATGAATCTGTCCAAGACAACTGAAGCTGTCCAGGGGCCTAATGAGTCACCAGGAGTGTTTCTAGAACGCCTCCTGGAGGCCTATCAGATTTACACCCCTTTTGACCCGGAGGCTCCCGAGAATAGCCATGCTATTAATTTGGCATTTGTGACTCAGGTAGCCCCTGATATTATAAGAAAATTACAAAAGCTGGAAGGATTTGCTGGAATGAACAGCAGCCAACTTTTCAAATAGCCCAGAAAGTTTTTGACAATTGAGAGTTTGAAAGGCAAAAACAGGTAGCTCAGGCAGCTGAAAAGGCTGCTGACAAAGCATCAAAAAGACAGGCAAAGATCTTAGTGGCTGCCATCCAAGGAAGCAAGAAGGCAGGGCCCCCATCACAGAGCACCAGCCAGGGGACCCCAGGTCCCCACCAGAAAGGCCAAAAAGGTGAGCAGGCTCCCCTACAAAGAAACCAATGTGCTTATTGCAAACAAATTGGACACAGGAAAAAAGAATGCTCATTAAAACCAGAGGAAAAACAAGAGAAGAAAAAGGTCCTCACCCTCCCTGCTGTGGATGAATCTGAAGATTGACAGGGCCGGGGCTGCCACTTCCTTCACCCCCAGGAGCCCTTGGTGACTGCCACAGTGGGGGCCCAGCCTGTATGCTTCCTAATCGACACTGGGGCGGAAGACTTGGTACTGCAAACACCCTTGGGCAGTGTCTCTAATAAAAAAGGTGGCTGTGCAAGGGACTTCATAAGCTTCATAAGCTGCAGGCATCCATCTCCTTCTCAGCCCAATAAGCTCACCTCACATTAGGGGACCCAACACCCTCTACCACCCAGCTCCTGCTAACCACCCCTTTGTCAGAGGAATATCTCTTAGTTTCACCCTCACAACCGCTGGAGAATAAAACTAATCCTCTCCTACTGGATTTACAGACTCTCTTTCCTCAAGTCTGGGCCAAGTCAAACCCCCCCAGGACTGGCAAAGCACCATCTGCCAGTAGTTGTAGAACTCCTGGCCACTGCCCTGCCAGTCCAGGTAAAACAATATCCTATGAGTCAGTGGGCTAGAGAGGGAATCAATCCCCATATTCAGTCTGCCTGGAATACTCCATTTTTGCTGGTCCAGAAACCTGGAACAAATGATTACCGGCCTGTACAGGACTTGCAGGAAGTTAACAAGTGGACAGTCACTGTCCATCCAACTGTTCCTAACCCTTATATTTTACTCGGCCTGCTTCCACCAGAACATACAGCATACACTGTTCTTGACTTAAAGGATGCTTTCTTTGCTATTCCTCTGGCCCCTAAAAGCCAACCTATATTTGCTTCTGAATGGATGGACCCTGGCTCAGGAGACACCACTCAATTAACCTGGACTTGGTTACCCCAGGGTTTAAAAAATTCCCCCACCCTTTTTGGGGAAGCCCTCCAACAAGATCTTATACCGTTCTGAGCCAGTCACCCTAACTGCACGCTTCTCCAGTACATAGACGACCTGTTTTTGGCTACTGAAACCACTGACAGCTGCCTGCAACATACTAGGGACCTACTTTACCTCCTTCAGGAACTCGGGTATTGGGTCTCAGCCAAGAAGGCCCAGCTTTGTCTTCCCAGACTTTTCTACCTAGGATACAAGATAAACAAGGGAGAAAGGGCACTTGCCACTGCTCGAAAGGAAGCCATCCTGCAAATCCCCACTCCCACCACTAGGAGATGGGTACATGAATTCTTAGGGGCTGTGGGATACTGTCGTTTATGGATATTGGGGTTCGCAGAAATCACCAAGCCCCTGTACACCACTACCAGAGGGAATGGCCCACTAGTTTGGACTGACAAAGAACAGGCTTTTCAAAATCTAAAGAAGGCATTAACTGAGGTCCCTGCTCTTGCCCTCCCAAATATCTCAGAACCATTTCATCTTTTTGTTCATGAAAGCCAGGGAGTCACTAAAGGGGTACTCACTCAAACTTTAGGACCATGGTGATGCCCGGTGGCCTATTTGTCTAAGATACTGGACCCTGTGGCCTCCGGGTGACCAAGTTGTCTGTGAGCCATAGCGGCAAAAGCAAGCCTGGTCCAGGAGGCTGATAAACTGACTCTGGGCCAGAATTTAACCCTTATGGCTCCTCATGCCATAGAGACTTTGCTACAAAGGGCCTCTGGCAAATGGATGTCGAATGCTCACATCCTGCAGTATCAGAGTTTACTGTTAGATCAGCCTTGGTTAACTTTCTCTCCCACAAGGTGTTTAAATCCAGCTACCTTTCTCCCTGATCCAGACCTTACCACACCTGTCCATGACTGCCAAGAACTGTTAGAGACTACATAAACTGGCCGACCTGATCTCCAAGATGTGCCTCTAAAGGAGGTGGACTCCACTCTGTTTACTGACAGCAGCAGCTTCCTTGAACAGGGAGTAGGAAAGGCTGGTGCAGCCGTTACTATGGAGACAGATGTACTGTGGGCCCAGGCACTGCCGGCAGGTACCTCAGCACAGAAGGCTGAATTGGTCACCTTCACTCAGGCTCTCTGATGGGGTAAGGACAAACGTATTAACATCTACACTGACAGCAGGTATGTTTTTCCTACTGTACATGTACACAAAGCCATCTATCAAGAGTGAGGGCTACTCACCAGGAAAGACTATTAAAAACAAAGAAGAAATTTTGGCCCTGCTTGAAGCTGTTTGGCTTCCTCCGCAGGTGGCTGTAATTCACTGCAAATGTCATCAAACAGAAGGCATGGCTATTGCCTGTGGTAACCAAAAAGCAGGCTCTGCAGCTCGAGAGGCAGCTTGGCTCCCAGTCACGCCTTTGACCCTGCTGCCCACTGTGTCCTTTCCGCAACCTGACCTACCAGACCACCCACAATACTCCCCAGAGGAAGAAAAACAAGCTTCAGATCTTTGGGCCAGTAAATATCAGGAAGGTTGGTGGATTCTTCCTGATTCCAGAATCTTTATGCCCCAAGCCCCTGGGGAAACTTTAATCAATCATCTGCATTCTGCCACCCATTTGGGAGGAATAAAACTGGCCCAGCTTCTAAGGAGCCATTTCAACATCCCCCACCTTCAGGACTTAACTAACCAAGCAGCTCTCTGGTGTATGGCTTGTGCTCAGGTAAACACCAAACAAGGTCCTAAGCCCAGCTCAGTCCACCGCCTCCAGGGAGGCTCTCCCCGAGAAAGGTGGGAAGTTGACTTTACAGAAATAAAACCACACTGGGCAGGGTATAAATACCTCCTAGTGCTAATAGACACCTTTTCGGGATGGACTAAGGCATTTACCACTGGAAACGAAACTGCCACCATGGTAGTTAGGCTTTTACTCATTAAAATCATCTCTCAACATGGGCTGCCTGTTGCCATAGGGTCTGATAATGGACCAGCCTTCACCTCGTCCATGGCTCAGTCAGTCAGCAAGGCATTAAACATTAAATGGAAACTCCATTGCACCTATTGACCCCAGAGCTCTGGACAGGTAGAACGCATGAACCACACAATAAAAAGTACTCTTACTAAGTTAATCCTAGAGACCAGTGAGAATTGGGTAAAGCTCCTTCCTTTAGCCCTTCTTAGAGTAAGATACACCACTTACTGGGCTGGGTTTTCACCTTTTGAAATCATGTATGGAAGGGCTCCGCCTATCTTGCCTAAGCTAAGGGATACCAATTTAGCAGAAATCTCACAAGCTAATTTGTTCAGTACCTGCAGTCTCTCCAACAGGTATGAGACACCATCCAGCCACTTGTCCAGGGAGCACACTCCAATCCAGTTCCTGACCAGACTGGGCCCTGCCACTTTTTCCAGCCAGGTGACTTAGTATAGGTTAAAAAGTTCCAGAAGGAAGGATTCACTCCTGCCTGAAAAGGACCTCATACTGTCATCCTCACCACGCCGATGGCTCTGAAAGTGGATGGCATTCCTTCTTGGATTCATCACTGTCACATCAAAAAGGCGAACAAAGCCCAGCAAGAAACATGGATCCCCAAGCCTGGGCCATGCCCCTTAAAACTGCGCATAAGTCAAGTGAAGCCATCGGATTAATCATTTTTATTTACCTCTTTTGTTTGTTTCCGCCTATTACGCCCTCTGCCCCTCTCTACTCTTTTCTCCTCACTTCTTTCACGACAGTATGTGTGTTTGCAAACACCACCTGGAAGGCAGGAACCTCCAAGGAAGTCTCTTTTGCAGTCGATTTATGTGCTTTGTTCCCAGAGCCTGCCCAAACCCATGAAAAACAACCCAACCTGCCGGTTATGGGAGCAGGAAATGTCAACCTCGCTGCAGGGTCCAGACACACAGGAAGCCGGACTAGATGTGGAAGCTCTAAAGGTGCAGAAAAAGGACTCCAGAGCGTTGACTTTTACCTCTGTCCTGGAAATCACCCTGACTCTAGTTGTCTAGATTCTTATCAGTTTTTCTGCCCTCACTGGTCATGTGTAACCCTGGCCACATACCCTGGAGGATTGACCTGGTCCTCAACACTTTCCAGAACTCGCACTTCCCGTCCTAGACAGTGTACTGTAAAAAATTGCAATCCTCTTACTATAACTGTCCATAGCCCTAATTCAGCTCAATGGTATTAAGGCATGTCATGGGGATTAAGGCTTTATATCTCGGGATTTGATGTTGGTACTATGTTCACCATCCAGAAAAATGTCCTGGTCCCATGGAGCCCTCCTAAGTCAATCGGACCTTTAACTGATTTAGGTGACCCTATATTGTAAAGACACCCAGACAGGGTTGATTTAACCATCCCGCCACCACTCCTTGTTCCCAGATCTCAGTTACAATGACAACATCTCCAACCCAGCCTGATGTCCATTCTGGATGGGGTACATCACCTCCTTAATCTCACCCAGCTTAAACTAGCCCAAGATTGCTGGTTGTGCCTAAAGGCCAAACCCCCATATTATGTTGGGTTAGGAATAGAAGCCATGTTCAAAATTAACTCTCTTCTTATCATACAAGGCCCCATGCCCTTAAACTAGGAGACATGTCAGGAAACGCTTCCTGTATAGTTAGCGCAGGGTATAACTTATCTGCTTCTCCCTTTCAGACTACCTGTAATCAGTCTCTACTTACTTCCTTAAATGCCTCAGTCTCCTACCAGGCACCCAACAATACCTGGCTGGCCTGCACTTCAGGCCTCACTCACTGCATCAATGGGACTGAACCTGGACCTCTCCTGTGTGTGTTGGTTCATGTACTGCCCCAGGTCTACGTGTACAGCAGGCCAGAAGGGCGACTTCTCATCGCTCCACCTGAATTACATTCCAGGTTTCACTGAGCCACCCCACTCCTCATACCCCTTCTGGCCGGCCTTAGCATAGCTGAATCAGCAGCCATTGGCACAGCTGCCCTGGTTCAGGGAGAAACTGGACTAATATCCCTGTCTTAATAAGTAGATGCTGATTTAAGCAATCTCTACTCAGCCGTAAATATACTGTATACTCAGGCAGAGTCTGTAGCTGAAGTAGTACTTCAAAACTGCCGAGGCTTAGATCTGCTATTTCTCTCCCAAAGAGGGTTATGCACAGCTCTAGGAGAAAGTTGTTTCTATGCCAATCAGTCTGGGGTCATAAAAGATACACTCCAAAGAGTTCAAACAAATCTAGATAGATGCCAACAGAAACAGGAAAATAACACCCCTGGTACCAAAACATGTTTAACTGGAATCCATGGCTAACTACTCTAATTACTGGATTGGCGGGACCCCTTCTCCTCCTCTTGTTTGGCTTAGTCTTTGGGCCTTGTATATTAAATTGGTTTCTTAACTTTATAAAGCAGTGCATAGCTTCTGTCAAACTTATGCATCTTAGAACCCAATATAACCCCCTTGTTATAACCGAGGAATCAATGATTTGATTCCCCTAAACACGAGTGGGGAATGTGATACCCTACTTTGTTTTAACCTGATTGTTTCTCTTAGCTGAGATAGCCGGACACACTCTATTTTAGTTCCTTCACTTACAGCCCCCGCCCAACCCCCGCCGCTGTACACGTAGACCTGGGGCAGTACATGAACCAACACACACAGGAGAGGTCCAGGTTCAGTCCCACTGATGCAGTGAGTGAGGCCTGAAGTGCAGGCCAGCCAGGTATTGTTGGGTGCTTGGTAGGAGACTGAGGCATTTAAGGAAGTAAGTAGAGACTGATTACAGGTAGTCTGAAAGGGAGAAGCAGATAAGTTATACCCTGCGCTAACTATACGGGAGGCGTTTCCTGACATGTCTCCTAGTGTAAGGGCATGGGGCCTTGTATGATAAGGCCTTCACTTACAGTGACATACATTTCACTGTATGAAATGTCCTTCACTTACAGCTGACATTCATTTATGTCTCTGCATGTACTTAGTCTTCTGATTATGTAATATGTACAGATGTTTCTGGTGACTTTCTCTTTGGAAAGGCAGTGTTATCTGTTGGGCATATGACTGTGTATCTGACATGAAATATCTGGTAATCTCAATTTAGAATCTGTGAGGGGAAAATTCAAGCCAAGTTCCAGGTTGTTCAGTAACATTTTTTTTTTTTTGAGATGGAGTCTCACTCTGTTGTCCAGGCTAAACTGCCATGGTGCGATCTCAGCTCACTGCAACCTCCACCTCCTGGGTTCAAGTAATTCTCTTCCCTCAGCCTCCCGAGTAGCTGGGATTACATGTGTGTGCCACCATATCTGGCTAATTTTTGTATTTTTAGTAGAGATGGGGTTTCACTATGTTGGCCAGGCTGGTCTGCAACTCCTGGCCTTAGGTGATCTGCCTGTCTTAGCCTCCGAAAGTGCTGGGATTACAGATGTGAGCCATAGCACCCAGCCTATTCAGTAACAATTTCATATGATGAGTTTACAGGTATTTTAAGGTTTAGATCACATTGTTGTCATCCTTAGGGATAGCTGTAGAACTATAAGCCAAGAAATATGAAGTTTTTTTTAAAAGCATTGTGTATTAATTATGTTTTAAAAGCTTTTCTGTCTATGATGTTTTGACATCTTGCTGGCTTGGGAGAGACTGCCCTTCCCAGGATTAGCCAGTTCCTACAGATAGCAAAGGGCTCAGCCTGGAGCAGGTCTTTGATTTGCAAACCAACAATCACAGGCTCAATCATTTCTTTATCTAATTCTCCAAGCAAGTTTTCTCCTACCCTAGATCATCCCAGGGTCAGGTTCCAGATGACTAGAGACCACATCTAGAGCCTGCTGGCCTTATTCAGACTAGCCCATCCCAAACTCTTCACCCTGCCCTGCCTTGCCCTTCCCACAGAAACCCAATAAAGGGTGTAGCCTAGGCTTTCCCTTGAATCTTGCTTCTGCCTCCTGACTGACACTGGTGCTCCACGGCCCTGTGTGGCACACGGTGATGACCCCTGTCTGGGACCTGTGAGTGTAAGAAACTTCTTACTTCCAAGTCTTGTTCTCATTTCCTCCTGTAGCTGCACAAGCTTTCCCAAATTATGTCCAACATTTACATTCTTAGAACACAGAGAAAGTTTTTTTTTTTTTTTAGACAGTCTTGCTCTGTCACCCCAGGCTGAAGTGCAGTGGCATGACCTCGGCTCATTGCAACCTCTGCCTCCCGGGTTCAATGTGATTCTCCTGCCTCAGCCTCTGAAGTAGCTGGGATTATAGGTGTCCACCATCACGCCTGACTAATTTTTGTATTTTTAGTAGAGACGGGGTTTCACCATATTGGCTAAGCTGGGCTTGAAAGACTGACCTTAAATGATCTACCCACCTCGACCTCCCAAAGTGCTGGGATTACAGGCGTAGGCCATTGCGCGCGGCCTGAGCCCACTGAGCCTGTCCAAAAGTTTTGAATCTGAAGCAATTCACTTATTTGATCGTCTTAGAGCTTTTAGGACAATGTAGGTGATGGAATTTGTTTTTAATGAGAATATCATATAGTTTAAGTGTTTCACTGGGAAATGGATTCTCAAGGTTGGAAACAAAATTAAAAAGCTCTTGGGCCAGGCTTGTGGCTCACGCCTGTAATCCCAGCACTTTGGGAGGCTGAGGTTGGCAGATCACAAGGTCAGGAGTTCGAGACCAGCCTGACAAACATGGTGAAACCCCGTCTCTACTAAAAAAATACAAAAATTAGCCGGGCATAGTTGTGCATGCTTGTAATCCCAGCTACTCAGGAGGCTGAGGCAGGAGAATTGCTTGAACCTGGGAGGCAGAGGTTGCAGTGAGCCGAGATCGCACCACTGCACTCCAGCCTGGGCAACAGAGCAAGACTACATCTCAAAAAAAAAAAAAAAAAATGCCAGGCATGGTGGCTCACATCTGTAATCCCAGCTGTTTGAGAGGCCGAGGTGGGTGGATCACGAGGTCAGGAGATCGAGACCATCCTGGCCAACATGGTGATATCTGGTCTCTACTAAAAATACAAAAATTACCTGAGTGTGGTGGTGCATGCCTGTAATTCCAGCTACTTGGGAGGCTGAGGCAGGAGAATCGCTTGAACCAGGGAGGCAGAGGTTGCAGTGAGCCGAGATCATGCCACTGTACTCCAGCCTGGTGACAGAGCAAGACTCCATCTCAAAAAACAAAACAAAAAACAAAAAAGCTTTTGAATCAAAATAATAGTTATTTCACAAGGGAAAGTATAATCAAAATACAATTTATACGAACCATTTAAAGAGGATTAATGCTTTCAAGTAGCTGAATATACTCACTTGTAAATATCTAAATGCTCTATGAGAGAGTGTCTTAAGCCATCTGTAAACTTTATGGATGAGGCAAGATTTGGTCGCTTGTTAAATATCTTGGATAAAATCTTCATTAAAAAAAATGGACAAGTTTTTCCTGTTATTAGGGTTTATTCTTTGTTATGTAAGTTTCAAGGTCTGGATATAGTTTTGGGTGACAACTTGCAGTATAAGACAGTCCAATTTAGCCAACACTACCTCTCTTTCATGGGGACAGACTGTTATATTTGGGTAAGTCCTCTTTATTATTTATTTATTTATTTTTTGAGATGGAGTTTTGCTCGTCCGCCAGGCTGGAGTACAATGGCGCAATCTTGGCTCACTGCAACCTCCATCTCCTGGGTTCAAGCAATTCTCCTGACTCAGCCTCCTGAGTAGGTGGGATTACAGGCATCCACCACTGTGCCCAGCTAATTTTTTTTTTTTTTTTTGAGACAGAGTCTCGCACTGTCACCCGGGCTGGAGTTCAATGGTGCGACCTCGGCTCACTGCAACCTCCGCCTCCCAGATTCAAGCGATTCTCCTGCCTCAGCTTCCAGAGTAGCTGGGATTACAGGCACCTGCCACCACGCCTGGCTAATTTTTTGTATTTTTTAATAGAGACAGGGTTTCACTGTTGGCCAGGTAGGTCTTGAAATCCTGACCTTATGATTCACCTGCCTCGGCCTCCCAGTGTTGGGATTACAGATGTGAGCCACCGTGCCCGGCCACCTAATTTTTCTACTTTTAGTAGAGACTGGGTTTCACCATGTTGGCCAGGCTGGTCTTGAACTCCTGACCTAAAGCGATCCACCTATCTCAGCCTCCCAAAGTGCTGAGATTGCAGGCATGAGCCACTGTGCTCAGCCTGGGTAAGTCCTTTTTAGAAATCAGATTAAACAACTGTCATTTCAAATATTGGCAAACTTCTAAGGGCCACTTAGGTGGCATAACTCTTGTTGTGCAAGAGACTAACCATTCAATTTCTTAAACTTTTTGTTTAAGCTTTTTGCTTTGATTTGTTGCTTACTCTCTGATTCACTTTGAAATACCTAAAACTTAATGGCTTAAAACAATGACTGATGTATTACTTTTCTGTGTGTACTGGGAATTCTGCTTCAGTTGGCTGTGGCTGGTGTCTCATTCAGGTCACTGGTACATTCAGCAGTGGAGGGGCTGGGCTGGAGGAGCTAAGGGAGCTTCATAAGCATGCTTGATACCAGGGGCTTCACCATGGGCTGCTTGGGTTTCTTCATGACATGGCCTCGAACTAGTCCAACTTTTTGCATGATGGTTAGCTTCAAGCTGCCACACTTCCTAAAGGGTAGGCCTGGAACTTCTCCATGTTGTAGTAGGCTAAAGCAAGTCCCAGGCCAGCCCAGATTCAAAGATGGGGAAAAGAATCTCCCTCTTGTGACCAGAGTGGCAGGCAGGAAGGAATTGATAAGTGTATCTGTGGCCTTCACTAACCAAAGGAACTCTGTACTTGTAAATCACAGCCAAAGTATAAGACGATACAGAGCTTTAGGAAACATGGGATTCAGGAATTGGCCAGCTTTTGAAAGAAAGAGTGTTGAGGGACTGGCTTTCTTTTGGTGGTAAAAGCATGGTCACCGGCCTGAGCCAAAAGCTAACTTGCCAAAGCATGGTCAGAGTGAAGGCTGGTGCTGACTGGCTTTCAGAAATGCATAGCTGTCAGATTGGGTGACTTTCATAAGCATGTGTACTGAGGAGAGATTGTCTGACTAATTGCTTTCAATGTCTGATTACTTGTCTCCTATCAATTTTTGTGGTTACCCATTCATGGCTTGAGACTATGGCCAAGAAACTCTCAGGCTTGACTATGGAGAACGTGAGTATTCTCATCATTAAGAGTATTAAAGTGTTCTTGTTAGTACGGGCTTTATTTATGTATTTATTTATTTTTTCTGACACCCAGACTGAAGTGCAGTGGCATGATCTTGGCTCACTGTAACCTCTGTCTCCCAGGCTCAAGTAATTCTCCTGCCATGGCCTCCTGTGTAGCTGGTTCTACCACGCCCAGCTAATTTTGTATTTTTAGTAGAGATGGGGTTTTGCCATGTTGGCAAGGATGGTCTTGAACTCCTGACCTCAAGTGAACCACCTGCCTCAGCCTCCCAAAATACTGGGATTACCAACATGAGCCACGGCACCCAACTGGCTTTATTCTTGATAACAGATTTGTCACAGTTATTGGACTGTACCCAGAAAGTATTCATTTTTATTTAATTTTTTTATTGAGAAGCCTGAGGATTTAGAAAGTGTATTTTCTTTCACAGTAAAATAAAGAACCACCCTAAAGGCTTATCTACAGATAGATGTTACCTCAAACCTCCATCAAGACGGCATTCTCGCGGCAATGCTGAGTAGAATGAAATATTGGTAAAAATATTTTCCCATAAAGTATTCAGAAGGTATAACATGTAAGTACAAAGTATACCTTCTTGAGATACAAGTAATCAGTAAATATCATATTAGGGGTTCATAAATGCTAAACATCAGACAGGTCAGAACGTCACAACAAGGCATGATTAAGAAGCTTAATATTAGATGGGTGTGGTGGCTCATGCTTATAATCCCAGCACCTTGGGAGGCCAAAGCAGGCAGATTGCTTGAGCCCAGGAGTTCAAGACCAGCTTGGGCAACATGGGGAGACCCCATATCTACCAAAAAAAAAAAAAGGCAAAAATTAGCCAGGTGTGGTGGTGCGTGCCTGTAGTCCCAGCTACTCGGGAGGCTGAGGTGGGAGAATTGCTTGAGCCTGGGAAGTGGAAGTTGCAGTGAGCCGAGATCACATCACTGCATTCCAGCCTGGGTGACAGAGCAAGACCCCGCCACACATACAAAAAGAAGCTGAACATCAATGAAAGTCTTTATTAGGAAGGGGAAGTAAGACGCTGGCAGGTTTAGATTGTAGCAGCATATGACAATTACATGAAGTGCAGGCAATAATTTTATAGATTACTAGTAATGTAGCTGATGGAATTGGGTATTGTAAGTTTTTTGTTATTGGGTTACGTTAGCTAAGTATGACTTACCAATGGTATCTTATGGGATAGAAAGAAAATTATAAAATGATACAGGGAAAACTGGCCATTGATTTGGGAGAAAACAAAGGAATACTGTGGGGCAGTATCAATGAACAATTCGACTTAATTTAGACAATGTTTATTTCATATGTTTACTGCTACATTCCATCAAGAAATTTCTTGTTTTGATGTTATGACAATTTAGCAAGTAAAAAACACATTTCTTTGAAAAAAATACTTCTAAGCTCAGGCTCTTAACATATAAATATAATGCACAAAATAAATATACTGCAAAAAACCACCCACCTACAAATTGCTGTATGCATCATTTCTGAAACATGAAATACTTATAAAAGCGTAACTCTACATTGCTTTTATTTTCAGCTCTAAGTAACAGAAAAACTTACTTTGTAAAGTGCTAGATCTTAGGCTCAAGGGCATGTGGTGTCTGCTACAACTACTCAACTCTGCTGGGGTAGTGCAAAGACAGCCACAGGTCAAACATAAATAGGTGTTTTTTGTTTGTATTCATGTTTTCAAAACTTTATTTATGGACACTGAAATTTGAATATCATATAATTTTCATGTGTCACAATATTCTTTGATTCTTTCAACCATTTAGAAATATAAAACCATTCTTAGCTTGCAGGATACAAAAATGGGTAGTGGGCCAGATCTGTCTGATGGACTGTCATTTGTCAAACCCTGACTTAGTGTAGTCAGGATCTGCCCCTAAATCACTTGTAGGAAAACAAACAAACAACAAACAACCAAATCAAGGCACTGGCAGCAAGAAGGTGGGGAATGAATGTTGGGTAGCCAACATTTTTTTTTTTTTTGCAGCGTAATTCACAAAATACAAATAATGATGATAACCTCTAACATATAGCTCTTGTGTCTCAGACACTATTCTAAGTGCTTTGAAAATGTTAACTCATTTAGACCTCAAAGCAATCCTAAGATGTTGTCACTATCACTACTCTTTTATGGGATGGGAACTGAGGCACAGAGATATTAAGTAGCATGCCCCATGCTGGAATCGGGGCCCAGGCAGCAGGAGCCCAGAGTCCACACCCTTAACTATGCCATGTTGCTTCTATGAGGAAGAAAAAGTTGGTGAAGAACATTTAGGACTCTCACACTAAATACAAATGCAGATAGCTCTGCTCCCTGCTCACACATCAACAGTAAGATACATAATATTTCTTACATTGCACTATTTGTTTTCATTGTGGAGATTGTAATAAATACTACTGTTTTTAGCTGTTTAAAAACAGCTCAGGCTTTTGCTATATATAAATGTGTCCCTAATGCAAAACTTGACTGACATTTGAAAATTTTACAAAAACATTTTAACTTATTTTTGAAGGATTAGTTATTACCACTGTCTATATCCATTTACAAACACAAAAAAGGATAAAAAGATGCCTTATAATTTAAAAGGAATATTACACTTACAATACAAATATTAACAACCAGAGTCACTACTGAGACTTAATGTGCAACATCTTCATACACATAATAGTTACTGAACTAAGATTATATTATTTCGCTATGTACCATTATGGATGGATTCCACATGCACGCTGAACATCCGCAAGTTACATGTTATAGCACACTCACATACGCACAAAATCCTATATGCTAACAGACATTTAATGTATGTTTAATGATGTTGCCTGATAACTTGTGCTTTTTAAAAGCTTCATATATGTAGACATTTGCAGGTTTCCTTTTAAAATAGAGCAATCTCGGCATCAGATCTGCAACATGATTTGTAGTATAACTGTTTCCCTCAGTACAAATTATTTGAATTTTTATTGAACACCTTCCAAATATTTAAAATATCTATCCAAGTACCAGTGATCTGAAATTGAATGAAACATCAATTCTTAATAAAGGCTTCTATATCTACCAGTGTCTTTGCAGTTATCCCTTTGAATTCTCTAGTACATGAGCTCCAATTGTGTAAAGAGATTTCTAGATACTCAAGGAGCTTCTCATTTGTGAGCTTTTGGATGTCTACAGCTGGCTGCCCTGACAGAAAATGTCTTGACATTCGTTTTACTTACAGGATTTTTCTCCTGTGTGACTTCTATGTTGCAAAACAAAAGTATGACTTCTGAAAGGTTTCCTTCCTGTTTTACAATTTGCATGACTTCTGCCATCTATATTATCTAATATTTAGAAAAGCCTAAAATATGATAAAATTTTCTCCCAAATAAATGTACAGAATCTCTCTATGTATTTGCTGATACACAGAGAGAGCAAAGATTGTAGCTGAAAATTTCCCTCTATTGATGCGATTCATAAGGTGTACCTCTTGTGTGAATTATCTGATTGTTTTGAAGGATTAATTCAGTCAAGAGAATTTCCCAACTCATCTTACTTCTCAGCATTCCTCTTCTTTGTGTGTGTCTTCTGATGTGCAGTGAGTTGTGACTTCTGGATAAAGGTTTCCCCACACTCCTGACACTCATAGGGCTTCTCCCCTGTGTGTTTTCTCTGATGTATAATAAAATGTGACTTCTGAGAAAAGGACTTCCCACATTCCTTGCATGCATAGGGCTTCTCTCCTGTGTGAGTCCTTTGATGTAATCTGAGGACTGAATTCACAGCAAAAGATTTGCCACATTCTGTGCATTCATAGGGCTTCTCCCCTGTGTGTTTTCTCTGATGTTTAGTGAGGTCTGATTTATAGTAAAATGTTTTCCCACATTTATTACATTCAAAGGGTTTCTCCCCTGTGTGAGTTCGCTGATGTACTGTGAGGGCTGACTTCTGGTAGAAGCATTTCCTACATTCCTTACATTCATAGGGTTTCTCTCCTGTGTGACTTCTCTGATGAGTTTTGAGGTGTGAATTCCTAGAGAAGAATTTCCCACATTCCTTACATTTATAGGGTTTCTCCCCTGTGTGCATTCTCTGATGTACTGTGAGGTGTGACTTCTGGGAAAAGGCTTTCCCACACTCCTTACACTCATAGGGTTTCTCCCCTGTGTGTGTTTTCTGATGTACCATGAGGTATGCCTTCACATAGAAGAACTTCCCACATTCAGTACATTCAAAAGGTTTCTCCCCTGTGTGTGTTTTCTGATGTTCTGTGAGATGTGGTTTCTGGTAGAAGGATTTTTCACACTGATTACATTCATAGGGTTTCTCTCCTGCATGGGTTCTCAGATGTCTACTGAGAGATGATAGGTGGTAAAATATTTTCTTACATTCTTTACACTCATAGGTTTTATCTCTCGTGTGAATTTTCTGATGTCTTATGAGGTCTTCATTTTTAGAGAAAGATTTCCCACATTTATCACAGTCATAGGATTTGCCCTTTGAGTGAGTATGCTGATGTACTATGAGGGCAGACTTCTGGCAGAAGAACTTCCCACATTCCTTACATTCACAGGCTTTCTCTGTGGTATGAGTTTTCTGATGTTTTGTGAGTTCTCCATTCCTAGACAGAAAGTTCCACATTCATTAATGTGTAAGACTTTTAAGGCTTTTTGTTCCCCCTGCTCCACTGGGCGTATTTTCCAAGTACCTCTGAGGACCGATTTCTAGAGATGTTCCCATATTTACTGGATCCATAGGGTTTCTCCACTGTGAGCATTCTCTGACCTGCACTGTAGTTTAACATTTGGTAAGGTGAATCTGCATTTGCATTCTATTCACAGGGTCTCTCAATTGCCTGCATTCTATTTTGTGTAATAGAGACTCCCTTTCATTACTTAATTCAGAAGAGTAAAAAGACCACTTCAAAGTTTCAATCTCCCGATCCTGCACAAGGTCTCTATGAAAAGGGGCAGTCCCATTTGGATTATATTCCTTGGGATTTGCTCTGCAGTGTTAGTTTTCTCACGTTTAGTATTAACTAGTGCCCTCCCATTTCTAGTAACTCCTTTAAGACTCTTGCTTACAAATCTTCTATCTTAAACATTAATTCTTGAACTTGCCTTGAATTTCCAGCTTGGCTTTCCTGGTATCTTGCTTCTAGATCATGAATGCTCCATAGGTCTTCTACAAGGGAACCAAAAATGTAATACTTTATAAATACTACACATTAATATTGTCATAGCATTGATTCTTAGGCTTCAGGCCAATTTCTCATAATGAAAGAACCTCAAATGCAAATTTCCTCTAGCCCATTGTTTTGGGAAAAAAACCTAAAACAAACACTGAAAACTGCTGTCACACACAGAAGGAGGATTCTACTTGTAGACCCATGTACTCTGACATTTTTACAAATGTGACCATAAGAGTTTGGAGGTGAAAGTTAAAGACAAAAAAAGAACCGGGAGAGGAGAACATAGGACATTCGAAGTGTTGCTGAACGGGAGTGTGGGAAGTATAGAGAATACTGTGAGCCCCTTAAGGACCATGAACAGTAAGCAAGTTAAGAAAAACTACTGGACAACAGTGTCCCCTGGAATACATGGAAAAGATTAAACTGAAAGAAGGAGCTGAAGTATAGGTCTTTATTCCCTCAAACCTAGATTACTGTGCTAGGATTCCTAGCATTTAGCAGACAAACTTCTACTTTATTTCCTCTTCATCCATCCACAGCAATCTAGGTGTCAATTACTAAAGTGACTTTTTCAGAACATCAGTTTCCTCATGCTTAGAGGAAGAGTCCTGTAGCTTGGGCTTTCACTCTCCATCTAGTTGGCTTTATTTTCAGGACAGGAAGACAGAGGACCACATATATCCAAAAGGAAGGATTTTCTTAAAAGCATTGGGATAAGCCATCTATACAAGGATGAATTCCTAGTTGTACCACCAGAGATTTTCAATCCTGAACTCATCCTGACCATCAAATCCTGCACTTCTAACGCACTTGTTACTCATGACTCAACACTAGTCTTGAATTTCATTTTCATATCTTGCTTCCTCCATCTCTGCTTCCAATTTACTACAGGATCTTTAAAGGTCCAATTATTGAACATCATTCTAGAATCTTTAGTGACCTTCATATTTATGCATCTTTAAATGCATGAAAGCAAGTGAAAGATTATCAGCAGATGCTTGGGGTTGGAATTTCATAGCAATGGTGGGGAATACATAAGAAAAGTCACTTCATAGTGACTTATGCGACGTTAACTCAGGAACACATGAAATAAGATCATATGTATAAGCCAGGAACGGTGGCTCATGCCTGTAATCCCGGCACTTTGAGAGGCTGAGGTGGGTGGATCACCTGAGGTCAGGAGTTCGAGACCAGCCTGACCAACATGGTGAAACCCCACCTCTACTAAAAATACAAAAATTAGCTGGATCTGGTTGTGGGCACCTGTAATCCCAGCTACTCAAGAGGCTGAGGCAGGAGAATCACTTGAACTCAGGAGGTGGAGGTTGCAGTGAGCTGAGATCGCACCACTGCATGCCAGCCTGCGCAACAGAGTGAGACTCCATATAAAAAAAAAAAAAATCTTATGTTTGGAAAACATTTAAGAGCATAGTAAAATGGAGATTAACAGGTGTTTGGGGGCCACAAGGAGAAATAAGTTGCATAGGCAAGAGAGGGCCAGACTAGTTCCTGACAAAAAATTCATTTAAATGAATATTACTAATACCTCCTTACCCTTGTAAGACTTTTATTTTGTCTAAAGGACTTAATACTGAGTCAGTATTAAGTATACCATGCAGGCTTCTGGCAATGTACATCTGCTGCATTACACAACTACTGTGGGAATTTAAATCAACAATTTTTGTTTTGACCCTAACAAGGAAGGAAGTAGAATAAGCAGAACTATCTTACAAGAAGGTAAAAATATGGGATCAGAATATAAATAGGGCAAAGATGCTGGAGAGGTCAATTTTAGGAATCCTTATCATAAAAACCAATGCATTGGCTTTAAGAATGGATGAGCTTCTACAGGAGTTAATAAAAGGAACAGAGCAGAAAGTAGAAAGTGTCTGTTGTTAATTATTTTATATATTTATTATTTCTTTTTTTCATGAACATGAGTCTCACTGTTGTCCAGGCTGGAGTGCAGTGGGGCGATCTTGGCTCACTGTAACCACTGCTTCCTGGGTTTAAGCAATTCTCATGCCTAAGCCTCAGCCTCCCGAATAGCTGGGACTACAGGTGTGCACCACCAAGCCCGGCTAATTTTTGTATTTTTAGTAGAGACAGGGTTTCACCATGTTGGCCAGGCTGGTCTCGAACTCGGGCCTCAAGTGATCCACCCACTTTGGCCTCCCAAAGTGCTGGGATTACAGGCATGAGCCGCCACTCCCAGCCAGTCTCTTGTTAATTAATATTCATTCTTTCAACAAATATCTAGCGAGCAACTAATATGTACTAGGCATTGTTCCTGATACTGGCAACACATCTGTGCACAAGTTAGAAAATACGTGACAAACATTTAAGAAGGCAGGATGAGATTGTCTTAGTGTTATCCAAATAAGTTTAGGGAGGATAAGCAGTGCTTTGTGGGAAGGATAAACACTGTATAGCAGGAAGTAGCAACTCCAAAATGAAAGAATTGATGAGCAGCATACCGATTTTTAATCTGAGCTCAGAGTTTAAAGAAAAAATGGGAAGTTAAAAGTGGTGCCAAAATAACTGAGGTATTTTATTGTTAATAAAAGGAAGGCGATGCCATTTAAAAACGTTATAAGTCAGATTTACAAACACTTTATAGTTGCATACTCTAATGGCAGGGAGTAACTGGCGATTCTAGACAAAAAGACAAAGTCTTACAAGGGTAAGGAGAGATAAGAGTTTGTATACAGGAAAGAGAAGTAAATCTATTTAAAACATGTCTAGCAAAGAAGAGAATTTAAGTGGAGAGAACAAAAATTGGAGGTGTGAATTAGGTTTTTTTACACGTGCAAATAAAGTGTCCTTAATCGCTTCCAAAACTACAGGGCATTTATAAAGAGACTGCTGAGGCCGGGCACGGTGACTCACACCTGTAATCCTAGCACTTTGGGAGGCCGAGGTGGGCAGATCACCTGAGGTTGGGAGTTCAAGACCAGCCTGACCAACATGGAGAAACCCCATCTCTACTAAAAGTACCAAATTAGCCAGGCTGGTGGTACATGCCTGTAATCCCAGCTACTCGGGAGGCTGAGGGAGGAGAATTGCTTGAACCTGGGAGGTGGAGGTTGCAGTGAGCTGAGATGGCAACATTGGACTCCAGCCTGGACAACAAGAGTGAAACTCTGTTTCAAAAAAAAAAAAAAAAAAAGTGAGAGATTGCCGAAAAGTACTTCAGAAGGCAAGAGGCACCAACTACTCACCAGTAACATGGGATATAATTTCTTCTAACTCACCAGGGAAGCCCCGATGTGGAAATTCTACTTCTAATATCCATGGCTCTTTTCCTTGCTTCAACTTGAAGACTGCATTTGGCTTATTCACATGGTAACCTATGAATGGAAAATATCAAGGAAATGATACAAATTGCTTGGAATTTAGGGACTGTGAAAGATGAGGAAGTGGAGTTTCAGGATAATAATGAAGGTTCCAGTTAGGCTTGGCAAATTTAGATTCTTTCAGCGGGGAGAGAGGGACACAAATATTTTTTCTAGTACCCAAAATGGATTTATTAACTTCGACCTCTGAATCATAGATAATGTCAATCATTCAACCCTATAGGGACATTTTATACTCCAGTAACTGAGAAGATAGATGCAAACTACTGGGATTTACACCTGGGGAAGTTTTCCTCACCCACTGAGACAAGGTGACTATAGTTTTCCAGCATCACATCCTTATACAGAGTCCTCTGAGCAGGGGTCAGTAACTTCCATTCTTCCTTGGTGAATTCCACAATAACATCCTTTAATGTCACGGGTCCCTGGAATAACATACTTCAGTTCAATTTGAAGTAACCAGAATAGATTGCATACCATTGAAAAGACATGTGAACTAGCTCTTAGTGTACTAACTGCAAAGTTCATTCTGGAGAGTTAGGATATTTGCCATGCTGTACCCTGCTTTATTCATAGAAGGAATATTTGTTCATTACATATTTACTGAGCTCCCACTCCATGCCTGGAACTCTGCTGAAGATACAAAGATGAAGAAAAAAAATGAGTGTCATATGCCACATAATGACATTTCAGTAATGACAAATTCCATATATGATGATGATCCTATAAAAAAATATAGTATTTTTATTGTCTGTTTTCTATGTTTAGATACACAAATTCTTACCATTGTGTTACAAGTTGCCTACAGTGTTCAGTACAGTAACACACTGTACAGGTTTGTAGCCTAGAAGCAATGGGCTACACCACATAGCCTAGGTGTGCAGTCAGCTGTACCATCTAGGCTTGTGTAAGGACACTCTATGATGTTTGCACGATGAAGTCACCTAATGATATGTTTCTCATAACATATCCCTGTCACTAAGTGACACATGACTCTATTCCTGATATCGAGGAGCTTATATTTTTGCCAGGGAGACAAAGGTGAAAATGCTAAAATACAGTATGTGAAGCAGGTGCCATTACAGAAACATGTATACAACATGAGATGGTCACAAATGGGGGTAATTATTTGCATTTCATATTATCATGTTAGATTTTATTAGGTGGTCAAACTGACTAACTTTAGGAATAAAGAAAACACAACTGGCAAAGGCATGGATGCATGAGAAATGGTAAGTTTAGGAAACCACATATAATTTGGTAGGTATGATACCTATTGTGGGTACATAATGGTAGGTATATACCATAGGTTGGTAGGTATGTACTTACGGTAAGGCATAGGACCAAGATTAGTTAGAAGGTTACAGTGAAAAGTCAAGGGACAGGACAAGAAGAAATTCTGAATCTGTCTTTTGGACCAGTAAAATATATTTTACATACACACTTAACAAATACATCTCTGCTTATTAATATAATACATACCTTTGCATGTATTAATGTTTATTAAGAATTAAGGAGGTGGGTGTGGTGGCTCAGGCCTGTAACACCAGCTACTTGAGAGGGTGATATGAGAGAATCGCATGAACCTGGGAAGTTAAGGCTGCAGTGAGACACAGTAAGACTCTATCAAAAAAAAAAAAATTAGGCTGGGTACAGTGGCCCACGCCTGTAATCCCACCACTTTTGGAGGCCGAAGCAGGTGGATAACCTGAAGGCAGGAGTTTGAGACCAGCCTGGCCAACACGGCAAATCCCCATCTCTACTAAAAAATACAAAAATTAGCCGGGCGTGGTGGCACACACCTGTAGTCCCAGATACTCAGGAAGCTGAGCCAAGAGAATGGCTTGAACCTGGGAGGCAGAGGTTGCAGTAAGCCAAGATCGTGCCACTGAACTCCAGCTTGGGTGACAGAGTGAAACTCCATCTCAAAAATAATAATAAATTTAACAAGTTTGTTTTTGTTTATATAAGACAAAACACAAATAGATATTCTGTCATTTCATACTATGTGAAATGTCTTATATATCTCTGGGATGCTCACCATTCACTGTGTAGATGAAAATATAGAAACCAGGAGCCACTGAAGAGATGTGTCAAGTAAGCACTGGAGTTATAGGGGTAAATGAGTGGTATAGGAGAAAATTTTAATATAGAGGTGGCAAATGGCACATTAGAAAAATAAGAAAAACATTTATATGAAAGCAACAGCAGTGGGGGAAAGAAGTATAACACAACTTTGTAATTAATTGGAAATTAGTTACTAACCACTGGGAGAAAGGGGGAGGGCAGCTCCCATAGTGTCTGTATGTCTCGCTCGTGGGTACAGTTATAGTGCCAATTATTTTCATTCCTTCACTTTTATTGGTAGAACTGTTTAAGGCTATGAAATTTCCTCTAATTATTGCTTTATTTATACTCCATGAAATCTGAAAGGCAGTATTTTTACTTGCAGAACATCTTGGCTGGATATAAATTCTTGGTTCATTTTTTTTTTCTTTTTTCTTTTGAGATGGAGTCTGGCTCTGTCTCCCAGGCTGGAGTGCAATGGTGCAATCTCGGCTCACTGCAACCTCCGCCTCCCAGGTTCATGCCATTCTCCTGCCTCAGCCTCCTGAGTAGCTGGGACTATAGGCGCCCGCCACCACGCCTGGCTAATTTTTGTATTTTTAGTAGAGATGCGGTTTCAGCATGTTGGCCAGGCTGGTCTCGAACTCCTGACCTCAGGTAATCTGCCCACCTTGGCCTCCCAAAGTGCTGGGATTACCAGCCTGAGCCACCATGCCCAACCGGTTTTTTTGTTGTTGTTGTTTTAAAACGGAGTCTCGCTCTGTCACCCAGGCTGGAGTGCAGGGGCGCGATCTTAGCTCACTGCAAGCTCTGCCTCCCGGGTTCACACCATTCTCCTGGCTCAGCCTCCCGAGTAGCTGGGACTATAGATGCCCGCCACCATGCTCGGCTAATTTTTTATAAACTAACATTATTGTGTGGCAACCAGGAAGTCTGTAAATGAAAACAGGAATACAAGGAAAAGGGTAAGTTGGGCAGGAGTTAATGAGTTGAATTTTGTTCATTCTGGGCTTAAAGTGACTGTGGAACATAAAGCTGGAATTGTCCATTTTTGCAGATACACATATGAGTAAGTTTCCACAAACAGAATTTTCAAATATATAAAAAATAGAGTTCTAGAAGAGCCCAAAAAGGAAGCTGTGGGGGCCGGGTGTGGTGGCTCACGCCTGTAATCCCAGCACTTCGGGAGGCTGAGGCGGGCGGATCACGAGGTCAGGAGATCGAGACCATCCTGGCTAACACAGTGAGACCCCGTCTCTACTAAAAATACAAAAAAAAAAAAAAAATTAGCCGGGCGTGGTGATGGGCGCCTGTAATCCCAGCTACTCGGGAGGCTGAGGCAGGAGAATGACGTGAACCCAGGAGGTGGAGGTTGGAGTGAGCTGAGATCACACCACTGCACTCCTGCCTGGGTGACCGAGCAAGACTCCATCTCAAAAAAAAAAAAAAAAAAAAACAAAGAAGCTGTGGGAACACCAGTATCCGAGATAATGGCAGGAGACTAGGCCCAGACCATGGAGCCTGAGAGAACTTCTCTAAACATAAGAGTAAGCCAGGAGGAGTATCTAGGAAACCAAAGAAAGGGAGACTTACAAATAAGGGACAGCTGTAGTTCAAAATCCAAATGTAAAGAGTCCAAATTAGCATAACCACACACAAGCACAGCAAAGGAGTGAAAACTGTAATAAGTAAGCAGGCCTTTTGAGAAATGTTGGAAATATCTAGAATTCCTAAGAGCAGATAAGAGAATCCAGCTCTTGGACACACATCCTAACAAGAGCTCATGTAAACTTCTATGCTCAGAGTCAAAGGGCTGGGGTTTGTTAAGGACAGAAGGATGACTGATAGGAAAATTAATTAAAGACTCCTCACTTAAAAAACAACAACAACAAAAACCAAAGAGCATCCAGTATAAACCAAGAGCTGATGAAAAGACCCTACCACATAATGCTACCAGGGTCAATTGGGCAACATGATTACTTCACCAGGGTCCCTAAATATGGGCACAATACAAAAAGAGAAACACAAGATTGTGTTATATACACACATGGACATTTTATTCGTTGAAATACATCTGTATTTTTTTAAAGCAACACTTCTATTTCTGTGAAAACATACAAGTACTAGTTTCTTAAATGACAGCAATTCTATTTCAGCAATTAAGAGACTACCTAAGAGGGTAAGGACAAAACTGACATATGACTTCTCATATGTAGAACCAAATGTTAAAAGACAAAGAAAAAATGCCCACAAAGGATAAAGGTTTTGAACCTAGAATTCCATGCCCTGCCAAATTTTTCATTCAAGGATGATAAAAAGAGATGTTTTCATAAATACAAAAATGTTAAAAGCATACAAACGATGCACCATATTTGCAAGGCATTCTAGAATATACTTAAAAGAAACTACAAAAAAAAAATCACATGGCAAATCAGATATAAAAGCTAATAGGGCCAGGTGTGGTGGCTCATGCCTGTAATCCCAGCACTTTGGGAGGCCGAGGCAGGCAGATCACCTGAGGTCGGGAGTTCGAGACCAGCCTGACCAACATGGAAAAACCCCGTCTCTATTAAAAATACAAAATTAGCCAGGCGTGGTGGCTCATGCCTGTAATCCCAGCTACTCAGGAGGCTGAGGCAGAAGAAGCACTTGAACCTGGGATGCGGATGTTGTGGTGAGCCGAGATCATGGCATTGCACTCCAGCCTGAGCAACAAAGATTGAAACTCCATCTCAAAAAAAAAAAAAAAAAAAAAACCTAACAGATGGCCAGGTGCAATGGCTCATGCCTGTAATCCCAGCACTTTGGGAGGCTGAGGCAGGTGGATCATGAGGTCAGGAGTTCAAGACCAGCCTGGTCAACATGGTGAAACCCCATCTCTACTAAAAATACAAAAAATTAGCAGGGCATGGTGGTAGGCTGAGTAGCTTTTAATCCCAGCTACTCAGGAGGCTGAGGCAGAGAATTGCTTGAATCCAGGAGGCAGAGGTTGCAGTGAGCCAAGATTGTGCCACTGCACTCCAGCCTGGGCGAGAGAGCGAGACTTCCATCTCAAAAAAAAAAAAAAAGCTAACGGATATATAAGAATAAGAACTTAATTCTCATATAGCCTTAACAGGAAACTAGAAAATTTAAAACGGACTGCTTACAGAAGAAGTGAGAAGGAAAAGACTATTTTGTATACTAAACTGTCCTTCAAAGATACTTCTAAATATGTTAACAAAGTGCTCACATCTTTTCATCAAATATTCACTGAAAGACCATTTTCTGGGCCAGAAAAATATCTTAAACTGAAAGAATTGAAATCTACCAAATACATTCTCTGAACACAGTAGACAAACTAGAATCAGTAACAGAAACTTATCTGGAATGTCATCAAATACTTGAAAATAATAGGTGAGCACTTTGTTTAATGTTATTAGAAAATAACATTTGAAGTTGGTTCTCTGAAAAAACTAAGAAAGCTGATAAACCTATATCCAGAATGACCAAGATAAAAAATACATGTTAACAATATCAAAAATGAAAAGGGGAATAGTTACAATAGGCCCTACAAACAGTAAAAGGATAATAAAAGAATACTAAGAACCAGTCTATATGCATAAATTTTACAACTTAGATGAAATGGATTAATTCTTTGAAAGAAGATAACTATCAAAACTCACTCAGGAAGAAATATCTAAGATAAATAATATTACCTAGTATCAATTATATTAAATAAACTGAATCTGTAGTTAAAAACCTTTCAACACGAGTGATTTCCTGAGAAATGGTGACTTAGGGAGCTCTAAGAATTGGTCCCTCCACTGAGGCAACCATTAAAGCTGACAAAAACTGATAGAATCAAACTTTTTGGAACTCTAGAATCTTTTTTTTTTTTTAAACCATCAACCAGTGGAGTACTTTTTTTTTCTTTTCTATTTATTTATTTATTTATTTATTTTTTGAGACAGAGTCTTGCTCTGTCACCCAGGCTGGAGCGTAACTGTGCAATCTCAGCTCACTGCAACTACAACCTCTGCCTCCCGGGTTCAAGCACTTCCCCCGCCCCAGGCTCCCAAGTAGCTGGGATTACAGGTGCCCACCACCACATCCAGCTAATTTTTGTATTTTTAGTAGAGATGGGATTTCACATGTTGGCCAGGCTAGTCTAGAACTCCTGACCTTAGGAGATCCACTTGCCTCAACCTCCCAAAGTGCTGGGATTATAGGCGAGAGCCACTGTGCCCAGCCTCAGTGGAGTACTTAATAAAGAAAGAGGCTGCTAAATTTTGGGGAGAAAATGTGTGGCACTTTTTTCTTACTGGCCTACTGATACAGTTTGGATGTGTGTCCCCTCCAAATTTCATGTTGAAATATAATCCCCAGTGTGGGAGTTGGGGACTGGTAGGAGGTATTTGGGTCATGGGGGTGTATCTCTTATGGATGGTTTAGCACCATTCCCTTGATAATGAGTGAGTTCTGATTCGGTTCACATGAGATCTGGTTGTTTAAAAGAGTCTGGCACCAGGCGTGGTGGCTCACACTTGTAATCCCAGCACTTTGGGAGGCCAAAGCAGGTGGATAACCTGAGGTCAGGAGTTTGAGACCAGCCTGGCCAACATGGCGAAACCCTGTCTCTACTAAAAATACAAAAATTAGGCGGGTGTGGTGGTCCACGCCTGTAGTCTCAACTACTTGGGAAGCTGAGGGAGGAGAATCGCTTCAACCTGGGAGGCAGAGGTTGCCGTGAGCCAAGATCATGCCACTGCACTCCAGCCTGGGTAACAGAGTGAGACTCTACCTCAAAAAATAAATAAGCAAATAAATAAAGAGTCTAGGACCTACCCCTTATCTCTCTCTCTTGCTCCCACTGTCACTATGTGATGTACTGGCTCCTGCTTCACTTTCTGCCCTAAGTAAAAGCTCCCTGAGGCCTCACCAGAAGCTGAGCAGATGCCAGTGCCATGCTTCCTGTACAGCCTGCATAACCATGAGCCAATTAAACCTCTTTTCTTTATAAATGACCCAGCCTCAGGTATTTCTGTGTAGCAATGCAAAAAACAACTAACACAAAATAGGTACTGAGGAGTAGAGCATTGCTATAAAGATACCTGAAAATATAGAAGCAGCTTTGGAACTGAGTAACAAGCAGAGGTTGGAAGAATTTGGAGGGCTCAGAAGAAGACACTAAGCTGAGGGAATGTTTGAAACTTCTAAGAGACGGATTAAATGGTCGTGACCAAAATGCTGATAGTGACATGGACAGTGAAGGCTAAGCTGATGAGGTCTCAGAAGAAAATGAGGAATGTATTGGAAACCGGAGTATAGGTCACCCATGTTTTGTCCTGGCACAGAGCTTGGCTGCATGTCCTACGGATCTGTGGAAGACTGAACTTAAGACTGATGACCTAGGGTATCTGGCAGAAGAAATTTCTAAGCAGCAAAGCATTCAAGATGTGGCCTGACTGCTCCTAATAGCCTTTGATCAAATATAGGAGCAAAGAAATGACTTAAAGTTGGAACTGATATTTAAAAGGGAATCAAAGCATAAAGTCTGGAAAGTTTACAGCCTGGTCCTGTGGTACAGAAAGAATCCAAGCCCAAGCAGGCTGTGGAGCAACCACTTGCTAGAGAGATTAGCATGACTCAAATGGAGCCAAGTAACAATCCAAGACAATGGGGAAAAGGCCTTAAAGGCATTTCAGAGATCTTTGGGACTCTGCCTTCCATCACAGGCCCAGAGGCCTAGGAGGAATGGTTTCAGGGGCCAGGCCTAAGGCAATGCAGCTCTGTGCAGCCTTGTGACACTGTTCCCCACATCTCAGCTGCTCTGGTTCCAGCTTCAGCTCAAGGGGGTCCAGGTACAGCTTGAGCCAAAGCTCAGGAGGGCACAATCTGTAATCCTTCATGGTTTCTATCTAGTGTTAAGTCTGCAGATGCTGAGAATGCAAGCATGAAGGAGGCTTGGCAGCTTCCCCCTAGATTTCAGAGGATGTACTGGAAAGCCTTGGTGTCCAGGCAGAAGTCTGCCACAGAGATGGAGCCCCCACAGAGAAACTACTAGGGCAATGTTGAGGGGAAATGTGGGGTTGGAGCCTCCACACAGAGCCCCCACTGGGGTACTGCCTAATGGAGCTGTGGGAAGGGGACCACTGCCCTCCATACTTTGGAATGCTAGAGCCACTAGCCACTTGCAACCTCAGCATGGAAAAGCTGAAAGCAGTCAACTCCAGTCATTAAGATTAATCCATTAATCCATTAAGATTAAAGCAGATTTCTTAACAGAAACTGTGAAAGCCAAAAGGCAGTGTGATGACACATTAAAGTGCTGAAAGAAAAGAATTCTATTTCAAGAATTCTTTTCCATCAAGACTATCCATCAATAATGCAGAAGAAATTAAGGCATTACAAGATAAAAGCTAAAGGACTCTGTTTCTAGTAGACCTGCCTTATAAGAAATGCTACAAGCAGTCCTTCAGTCTGAAATGAAAGGACACTAGACAGCAATTCAAGGCCATTTGAAGCTATAAAGAACACAGGTAAAGGTAACTATATAGGTACATAGAAAAGCTGGTATTGTGATATTTTTTAAATTATGTCTCCTCTGTTTGCTTCCTATAGGATTTAAAAGACAAATGCATAAAATAGTAACTATAAATATATGTTAATGGTCATACAACATGCAAAAATATAATTTGTGACAGTAACAACATAAAGGGGGGAGAAACAGCTATATATCAGCAATTTGTATACACTACTGAAGCTAAGTTGGTATCAATTCAAACCAGATTGTTAAAAATTAGAAAAGTTAATTGTAATACTAAGAGTAACCACTAAAAACACCTTAAAACACTCACAAAAGGAAATGAGGAGGAAAGCAAAATGGTACATTAGAAAAAAAATTAAAAAGAAGGCAGTATTGGAGGGTATTAGTGTGTTATCACATTGCTATAAAGAACTACCTAAGGCTTGGCGTGGTGGCTCACTCCTGTAATCCCAGCACCTTGGGAGGCTGAGGTGAGCACATCACTTGAGATCAGGAGTTCAACATGGCCAACATGGTGAAACCCTGTCTGTACTAAAAATACAAAAAATTAGCCAGGCATGGTGGCATGCACCTATAATCCCAGCTACTTGGAAGGCTGAACCACGAGAATCTCTTGAACCCGGGAGGTGGAGGTTGCAGTGAGCCAAGATCGCACCACTGCACTCCAGCCTGGGTGACAGAGCAGGACTCCATCTCAATTAAAAAAAAAAAAAAACTACCTGAGACTGGGTAATTTACAAAGAAAAGAGGTTTAATTGACTCATGGTTCCACAGGCTGCGCAGGAAGCATGGCTGTGTAGGCCTCAGGAAGCTTACAGTCATAGCAGAAGGTGAAGGAGAAGTTGGCACATCTTCACATGGCAGAGCAGGAGATAGAGGGCAAAGGGGGAAGTGCTACACACTTTTACCCAGATCTTGTCAGAACTCACTCACTATCTCAAGAACAGCAAGGGGGAAGTCTGCCCCCATGATCTAATCACCTCCCACCAGGCCCCTCCTCCAACATTGAGGGTTACAATTTCACATGAGATTTGGGTGGGGACACAGAGCCAAACCATATCACGGAGGAATTAAAGGAAAATATATAAAGTATGTTGAAGAAAAATGCCAAGTTGCAGAAGTAAGTCTTTATCAAACATCACTTTAAATAGATTAGACTCACGAGTTAAAGGTGGAGATTGACTGAATGGATATTAAAAACATGATTCAAATATATGCCTTCTAAAATTAAATTTAGATCCAAAGACACAAGTAGGCTGAAAAGAAAGGATGGAAAAAGGCATTTCACGAAAATAGTAGTAACCAAAAGAGAGCTGGCTGGCTATACTAAGATGAGACCTAAAGAAATGAGATGGCATCCTGTATTCATGGACTGGGAGACTTAATATGGTTCAAATGACAATACTACCCAAAGAAATCTACAGATTCAAACCAGTCCCTATCAAACTCCCAATGGCTTTTGCACAGAAATGGAAAAGATTATCCTCCAATTCATACGGAATTGCAAGGGGTCCCCAGTAGCCAAAACAACATTGGGAAAGAAGAATAAAGTCAGAGGACTCACACTTCACAATTTCAAAACTTACTGCAAAGCTGCAGTTATCAAAACAGTGAGGTACTGGCATAAGGACAGACATACAATCTAATGGGATAGAACTGAGTTCAGAAATAAACCCATGTATCTACGACCACATGATTTTCTTCTTTTTTTTTTTTTTCTGAGACAGGGTCTCACTGGCTGGAGTGCAATGGTCCAGTCATGGCTTACTGCAGCCTGGACCTCCCCAGGCTCAGGTGATGCCCCCACCTCAGCCTCCCAAGTATCTGGGACTAAAAGTGCACACCACCCACCTGGCTAATTTTTGTATTTTGCAGAGACAGGGTCTTGTCATGTTGCCCAGGATGGTTTCAAATTCCTGGGCTCAAGAGATCTGCCCACTTCGGTCACCTAAAGTGTTAGGATTACAGGCATGAGCCACCACGTTCAGCCCCAACTGATTTTCAACGAGGCTGTCAAGACCATTCAGTGGGAAAAGAATAGTCTCTTCATCAAATAATACTGGGAAAACTCAATACCCACATGCGTGAGTTAAATGGGAACTCTACCTCACATCATATGCAAAAATCAATTCAAAATGGATCAATGACCTAAATATATGAGTTAAACATGTAGAACTCTTAGAAGAAAACATAGCCTACCTTGAATTTGGCAATGGATTCTTCTATATGACACCAAAAGCACAAACAAAAGAAAAATAAATTTTACTTCATCATAATTTGAAATGTTTGTGCATTATAGAACATTGTCACAATGGAGAAAAGACAACACACAGTCTGGAAAATATTTGCAAATCATCTGAGACAGAGTCTCCCTCTGTTGCCCAGGCTGGAGTGCAGTGGCGCCATCTCAGCTCACCACAACCTCTGCCTCCCGGGTTCGAGCAATTCTCCTGCCTCAGCCTCCCAAGTAGCTGTGACTACAGGCACATGCCATCATGCCTAACTGATTTTTGTATTTTTAACAGACATGGAGTTTCACCGTATTGGCCAGGCCTGTCTCAAACTCCTGACCTCGTGATCCGCCTGCCTCAGCCTCCCAAAGTGTTGAGATTACAGGCATGAGCCACTGCACCCGGCCAATTTTTTTTTTTTTTTTAAGACAGAGTCTTGCTCTGTCACCCAGGCTGGAATGCAGTGGCGCCATCTCGACTCACTGCAACCTCCACCTCCTCGGTTCAAGTGATTCTCCTGCCTCAGCCTCCCAAGTAGCTGGGACTACCTGTGTGCACCACCAAGCCCAGCTAATTTTTGTATTTTTAGTAGAGACAGGGTTTCACCATGTTGACCAGGCTGGTCTGAACTCCTGACCTCAAGTGATCCACCCACCCTGGCCTCCCAAAATGCTGGGATTACAGGCATGAGCCACTATGCCTGGCCATAAAATGTTCTTATAATTCAACAACAAAAAGATAAACAGCCCAGGTAGGAAATGGGCAAAGAACTTGAGTGTACATTTCTCCAAATAACACAACTCACCCTTGAACAACACAGGCTTGGATGCAGATTATTTTCAACCTAACATAGATTGAAAATGTAGTATTTGCAAGATTGGAAACCCACACATATGGAGGGCCAATTTTTTGCACACGTGGGTTCTGAAGGGCTGACTGTAGGACTTGAGTATGTGTGGATTTAAGTACATGCAGGGGTCCTGGAACCAATCACCTGCATATACCAATTGATGACAGTATATACAAATGGCCAAAAAGCACACTAGAAAAAAAATAGCAGAAAAAAGCACAATAGAAGATGTTCAGCATCACTCATCTCTAAAGAAATGCAATGCAAAACCGCAACAATACCACTTCACCCCCCCACCCCAATTATAATGGGCATAATTTTAAAAATGGCAGGTGTTGGGGGTATATGGAGAAACTGAAACCCTTGTACATTGCTAATGGGAATGTAAAACGGTGCAGCTGCTGTGGAAGTTTGGCAGTTCCTCAAAAAGTTAAACATAGAATTGCCATACATCCCAGCAATTCCATTTTTAGGTATATACCCGAAATAATTGAAAATAGGTATCAAATACTTACAGATGAATTTGCATAACAGCATTATTCATAATAACCAAAAAGTGGAAACCACCCAAATGTCTGTCAATGGATGAATGGATAAACAAATTGTGGTGTATATACACAATGGCATTTTAGCCATAAAAAGGAATGATGTACTGATACATGCTTCAAGGTGGATGAACCTGGAAAACATGCTAAGTAAAAGAAGGCAGATACAAAAGGTCACCTAATGTATGATCTCACTTACACGAAATATCTAGACTAGGTAGATCCATAGAGATAGATAACATATTAGTGGTTGCCAGGGGAAAGAGGGAGAGAGAACAGGGAATGACTGCTTAATGGGAATGGGGTTTTCTTTTGGGATGGTGAAAATGTTTTGTAACTAGGTAGAGGTGGTGTTACACAATACTGTGAATGTACTAAATATTAATACCTTACAATTGTATACTTTTAAATGATGAATGTGAATTTCACTTCAATTAAAACAAGTAAACAAAACCTTTGAACAAAGACAACTTCAGGCCTAAATGGTTTCATTGGTGAATTCAATCAAACAATAAGCCAGAAACAATACCAATTATATGTAATTTCTTCCATAAAACCAAGAAAAAATAACCATTCTCGACTCACTTTATAAGGCTCACATGACCCTGAGACCCAAATCTAACAAAAACATCACCAGAAATGACAACTACAGTGGTTGCTGGCACCAGTTTGTATCAGCTCAGAAGAGCTGATGGTTAAGTTTTCAGAATCTGGCTGGCATGTTGTAGCTTGAAATTTGCCATGGTGGGAGTATTTATACCACAGAAATTGGTAAACAGTATAAACCAGATTTCTATCCCAACCCCTAAAATCTGATTATTAAACATTTACTAGTATATTGATCACTGATCAATATTCCTCATGGTGATAGATGCAAAAATCCTCAACAAAATGTTAGCAAATCTAATTCAGCAATATATAAAAATATAAACACATTGTGACCAATTTACCCTGGCAATGCAAGGTTGATTCCACATTTGAACATCAATCAGTGCAGTTCACTATGCTAACAAACTAAAAAAGAAAAACAACATGATTATCCCAAAAAAAGCAGAAGAACATTTGACAAAATTCAAGATCCATTCATGATAAAAACTCTGAACAAACTAGGAAAAGAAGGGAACTTCCTTCATCTGATAAAAGGCATTTATATAAAATCCATAGTTTATACCATCCTTATTATTGAATGGCTAAATTCTTTCCCCCCTAAGGTCAGGTTTCATTATGTACATTCCTTTGATTATGTAAAGGATGATTTTTAAATGAGCAAACAAAACAAAACAAAACAAAATTCAATGTTTTCTACAGTCTACCAGGGCCATACATATTCTAGCTTCCTCTACCTTTTTGATGTTACCTCTTACCATTCTTTCCCTAAGTCATATCTCTCTAGCTTCAATATCCTACATACTGTTTCTGGAACATGATTTGGGGTGTCTGTATTGCTGTTTTTCCTACCCACAATGCTGCTCCCTCAGATTTCTACTTGGCTCTCTCTCTAATTCAGGACTTTCCTCAAACATTATATTTTAGGGTAGCATTGTCCTAATCAACCTATAACTCATTCCTCACTTCTCTGTATCACTTTGTCCTCCTAAATTGCTTGAGTTTGTCTCCAAACATATACCTCAGAAATACTACTCAAATGTTGACATATTGTTATAAAATATATTTTTAAAATCACATTTGTGGCCTGGCGCAGTAGCTCACGCCTGTAATCCCAGCATTTGGGAGGCTAAGGCGGGAGGATCATTTGAGGTCAGGAATTTGAGACCAGCCTGGCCAACATGGGGAAACCCCTTCTCTACTAAAAATACAAAAAATTAGCTGGGCATGGTGGCAGGTGCCTGTAATCCCAGCTACTCATGAGGCTGAGGCAGGAGAATCACTTGAACCTGGGAGACAGAGGCTGCAGTGAGCCAAGATTATACCATTGCACTCCAGCTTGGGCAACAGAGCGAGACTCCATCTCAAAAAAAAAAAAAAAAATTCACATTTGTTAGTATCAATGTCATTGTCTACTTTATGCCAAAAAGGCAGTAACCTATTTAGCATGGTTTTCATGCCACCAGTGCAAGTATCAACAGTGTAAAAGGCAATCTACATCTTAGCACTCTGAGTCTCAACCTCATAGATCCCTTGAGAGGGTCTTGGAGCTCCCAGGGATCTGCAGACCACATTTTGAGAATTGCTGTTTTATTCAAACGGTATTTTGCCTGTAGGTGATTTTTAACTATTTCTACGTTTCTAATTTAGTATATGGGCTCTCGTTCATAAAACTCATTAAACACACACACACACACACACACACACACACACACACACACACAGTGAAACAAAGTTAGGGCTAAGTAAATGACTCACCTGGAACTTGTTCATTTTCTGCTGCTCTTGGGAAAGGCTGAAAACTGCAAAGCCAGAGCAGAAATCATAAGGGACCTTAGCTGGCAGCCCCAGGAATCACCTGTGAGAAATTTCCATACAACATTTTAGTAAAATATATACCTTTGAGAAAATGTCCCTTTGACCCATTAGAAAGCATAGTAAGGACCATGATGAAGTAGCACCCACCTGTCCACTTCTGACTCTGATATTAATGTTGATGAGCCTGGGACATTTTTTAGTGAATCTACACATTTCTTTCCTATTGGTTGCTTTGAAAATTATGTTTCTGTTTTCTGAATAACACAAAAGAATCGAAAACTTAAATATCCAATAATGACTGATTAAATAACATGTATAATATATCCAAAGTATGGAGCCCTTTGCTGACACTAGAAATGATGTTGAAGAGATATATTTATTGGCACATAAAAGGTAATTAAGTTACATATCATAACCATTTTTTTCTATTATAAACCCAAGGTTAGAAAGTCTGAATTTTCAAAGTTCTCAAACATAAGACATTTCTTCTCCCTAAATTGCAGTTTCTCAGAAACCATTTCTCCAAGAACCTTCTTTTGATATAAATATGATATAATGAACTTAAAGACTCAGTTCTACTCTAGGCTCTGCTATTAATAAACTTAGTGATTGTCTTAGTTTCAATGCTTTTGTCTTCAAAATGAGTAGGAATTAGATAATCTTGCACAACCCTTCATGTACCATTCTACTTCTATATATCTTCACCCAGGATCACCAATACAGACAGTACCTGCAATGCACTGTGCCCTCAAAACTTGGGCTGGGCCTAAGGTAAAATTTAATTAGGCCCTGATGAACTCTGACTTGAGAATCTAATCTGCTGACAGTGACACAAATCTACCTTCTAAAATAACAGTTAATCATCATAATTCTCAAACAAGCACTTCATATAGGTAGCAAAAGGCAACTACGTCATAATCCTAAGGTCCTTTTCATAAGCAGCAGAAACCATGCAGGGCATCCAAATTGGAAAGAAAAAATCAAATTATCTTTGTTCACAGATGACATGACCCTATATTTAGAAAAACATAAAGACTCCACCGAAAAAACTGGTAGAACTGATACATGAACTCAGTAAAGCTGCAGGATACAAAATCAACATTAGAAAACCAGTAGCAGGCCAGGCACGGTGGCTCACGCCTGTAATCCCAGCATTTTGGGAGGCCAAGGTGGGTGAATCACCTGAGGTTGGGAGTTCAAGACCAGCCTGACCAACAGGGAGAAAAACCAGTCACTACTAAAAGTACAAAATTAGCCAGGTGTGGTGGCGCATGCCTGTAATCCCAGCTACTCGGGAGGCTGAGGCAGGAGAATTGCTTGAATCCAGGAGGCGGAGGTTGCAGTGAGCCAAGATCATGCCACTGCACTCCAGCCTAGGCAACAAGAGCAAAACTCTATCTCAAAAAAAAAAAAAAATCAGTAGCATTTCCATACACCAACAGTGAACAATCTGAAAAACAAATCAAGAAAGCAATCCCATTTACAACAGCTACCAAAAAAACCCCAACACCTAGGAATAAATTTAACCAAAAATGTAAAAGATCCTATGATTAAAAGTATAAAACAGGCTGGGCACTGTGGCTCACACCTGTAATCCCAACACTTTGGGAGGTGTAGGCAGGTGGATCACCTGAGGTCAGGAGTTCAAAATCAGACTGGCCAATGTGGCAAAACCCTGTCTCCACTAAAAATACAAAAAAAATTACACAGGTATGGTGGTGCACTCCTATAATCCCAGCTACTCGGGAGGTTGAGGCAGGAGAATCGCTTGACCCTGGGAGACAGAGGTTGCAGTGAGCCAAGATTGCACCAAACTGAGCCCTTGTCTCAAAAAAAAAAAAAAAAGAGTATAAAACACTGATGAATGATATTAAAATGGAAAGATATCCCATGCTCATGGACTGGCAGAATTAATATTGTTAAAATGTCCATAGTACTAAAAGCAGTCTACAGATTAAATGCAATCCATATCCAAATACCAATGACATTCTTCACAGAAATAGGAAAAAAAATCCTAAAATTTATATGGAACCACCAAAGACCCCGAGTAGCCAAAGCAATTTTGTGCAAAAAGAACAAAGGTGGAGGCATTGTACTACCAGACTTCAAAATATACTATAAAGCTATAGTAAACAAAACAGTAGGTTACTGGCATAAAAAGAGACACATAGATCAATGAAAAAGAGAATTGAGAAATAAATACATGCATTTATAGCCAATTTCATTTTTGACAAAGGCACTAAGAACATACATTGGAGAAATGACAGTTTCTTCAATAAATGGTGCTGAGAAAACTGGATATCCATACGCAGAAGAATGAAACTAAACCCCTGTCTCTCATCATATGCAAAAATCAAATGATAGTGGATTAAAGAGTTAAATGTATGACCTGAAACTATGAAACTACTTGAAGAAAACATTTGGAAATGCTTCAGAACATTGTTCTCGGCAAAAATTTTTTGGTAAGACCTCAAAAGCACAAGCAACAAAGGCAAAAATAGATGAATGGGATTACATCAAACGAAAAAGTTTCAGCACAGCAAAGTAAGCAATAACAGTGAAAAGACACCCAAAGAATAGGAGAAAATATTTGCAAACTACCCATCTGACAAGGAATTAATAACCAGAATATACAAGGAACTCAACAGTCAGAAAACAAAAAATTTGATTTAAAAAAATTGAGCAAATGATCTGAACAGACATTCCACAATAGAAGACATACAAATGGCCAATAGGTATACGATAAAATCTTCAACATCATTAATCATCAGACAAATGCAAATCAAAACCATAATGGGATATCATTTTACCCCTTAAAACAGCTATTATAAAAAAGGCAAAAAAATAACAAATGCTGGGATATAGAGAAAGGAGAACCCTCATACAACCTTGGTGGCAATGTAAACTAGTACAGCCACTGTGGAAAACAGTATGGAGGTTCCTCAAAAAATTGAAAACAGAATTACCATATGATCTAGCAATCTCACTGCTATATATATATCCAAAAGAAGGGAAATCCGTATATTGAAGATATCTCTGCACTCCCATTTTTATCGCAGCACTATTCACAATAGTCTAGATACAGAATCCACCTAAGTACCCATCAATGCATGAATAGATAATGAAAATTGTGGTATATATACACAATGGAATATTATTCAGACATAAAAAGAAGGAAATTTTGTCATTGCAGCAACAAAGATGGAACTGGAGGGCATTATGTTACATGAAATAAGCCAGGCACAGAAAGACAAATATCATGTTCTCACTCATACGCAGGAGCTAAGATAGTTGATCTCATGAAGATACGATGTAGAATGATGGTTACCAGAGGCTGCGAAGGGAAGTAGGGAGTGAGGAATGAAGAGAGGTTGGTTAATGGGTACAAAAATACAGTTAGGTAGAAGGATTAAGTCCTAGTGTTCAATAGCACAGTATGGTTACAAGTGTTAGCAATAATTTATTAGCTATCAGAATAGCTAGAAGATTTCGAATATTTGCAACACAAAGAAATGATAAATGAGGCGGTGGATATTGTAATTACCCCGATTTGATCATGACACATTGTATGCATATATCAAAATATCACATGTACCCCACAAATATGTACATTATGTACCAAAAAAAAAAACTAAAATAAGCAGCAAAAACCACTTCCAGCTAGCATGGTGCTTACGAAATGCCTAAGCTCAGTTATCAGCCAATGAGAGGCATTATAAGATCACCACCATAAAATGGAGGAACTGATGAACTGCAGTTTTCATCTTTAAAAAAATTTTTTGTCCCATTTCCTGTCTTTAGAAACTAGCCTCTGGGCTGGATGGGATTCCCAGCTTCTCCTGTAAAATGCAAAATTGAGGGCTCAAATTGTGGTTTCAATTTACACGTTTCACAGTCCTCTGAGAAGAGACTAAGGTTGGAGGATGCAGGAAGGCCTTAAATAATTCACCTTTTGACTCAAGTGCTCTGAAGATTCCCCAAGCATTTTTGGAAACAGAACACTACCTGGTTGAGACTGGGTTCAAGTACACCACACAGCTACGTTCTGGTGGTGCTCAAGGGGCAAATGCTGTGCTAAATACAAGTCAAGACTGGATTTTAGTGTGGCAAGGCGCATTAACTCAGAGGAAAAAGTGAGGATTTACATCCCACCTGCTAATACTGTGGGTAAACGGATTTCTCTCTCTGAATCTTTAATAGTCACATTTATTTTAATAGAGATGGTTAAGTCGAAAGGATGGTTACGATGATTAAATGAGCCAATAATGAAAACAGCATGTTTTGTAATAATAGAAGCAGCTCACCTTTATTGAGTCCTGTATCATACTTTACATCTATTACCCTATTCAGTACCCAAAGGCCCCCATCATTTGCCAGATGCGCGTCGAGCCGCACTGGGACCACCTACAGACGCTGGACCAGAGCCCACGTCCCTGCGGCTTTGGAGCGCCGCGTCTGCAGCGGCCAGCGCGCCTCACATGGCGGCTCCGGTCACGTCACACAATGCGGCTGCTCCGGGCGCCCACTGCCCAGCACCGCAGGCCTCCTCTGGCCGCCCCTCAAGCAGGTCGCGCAAACGCCATTCCGGGCAGGGGCGCCAGCGCAGCCAGCCAACCTCCCCACCAGGCGGCTCCCACCCAGGGCCCTCCGCGGAGGCCGCTCCGGGGCCAGGAGGCGGCTTCCAGGCTCGAGACCCCGCCTCCCAGGCCCTGCCCGCCCGCAAAAGCCTTCGACACACCTGCAGGGTCTCGGCCTCTGCTCCCGGCCCGCGCCGGGCCCAGGCCCCGCCCTTTGCGGCCCAGCCCAGACCCGGAGGCACCGGAGTCCTCTCCCCACCCTAGGGCGTAAGACCAAAAAAACGCCAATGCCAGAAAGAAGACACTGCACATGCGCAGAACGTTTCCCTAGCCCTACTCCAGAACTACGCTTCCCAGAAGGCCCGGCTGCGACTCCATCTTGGATGACGTCGTGAGGCGCGGCCGCCTCCAGCGGCCTGAGTGATTGCTGTCGGGTTTCCGGGAGAGGGCGCTGTCCTTGCTCAGTGATGGCCGGAGAGCTGCACCCTGCACGTCTGGGCTTGAAGACAGAAATCCACCGTGAGGTGCTCCAAGGAACACTGATGGGCAGTTTTGTTAAAGTGATTGAACTCCGTGGGTACAGGAGTACGTGGAGTAATGAAGGATAATGCCCTGTAACCGCTTCCTCTTAGGAATGCTAGCTTTCACAATTGTGCAAACGGTACGCGAAACGTAATAAACTACAAAATATGTATAAGCTAAAACAGAAAACGAGTATACCACTTCCCAAAAGCAAAAGCGCTTAATGTTAGGTGAACATCCTTCTCATGAATTTACACAAATTTTAACCTAATGGTATAGAGTATCATGACTATCATTTCACTAAGGAATATATATAGTCATCCCTCCTTATCCTGGGGGTGCATATCTATGGATTCAACTAAGCTCAGAATGAAAATACTTAAAAATTCTATCTTACTGAACATGTACAAAGTTTCCCCCTTGTCATTATACCCTAAACAATACAATAAAACTATTTACATAGTATTTACATTGTGTTAGGTGTACAATTAATCTAGACATAATTTAAAATATACAGGAGGAGGTGTGTAGGTTATGCAAATATCAGGTTATTTTCTACCAGAGACTTGAACATCCCTGGATTTGAGTAATCCAGGGAGGTCCTGGTACTAATCCCCCGCGGATACAGAGAGAGGACTTGGCTGTATATGTAAAACAAATTATATATTTCCTGGTCAATAACTTTATTACATTAAAACATGTAGAATCATCTAGAAAAAAACGTATATATTGTCATGTGTATAAACACACATATATATACATATAAAAATATGCGCACATAATACACACACACACACCACCTTTCTGGATGGGAAGTATTGAGGAAATAATTTAAAATAAAGCCTCTTGCCAACCCAGAAAATTCTCTCCACAGATGGAGAAAAGAACAAAACAGTTACATTATTGAATAAACATTAAACCAGACTGCGATGTGCGTCACAGGCAACCCACTAATGAGTTTATGAAGACAGGAAGAACTATCATTTTTTGTATTAGCCGGTCTGGTACAACGCATTCTATTTCCTCAAGGTAAAAATAACTTGTCCTCAAGTAAGATGACTGTACAGCAACATTTGCTATGCATAATTCATCTGAAATTCACCTGATAATTAGGGTAGCCATCAGTGTTAGTTAATTGCCATTATGCAAATGAAAAGTAAAGTTTCTGGTATCTCTATGACACGCAGGTAGTTAACCGCGGGTAGCCAGGAGCCTAGGAGTTTACCACAGAGGCAGGGAGATGGGGTGCAATCTTCCTTGATGCTTACATTTCAAAGACATGACCCAAGGCCATTAAGAAAGACCTTCCTGGGTTGTTAAACTAGCAAGAAGCTTATTTACTTTTTAAAAAGTTTTGCTATATCTCACAGGGACAGAGAAGGGATTTACAATTACAAGTTTTCTTAAGGAAATGCTGTAAGAAAAGAGAGGAGTAAAGGTCTTTTTCCCTTTTTGCAAGAAGGAAAATTCAGTTGTTTTATTTTTTTCTTTGAGACAGAGTCTGGCTTTGTCACCCAGACTGGGATGCAGTGGCATGATCCCGGCTCACTGCAACCTCTGCCTCCCAGGTTCAAGGAATTCTCTGCTTCAGCCTCCTGAGTAGCTGGGATTACAGTCGCCCACCACCACGCCTGGCTAATTTTTTTTGTATTTTTAGTAGAGACGGGATTTCACCATCTTGGCCAAGGTGGTCTTGAGCTCCTGACTTCGTGATCCACCTGCCTCAGCCTCCCAAAGTGCTGGGATTACAGGCGTGAGCCACTGCGCCCAGCCCAAATTTTTATATTTATATTTACCCTTAGAGAAACTATAAAATTTAACACAATTTCAATCAAAATTTAAATTAAAAAATCTTAACGGGGAGCTTAGTTTTGTTTTACTTGATAAAATAATTTTTAACTTCCTCAGGAAACAACCTCAGGGAATAGCAAGGAACTGAAGACTAAACTCTGATTTTTTTTATCTTATCCAAATTTCTATCTAAGGGGTCTGAGGAGTTATGCCCTACAAACCATAAATTCATATCAGATGGGTTTTATTTAACCCCATAAAATGTGACTTACTTTCCAACCAGACTCTGGCATAACATTATGAGACAAGGAAGAAAATAAAAACATTTTACCCCAAAAACATGTTTGTCACATTTTGAAATGGCCCTGCAAGCCGTCCTTTGTGGGAAAATTTGCATCTCTAAATAATCTCTATTAACTAACATAGCTAGGCCTTTTCCTTCCAGGCCCTTCTAATTCTGAATAGATTGACTGAGAGTCTAGCACCTTTTAAAGGGTCTGAATAGGAAACATCTGTCATCTCTTGTTTTCAAGGATAGCCACTATGAGACTTCAAAAGAACTTTGGTCTCCACAACCTTTTATCTTAACCTGAACATTTCCTTTCTATTGATCCCAGCTCCTTAGACAAAAATTCAACCAATTGTCAACTAGAAAATGGTTAAATTTACCTGTAGCCTGGAAGCACCCCCACCCTTCAAGTTGTCCTGCCTTCCTGGAACAAACCAATGTATTCCTTAAATGTATTTGATTGATGTCTCATGCCCTCCTACAATGTATAAAATCAACCTGCACCCCCAACCACCTTGGGCGCATGTTCTCATGACATCCAGAGGGCTGTGTCAAGGTCCATGATCACTCACATTTGGCTCAGAATAAATCTCTTTAAATATTTTACAGAGTTGACTTTTTTCATTGACAGAACTTTTTTTGAAAATGCAAATTTAAAAAGTAATTTAAGGCTGGGCGTGGTAGCTCACCCCTGTAATCCCAGCACTTTGGGAGGCTGAGGTGGGAGGATCACGAGGTCAAGAGATCGAGAATATCCTGGCCAACATGGTGAAACCCTGTCTCTACTAAAAATACAAAAATTAGCTGGGCATGGTGGTGCATGCCTGCAGTCCCAGCTACTCGGGAGGCTGAGGCAGGAGAATCACTTGAACCTGGGAGGCAGAGGTTACAGTGGGCCAAGATCGTGCCACTGAAATCCAGCCTGGCAACACAGTGAGTCTGTGTCTCAAAAAATAAATCAATGAAATAAAAAGTAATTTAAGTTTGATGCTAGTTTCGAAAAAGCACAGAAGATCCAAATATACATGAGAATTTAGTATATGTTAAAATTTTCATTGAAAACAAAACAGTGTGGACATATATATATACCTTTTTTTCTTTTCTTTCTAATTTGGTCTTGAGGTCTCTCTCTCCTAAGGGTGGCTATAAACTATCCCTGTGGGGCTCCTGGAATTTGGTGTCATGGATATTTGGTGTGCCATATGTTAAAAGTTTCATTTCAAATTTACTGAAAGTCCACTCTTAATTTTTAGAAGTTAGTAAGTTCCAAGAGAAGTAGCAATTTGAAGTCACTGGTGAAGGGTTCACACAAGGTGAATTTTTACATTTGGTTTCTCCACAGCATAAGGAATAAAACTGTTCTTTTGAAATGAAGAAGAGAACCACCTAGGAGACTATCACCCTGACCTGAGGACTTCACTAGGGATTCAGGAAAGAAGACACAGAAAGAAAGCAATCCTCAAGGTGTTATATCTGAATAGTTTAATTTTACTTAAAAATGTTTTTATTGAAGTATAAAAAATATAAAAGTATGCAATGGCATGTGTATCACTGTATAATTGATAAGTGAATGATGAAGAGAGGTAAACACAAACATGTAAACACCAAGGAGTTCAAAGACAATATTACCAGTGCCTGAAGTCTCCTTGAATGACCCATTCTTTATTGGTCATTTCTCTCCCTCTCAAAAGTAGCCCCATCTTGATTTCTGGTTTTTTTTTTTTTTTTTTGAGATGGAGTTTCTCTCTTGTTGCCCAGACTGGAGTGCAATGGCACGATCTCAGCTCACTGCAACCTCTGCCTCCTTGGTTCAAGTGATTCTCCTGCTTCAGCCTCCTGAGTAGCTGGGATTACAGGCATGTGCCACCATGCTTGGCTAATTTTCTGCATTTTTAGTAGAGACAGGGTTTCACCATGTTGGCCAGGCTGGTCTGGAACTCCTGACCTCAGATGATCCACCCACCTCGGCCTTGGAAAATGCTGAGATTACAGGCGTGAGCCACTGCACCCAGCCCCCATCCTCACTTCTAACAATAAAGACCAGTTTTGCAATTTATTATTGCAATTTCTTTTACTCATTTATTTTGAGGTAATCTTATTTTTAATTTTTTTTTTAGATAGAGTCTCACTCTATCACCCAGGCCGGAGTGCAGTGGTGCAATCTCGGCTTACTGCAACTTCCATCTCCCAGGTTCAAGCTATTCTTGTGCATCAGCCTCCCAAGTAGCTGGGATTACAGGTGTTTGCCACCATACCCGGCTATTTTTTTCTATTTTTAGTAGAGTTGGGGTTTCACCATGTTGGCAGGCTGGTCTTGAAATCCTGACTTCAGGTGATCTGTCCACCTCCACCTCCCAAAGTGCTGGGATTACAGACGTGAGCCACTGCACCTGGCCTGAAGTAATCTTTAACTTATAAATAAATTGCAAAAGTAGGATAAAGAATTCTCCTATAGGCCAGGCATGGTTGCTCCTGCCTGTAATCCCAGCATTTTGAGAGGCTGAGGCAGATGGATCACGATGTCAGGAGTTTGAGAACATAGTGAAACCCCATCTCTACTAAAAATATAAAAATTAGCTGGGTGTAGTGGTGCACACCTGTAAGCTCAGCTACTCAGGAGGCTGAGGCAGGAGAATTGCTTGAACCTGGGAGGCGGAGGTTACAGTGAGCCAAGATCATGCCATTGTACCCCAGCCTGGGTGACAGACTGAAACTCCATCTCAGAAAAAAAAAAATTGAATTATCATATATCCTTCACCAAGATAATTCCATCATTAATATTTTGGCACATTTGCTTCATAATTTTTGCTATTTGTGTATATTATGTATTTATTTTTCTTAATCATTTGAGAGTCAGTTGTAGGAATCATTCCACTTTACTCCTAAGTTCTTAGCTGTATATTTTCTATCAGCAAGGATAAAATTCTCAGATAACCATGGTACAGTGCTCAAAATCAGAAAAATTTAACAAAGATATAATATCTAATCTATAATGTACAGTCCATGTTCAAATTTCACTGATTGTCTCAATTAAGTCTTTTTTTTTTTTTTCTTGAGATGGAGTCTTACTCTGTCACCCAGGCTGCAGTGCTGTGGCACAATCTCGGCTCACTACAATCTCCCCTTCTCAGGTTCAAGTGATTGTCCTGCATCAGCCTCCTGAGTAGCTGGGACTACAGGCATGCACCACCATGCCCGGGTAAATTTTGTATTTTTTTTTTTAAGTAGAGATGGATTTTCACCATGTTATCCAGGATGATCTCGATCTCTTTACCTCGTGATCTCCCCATCTCATCCTCCTAAAGTGCTGAGATTACAGGCATGAGCCACTACGCCCAGCCTTCAATTAAGACTTTTATAGATAATTGTTTTTCTGATTCAAGATCCAATTCAAAAACTGTTTCTGGGCTGGGTGTGATGACTCATGCCTGTAATCCCAGTACTTTGGGAGGCCGAGGCGGGTGGATCACTTGAGGTCAGGAGTTTGAGACCAGCCTGGCCAACATAGTGAAACCCCATCTCTACAATAGATACAAAAACTATCTGGGCATATCAGGGGAACCTGCCCCCAATATTTCAACATAGGTTCTTTCTATTTTCCATAAGTGTCAGCCGGCTGAGAAAAATAAAGAGAAAGAGTACAAAGAGAGGAATTTTACAGCTGGGCCTCTGGGGGTGACATCACATCGGTAGGACCGTGATGCCCACCTGAGCCTTAAAGCCAGCAAGTTTTATTAAGGATTTCAAAAGGGGAGGGGGTGCAAGAACAGGGAGTAGGTCACAAAGATCACATGCTTCTAAGGGAAAAATCAGAAACTCCTAATAAGGGTCTAACAAAGATCACAAGACAAAGGGCAAAGGCAAAGATCACAAAGCAAAGGGCAAAAACAAGATCACAAGGCAAAGGGCAAAAGCAGAATTACTGATAAGGGTCTATGTTCAGTGGTGCACGTATTGTCTTTATAAACATCTTAAACAACAGAAAACAGGGTTTGAGAGCAGAGAACCAGGCTGACCTCAAATTTAGTGGGGCAGGGTTTTTCCCCACCCTAGTAAGCCTGAGGGTACTGCAGGAGACCAGGGCATATTTCAGTCCTTATCTCAACCATGTAAGACAGACACTCCCCTCGGGAGGCTGAGGCAGGAGAATGGCGTGAACCCGGGAAGCGGAGCTTGCAGTGAGCCGAGATTGCGCCACTGCAGTCCGCAGTCCGACCTGGGCGACAGAGTGAGACTCCGTCTCAAAAAAAAAAAAAAAAAAAAAAAAAAAGACAGACACTCCCAAAGAAGCCGTTTATAGACCTCCCCACAGGAATGCATTCCTTTCCCAGAGTATTAATCCTTGCTAGGAAAAGAATTTAGCGATATCTTCCCTACTTGCACCTCCATTTATAGGCTCTCTGCAAGAAGAAAAATATGGCTCTATTTTGCCCAACCCCGCAGGCAGTCAGACCTTATAGTTGTCTTCCCTTGTTCCCTGAAAATCGCTGTTATTCTATTCTTTTTCAAGGTGCAATGATTTCATATTGTTCAAACACACATGTTTTACATTCAATTTGTACAGTTAACACAATAGTGGTCCTGAGGTGACATACATCCTCAGTTTACGAAGATAATAGGATTAAGAGATTAAAGTAAGACAGGAGAAAGAAATTATGAAAGTATTATTTGGGAACTGGTAAATGTCTATGAAATCTTCACAATTTATGTTCCTCTGCCACGGCTCCAGCCGGTCCCTCTGTTCAGGGTCCCTGACTTCCCACAACACAGGTGTGGTGGCCCGTGTCTCCTGAGTTGGAAGAATCACTTGAACCCAGGAGGCAGAGGTTGCAATGAGCCGAGATCACGCCACTTCACGCCAGTCTGGGCAATAGAGGGAGACTCTGTCTAAACAAACAAACAAACCAAAACAAAAACCGTTTCTGGCCAAGGTGGAGTAACAAGGACTGGATTTACCCTCCTGCCTAAAACAACTGAAGAAACCAGATAAAATATATGAAACAATGTTTTCAAGTCACTGGATATCAGGCAATGAGCACAGTGACCCATGAAACATGAAATAAGTAAGCTCTACATTTGCCACAGCTTACTGCCTTAAAAGAGTTTCCAGGCTGTGGCACAAGGAGGGGGATCCCAGGCTGAGCGTCATAGACTCCTTGAATTGAGGAGACGCAGCTGAGAGTCCAGAGACACCAAGGCAGCTAGAGTTTGTAGGACAAATTACCAAGGAAGAGAGCTGCACAGAGAGAGACAGCTCTGGTGATCTTCAGAAGGTCCCCTTGAAAACTCAGCAGAGTGCTGTCTGGAACATGCGTATGAGGATATCACCTGAGACTGGGGAATCATCCAAAAAGATTGAAGAGAATAGAGCCCAGTGATGCTGGAAAAAGTACCTGCTGTCACCAGCCAGGATGAGAAAATCATAATTCATGAGCACTGGGGTAGAGTACTCAGAATGATCTTGTCTCAGCAACAAAGAATAATTAGCCCTAGAATAAACACTACAAATGTTAAAAGCAAGACCCAACACTATCAATTAACTGCACCCCAGAAGAAGCCTCAAGAATATTTAGAGAAATACAAAAACATTTTATGGGGCTAAAAGCACCATAAAATTTGTAATATCTGCTAATCTCATTCAAAGATTAGCAGGCTTGGCCAGGAGTGGCTCATGCCTGTAATCCCAGCACTTTGGGAGGCCAAGGTGGGTGGATCACCTGAGGTCAGGAGGTGGAGAGCAGCCTGGCAAGCATGGTGAAACCCTCTCTCTACTAAAAAGACAAAAATTAGCTGGGCGTGGTGGCAGGCACCTGTAGTCTCAGCTACTCAGGAGGCTGAGGCAGGAGAACTGCTTGAACCAGGGAGTTGGAGGTTGCAGTGAGTTGAGATCACGCCATCGCACTCCAGCCTGGGCAACAGAGTGAGACTCCGTCTCAAAAAAAAAAAAAAAGATCAGCAGGTTTGCAAAGAAACAGAAAAATAATAACTCACTATGAGGAGAAAAATCAACTATGCAAAACTGACCCAGAACTGATGCACATGTCAGATTTAGCAGACAAGGACATTAAACAAGTTTCCATAACTGTGTTCTAGATGTTCAGAGACAAGCAGAGACATGGAAGATATTTATGGAAGATATTTTTTCTTTTTTTTGAGACAGAGTCTTGCTCTGTCACACAGGCTGCAGTGCAGTGGCACAATCTCAGCTCACTGCAGTCTCCGCCTCCTGGGTTCAAGCAATTCTCTTGCCTCAGCCTCCTGAGTAGCTGGGGTTACAGGCACATGCCACCACGCACAGCTAATTTTTGTATTTTTAGTAGAGACAGGGTTTCACCATGCTAGCCAGGCTGGTCTTGAACTCCTGACCTAGTGATCCACCCTCCTTGGCCTCCAAAAGTGCTGGGATTACAAGTGTGAGCCACCGCACACAGCCGACATGGAAGATATTAAAAGATCAAACCAAACATGTAGAGATGGAACTTACAATGTCTGTGATGAAAATACACTGAATGGGATTAACAGCAGATTAGAAACTGAAGGGAAGATTGGTACATTTTAAGATAGCAGTAGAAACTTCAAAATGAAACAATAAGAAAATATAAAAAATAAGAAGCATCAGTGAGCTGTGGGACAACTTTAAGCTGTCTGACATATATGTAATTGAAATCCACAAGAAGAGGGTGGAGAAGGGGACAGTAAAATTTTTATTTGAAACATTAATGGCCAGACATTTTATACATTTTATGAAAACCATAGTTGGGAGAACCAGGAAGCTTGATAAACTACAATCTGCAATTATAGTTTGAAATCTCATACTCCTTCTCAATATTTGGTGGAATAGAAAATCAACAAGGATATCAAAAACCTAAACAACACTATCAACCATGTTAGGTTATTGACCTGACATTTATAAAAAATTCCATTTTCCTGGCTGAGCATGGTGGCTCACGCCTGTAATCCCAGCAACCTTGGGAGGCTGAGGTGGGTGGATCACCTGAGGTTGGGACTTCGAGACAAGCCTGTCCAATATGAAGAAACCCCATCTCTACCAAAAATACAAAATTAGCCGCACATAGTGGTGCACGCCAGTAATCCCAGCTACTCAGGAGGCTGAGGCAAGAGAACTGCTTGCACCCAGGAGGCAGAGGTTGTGGTGAGCCAAGATCATGCCATTGCACTCCAGCCTGGGCAACAAGAGTGAAACTTGGTCTCAAAAAAAAAAAAAAAGAAAAAAATTCCATTTTCCAACAATAAAATACACATTCTGTTCAAGTACACATGGAATATTTACCAAAAATGACTATAATTTGGGCCATAAAAGATGTCTCATAAATTTAAAAGAATTCAAGTCATTCAAAATACATTCTTTGGCCATAATGGAGTTAAATTATAAATTAATACCTAATTATATTTGGATAATAATCAAATATTTGGAAACTAAATACCAAACTCATTTCTTCTTCTTTCTCCTCCTCTTCTTCTTTTTCCTCTTCTCTCCTCCTACTTCTCCCCCTCCCCCTTTGCCTCCTTCTCCTCTTTCTTCTTTTTCTTTCTCCTTCTCCTTCTTCCTTGTTTTCCTTCTCTTTATTCTTCTTTCTTTTCTTGTTTGTTGCCTAGATAGGAGTGCAGTGGTGTGATCATAGCTCACTGCAGCCTCCACCCTGGGATGAGGTGATCTTCTGGCCTCAGCCTCCCTAGTAGCTAGGACTACAGGCATGTGCCACCATGCCTCCAGCTGTTTTTCTTATTTTTTGTAGAGAGCAGGTCTCACTGTGTTGCCCAGGCTGGTCTCAAACTCCTGGACTTAAGCAATTCTCCTGCTTTGGCCTCTAAAATGCTGGGATTAGAGGCATGACCCATTGCACCCTACTTAAATAATATACTTCTAAATAACCCATGGGTCAGACCAGGCACGGTGGTTCACACCTGTAATCCCAGCACTTTAGGAGGCTGAGGTGGGTGGATCAGGAGGTCAGGAGCTTGAGACCAGTCTGGCCAACATGGTGAAAACCTGTCTCTACCAAAATACAAAAAATTAGCCAGACGTGGTGGACTGCGCCTGTAGTCTCAGCTATCAGGAGGCTGAGACAGGAGAATTTCTTGAACCCAGGGGACAGAGGTTGCGGTGAGCTGAGATTGTGCCACAGCACTCCAGCCTGGGTGACAGAGCAACACTCCATCTCAAAAAATAAAAAATAACACATGGGTCAAATTGAAAATTAAAAGGGGGAAATTAGAAGGTAATTTGAACTGCATGAAAATAAAAACACATCAAAATTTGTGGGATACAATTAAACCTGCACTTGGAAGAAAATTTTTAGCACTAAACATTCAAAAAAAGAAGTCTCTAATGAATGACCTCAGCTTCCCACCTTAAGGAACCAGAAACATTTAAGAGCAAAAATAGCTAAAAGTAAGCAGGAGAAAGGAAATAAATAAGCATCAGAGTGGAAATCAATGAAATAGAAGAAAATAGAGAAAATTAATGAACTGAAAAGCTGGTCATTTGAGAAGAGAAATAAAATTGACAAGCCTCCAGCCAGAGCGATTAGGAAAAGAGGGAACAAACAAATGACTAATATCAGGAATAAGAGTGGCACGATGGCTCACGCCTGTAATCCCAACACTTTGGAAGGCCAAGGCAGGCGGATCACGAGGTCAGGGGTTCAAGACCAGCCTGACAAACATGGTGAAACCCCGTCTCTACTAAAAATACACAAATTAGCTGGGGGTGGTGGCTCACACCTGTAATCCCAGCTACTCAGGAAGCTGAGGCAGGAGAATTGCTTGAACCCAGGAGGTGGAGGTTTCAGTGAACCAAGATCATGCCATTGCACTCCAGCCTGAGTGATAGAGCCAGACTCTGTCTCAAAAAGAAAAAAAAAAAAAAAAAAAAAAAAAAAGTACAGATTCTTCAGACCTTAAAATTAAGCAAGGGGCTGGGTGCCGTGGCTCACGCCTATAATCCCAGCACTTTGGGAGGCTGAGGTGGGTGGATCACCTGAGGTCAGGAGTTTGAGACTAGTCTGGCCAACATGATGAAACCCTGTCTCTACTAAAAATACAAAAATCTCTCCAAGATTGGGAACAAGACAAGGATTTCCACTCACACCACATCTGTACTACATTGTTCTGGAGGATCTGCTAGTATATTCAGGCAAGATAAAGAAATAAAGTAGGCCGGGTGCAGTGGCTCATGCCTGTAATCCCAGCACTTTGGGTGGCTGAGGCAGGCTGATCACAAGGTCAGGAGTTTGAGACCAGCCTGACCAACACGGTGAAACCCCGTCTCTTCTAAAAATACAAAAATTAGCTGGGCGTGTTGGCACACACCTGTGGTCCCAGCTACTCAAGAGGCTGAGGCAGGAGAATCACTTGAACCCGGGAGGCAGAGGTTGCAGTGAGCCAAGATCGCACCATTGCGCTCCAACCTGGGTGACAGAGATTCTGTCTCAAAAAAAAAAAAAAAGAAAAAAAAAAAGAAAAGAAAGAAAGTAGTTGGCCAGGCGCAGTGGCTCACGCTTGTAATCCCAGCACTTTAGGAGGCCAAGGAGGGCAGACCACCTGATTTCCGGAATTTGAGACCAGCCTGGCCAACATGGCAAAACTCTGTCTCTACTAATTGTCAGGTGTGGTGGTGCCTGCCTGTAATCCCAGTTACTTGGGAGGCTGAGGCAGGAGAATTGCTTGAACCTGGGAGGCAGAAGTTGCAGTGAGCCAAGATCACCAAGATCACGCAACTGCACTCCAGCCTGGCCAACAGAGGGAGACTGTGTCAAAAATAAAAATAAAAATAAAGTAGTTGACTTCTGGAATGGCAAAATGATTTCTGTGAAACTTCTCTCTAGTGAAACAATCTTTCTTGGTGAATTTTTTTTTAAATGACCACTTAATATTTTTGGAAGTTGTTTGTTGCTGTTGTTCTTGTTGTTTGTTTGAGATGGAGTTTTGCTCTTGTTGCCCAGGCTGGAATGCAGTGGCATGATCTCGGCTCACCGCAATGTCCACCTCCCGGATTCAAGTGATTCTCCTGCCTCAGCCTCCCAAGTAGCTGGGATTACAGGCACAAGCCACCACGCTTGGCTAGTTTTGTATTTTTAGTAGAGATGCGGTTTCTCCATGTTGGTCAGGCTGGTCTTGAGCTCCTGACCTCAGGTGATCCACCCACCTCGGCCTCCCAAAGTGCTGGGATTACAGGCATGAGCCACTGTGCCTGGCCGAGATTCTTGTTAGAATTTGCATTTTTTTTTTCAGGTTTTCCTTCTGTTTAAAACATATGAAACAACTGTGTTTAATTTAAATAGAATACTCTCTCTTTTTTAAAAAATAGAATACTCTCTTGAGCCCTGTGTTATTACTTTATTGAATATGGTGTGAACTAAGAAGCTGACTTTGTTTTCTTCTAAATGAATAGCCAATTGATCTTTCACTGTTAAATTCATTCGCTATTATTTCATGGATTTGAAATTTCTTTTTTATTGTGTACAAAATTATCCTTCGGAGTGGCTATTGCATTTGTAGGCTCTGCATTATTTTTCACAGTTTTCTACTGCTGGTGCTTAACCCAGATGGGCCAGTCACAGGACCTCACCCTCCTAGTCTCACATTGAAGATTTCATTGATGAGTTTTTGATTAAGTTGAACCACTGAGAGCTTATCCTAAGATTTTCATAACTGGAGGTGTTTATGTTCCAATTACTTGGTGACTGGAATGCATTTTCAGTAAGAGAAAAAATGTGTGGAAATGTAGGAAAGCAAAGAGAAGCATGATGGTGAACAGGCTCAAGCATTGTTTGAGCTGCTGATTCTACAGCTCAAAGACCCGCACCATACCTCTGCTGTGGCTTCTTCATGAAGCCAATAAATACCAATGTCTGGCTGTGCATGTGTGGCTCACACCTCAAATCCCAGTGCTTTGGGAGGATTGCTTGAAGCCAGGAGTTGGAGACCAACCTGGGCAACATAATGAGACCCTGTCTCTGAAAAAAATAAAAGAAAATTAGCTGTGTGGGGTGATGTGCATCTGTCATCCTAGCTGTTTGTGAGATTGAGGTGGCAGGTTGCTTGAGTCCACGTGTTCAAGATTATAGTGAGCTGTGATCACACCACCGCACTCCAGCCTGTGTGACAGAGCAGGACCCTGTCTCTAAATACTTAATACATACATACATTTCACTATTTTCCGTGTACCATCATCTGTTCTGAGTTCTGCTGCAATCAATTATTCATTGATACTGTGCTAAACATATTTTAATTATTATGCCTTTATTTATTTATTTATTTATATTTTTTGAGATGGAGTTTCAGTCTTGTTTTCCAACCTGGAGTGCAATGGTGCGATCTTGGCTCACTGCAACCTCCGCTTCCCGGGTTCAAGCGATTAATCTGCCTCAGCCTCCCGAGTAGCTGGGATTACAGGCATGCACCACCACGCCCAGCTAATTTTGTATCTTTAGTAGAGATGGAATTTCACCATGTTGGTCAGGCTGGTCTCCAACTCCCGACCTCAGGTGATCCGCCCTCCTCAGCCTCCCAAAGTGCTGGGATTACAGGTGTGAGCCACTGAACCTGGCTGACTTTAATATTTTTTAATATATTGTAGAATGTATTAGAATTCTTAGAATCTATTTGACACCCACCTCTTCTTTCAGGGATGGAATTTTTAAGATTTGGATTCAATTTTCATTCAACTGGATAGAACCAGCTTGCTAGAGCCATTCCATGAAGGAGACAGAGCCAGTGGCTAGGGCCTTGAGCTGCAATTGCCTTTCCCCATTTCCTCTCTCCCACTGTTCAGGCCCCACCCCACACTGTCTTCTGAAGAGGGCTCTCTGGGCCATGGTCATGAGTGCCATCTTTCCCTACCTGGGTCTCCTTCCTCCTCCTTATCAAGTCGCTGTCTTTTTTTTTTTTTTTTTTTTTTTTGAGACAAGTGTCTTGCTCTGTCACTCAGGCTGTGGCACAATCTTGGCTCACTGCAGCCTTTGCCTCTGGGCCTCAAGTGATCTGCCCACCTCAGCCTCCTGAGCAGCTGGGACTACAGGCATGCACCATCATGCATAATTTTTTTTTTTTTTGAGACAGGGTCTCTCTCTGTCACCCAGGCTGGAGTGCAGTGATGTGATCTCAGCTCACTGCAAGCTCCCCCTCCCAGGTTCAAGTGATTCTCCCAGCTCAGCCTCCCGAGTAGCTACAGGCATGTGCCATTATGCCTGGCTAATTTTTGTATTATTTGGTAGAGACCGGGGTTTAGCATGTTGGCCAGGCTGGTCTTGAGCTCCTGACCTCAAGTGATCCTCCTGCCTCAGCCTCCCAAAGTGCTGGGATTACAGGTGTGAGCCACCGTGCCTGGCCAATTTTTTTTTTTTAATATTTAGTGGAGACTGGGTCTCACTATGTTGCCCAGGCTGGTCTTGAAGTCCTGGACTCAAGTGATCCTCCTTCCTCAGCCTCCCAAAGGGCTGGGATTACAGGCATGAGCCACTGTACCTAGCCAAGTCTCTGTCTTTCATTCAACAAACAGAAGTCTCATTTGGACTTCCAGGAGGAGTCAGACTTTCTGTCTACTCTCCCGAACTTGTCTAACCCACCCTATTTGTTGTTGTTGTCCTGTTTTGTTTTGTTTCAGGATTTTAGCAGCCTGATTCCATGGTTTTTAGTTTCTGTCTCTAGTGATAAGTGGAAAAGAAGGATGAGGAATGGGCTTTGCTGGCCCAACCAGAAACAGAAACTAAGAACCCATGACTGTATTCACTCCCTTGGACACCCATGCTAAAGCATCTTCAGTGTGCTGTGTCAGGGTGGCAGGGTGGTAGGGTGGCTGCAGCTGCCATAACAAAGCACTGCAGCCTGGGCAGCAAAGACAATGGAAATCTATGGTCTTACTGTGTGGAGGCTGGAAGGCCAAGATCAAAGAGCAGGTTGGTTTCTCCTGAGGCCTCTTCTTGGTTTGTAGATAGCCATCTTTTCCCCGTGTCTGTCTCATGGTCGTCCCAGTGTGTGTGTCTGTGCTGTAATCTCTTTTTTTTTATAAAGACACCAGTCATATTGGATTATGATCCCCTTTTAACTTAATTACATCTTCTAAGGTCTTGTCTCAAAATGTCAGATTCTGAGGTACTGGGCATTAGGACTTCAACATGGGAATTTTAAAGGGGATGCAGTTCAGCCCATCACAGAGGGAGGGGATCTGTGCACAGAGTTTATCACACTGCTGCATGTGGGAAACTTTGGCTTGATGATTTCATCCTTGCCAAACCCCTCTTGCTTGCCTGGCTCTAACCAACAAAGCCTCAAAATCTAGACCACATACAGGCTTCACTGAGCACCTGCATAACTAAGTGGCTAAATGACTACCATCGACCCTTTCTCTGGCCTTAGGATCAGAATGGCCAGCAGGAGGCCATATGCACCTAAACCAGATGGAAGAAAATGGCCCGGGGTGACCAGCTGGCTCTCTTTATCAAGCTCAGACTCCTCAAGTCCCCGCTTGGAAGAACAGTCACAGATTCCATATACAGGTAAGCAGGAAACTGACATCTTTGTCTCTAGCAGTTGTTGAGCTGGTGCCTGCTAAGGAGATGCAGGAAGATAATGAAATTCACTGAATGAGCAAAATTGTGTCGCTGCTTGAGTAAGTTCATGTTTCTGAAGAGACAGCTCATAGCACACATCAGATCCTTAACCTGTGCCCCACTTTCCCCAAAAGAGTCACTTTCCAAAGGAGATTCAAATTCTGACCTATCCACAAACCTCACTTCCATGATTTTGAAAGTAAGAGGGTAGATTTCCTCTCAGAGCTCCATCTGGAGTCCTGTGCTCTATGCACCCTTGGGTGTCATCAGGGCCATGACTGTGTGGTGGCTTCCAGAAAGAAGTCCAAGGGAATCTGCCTGATTGCCTGGGGACTTCCTTGGCACAGAGTGATGGACCCTTCTCTCCCAGCACAGAGAGGGGCACTGGACTAAGGTGTAAGTGCCAGGGTTCTGAAGGGAGCAAATCACAGAAAGATAACTTGTATTTGGCAAGTTCCAGTGCCACACCCACTCAAGAAATTTCCTGGGAACTTGGAAGTGCTAAGTGAGCCCAACTGGAAAGGAAAGAATGATGGGGCGGGGGGAGTATATTTAGAAAGCTAGAGTTTAAAGCTTGACACTGTTCTCTTAAGCTCTTCTGGTTGGTTTTTTCCTCTGCTTATCATCTCTGGAGCTTCCTCTTGGTGCAGCTCCCTCCCCTGCAGACTCAGTCCTGCAAATGCCAGCTCCATTTCCTTTATTTTTATTTTATATTTTGCGACAGAGTCCTGCTCTGTCACCCAGGCTGGAGTGCAGTGGCACAATCTTGGCTCACTGCAACCTCTGCCTCCCAGGCTCAAGTAATTCTCTTGCTCAGCCTCCCTAGTAGCTGGCATAACAGGCACATGCTGCTACCACCTGGCTAATTTTTGTATTTGTAGTAGAGATAGGGTTTTGCCATGTTGGCCAGGCTGGTCTTGAATGCCTGACCTCAAGCGATCCACCCCCCTCAGCCTGCCAAAATGTTGGGATTACAGGTGTGAGCCACTGCACCTGGCCCCAGCTTCATTTCCTTTAACGAGGAAGAGCTCTGGGCTCTGCCTGGGGCTCCCATCCCCATGCCACTGCCTGGAATGTCTCACGCTATAAGCTGGGGCAGTCTGTGTAAGCTGGGGCAGTCGGAGGCACACCTCACTTGATTCCTGTCTCTCAGGAACACTGTCCTTCAACTGCCTGATGTCCATGGTCTGGTGCGCCATCATTTCCAACATTTTGTCTGCTATTCGAGTCCTTTCAGACGGGAGGATAAATTTGGTTCCTGTTACTCCATCTTGGCTAAAAGCATAAGTCCCATAGCCATTTATATATTCCAGAAAATAAGAGAAGTGAAGGCATGATCATTGTATGTTACTGTATTGTACCACTGTCCACATTGAACCTGTTGTTCCCACCACCGACATGTTCAGGAGTTAGTCTTTGTGGCTGTTCTGAGGCTGCCATAGTCCCCTCATCTTTCCAGTCTCTCTTCTGAGGCTGCAAGTCCTCTGGGGCTCTACCACTGTGTTTGTGGGAGCAAGGCAGATTGCAGCAGCCAGCAAGCCCCTTTTGCTCAGGGGGAATAGGTGTGAATGAGATCCTGGTAAGAGGGGCTGCTTTTCCTGGAAGTAAAAGGCCTCTCTGGGAATGAGGCCTGCAGTCCTTTTATTTAAGGGAGTTGGGAGGCAATGGTTGCTACCCACCTTTCAGACTCTGGACCTGTCATTAACAACTTCGTTCTTAGCGTCCCACCTTTCAAAGTCATCCCCCAGCTGGATGAGGGGTTATAACCTCAAGCATATTCTAAGAATTTCATCACCAAGTCATCCCTTTTTCCTCCTACAAGGAATTCAAGATCTCCAAGCAGCAGGGAGGGGGTTCAGAATACATATTCAAGTTGTTGCAGCTCAAAACACTGATGTAGACATGGCTGGCACCAACGTGGCTCTAGGACATACTCCAGGTAACAGAAAAGATGGTCAACGAATTAAGGATCCCAAATGGAGTCACAGATGGGAGTGGGGCCAGGGTTTGTGGGAATTGGATTCCAGGTCTCTGCATGCCTACTTGGATTAGCCTTCACATCTTGGGAGGTTGTCCCTGTGCAGCAATGAATGGGGCCTCATTAGGGAACTGGGGTGCTAGTTCCAGTTTGTAAGTGAGTGCTCTGTGATCTCACTTTGCTTTTCTGGGCTCAGATGCCTCCTATGCACAACAATGAGGGTTAATATTTGTGATGATTAATTTTATGTGTTAACTTGGTCACAGGGTGCCCAGATATTCTGGATGTGTCTGTAAGGGAGTTTCTGAATGAGATTAACATTTAAACCAGCTGACTGGCAGAATGGCTATTACTAAAAAGTCAAGGCTGGTCTGAAGGTACTGAGTTATCTCAACTGATTGTTCCCAGTCAGTTATAGACTGAACTCCTGGTTCTATTTTTTCTCCCCTTCTCACTACTGCACTTGACTAGTCTTAAAAAAAAAAAAAAAAAAGTAAAAAAGAATGGATGTTGGCATGGTTGCAGAGAAAAGGTAACACTTATATACTGTTGGTGGGAGTATAAACCTCTAAAGAACTCAGTGTGGAGGTTTCTCAAAGAACTGAAAATAGAACCAGCAATCCCAGTACTGGGTATCTACCTAAAGGAAAAGAAGACATTACATAAAAAAGCGGCTGGGCGCCGTGACTCATGCCTGTAATCCCAGCACTTTGGGAGGCCAAGGCGGGTGGATCACAAGGTCAGGAGTTTGAGACTAGCCTGGCCAACATAGTGAAACCCTGTCTCTACCAAAAAAAGACAAAAATTAGTCTGGGCACTGTTTTTCACTCCTGTAATCCTAGCACTTTGGGAGGCTGAGGTGGATGGATCACGAGGTCAGGAGATTGAGACCATCATGACTAACACGTCTCTACTAAAAAAAAAAAAAAAAAAAAGAAATGGCCTGGGAGGAGCCAAGATGGCTGAATAGGAACAGCTCCGGTCTACAGCTCCCAGCGTGAGCGACGCAGAAGACGGGTGATTTCTGCATTTCCATCTGAGGTACCGGGTTCATCTCACTAGGGAGTGCCAGACAGTGGGCGCAGGTCAGTGGGTGCGAGCCGAAGCAGGGCAAGGCATTGCCTCATTTGGGAAGCGCAAGGGGTCAGGGAGTTTGCTTTCCAAGTCAAAGAAAGGGGTGACGGACAGCACCTGGAAAATCGGGTCACTCCCACCCGAATACTGCGCTTTTCCAACAGGCTTAAAAAATGGCACACCATGAGATTATATCCTGCACCTGGCTCGGAGGGTCCTACGCCCACGGAGTCTCGCTGATTGCTAGCACAGCAGTCTGAGATCAAACTGCAAGACGGCAGCGAGGCTGGGGGAGGGGCGCCCGCCATTGCCCAGGCTTGATTAGGTAAACAAAGAAGCCGGGAAGTTCGGGAAGCTCAAAGTGGGTGGAGCCCACCACAGCTCAAGGAGGCCTGCCTGCCTCTGTAGGCTCCACCTCTGGGGGCAGGGCACACACAAACAAAAAGACAGCAGTAACCTCTGCAGACTTAAATGTCCCTGACAGCTTTGAAGAGAGCAGTGGTTCTCCCAGCACGCAACTGGAGATCTGAGAACGGGCAGACTGCCTCCTCAAGTGGGTCCCTGACCCCTGACCCCCAGGCAGCCTAACTGGGAGGCACCCCCAACCAGGGGCACACTGACACCTCACACGGCAGGGTATTCCAACAGAACTGCAGCTGAGGGTCCTGTCTGTTAGAAGGAAAACTAACAAACACAAAGGACATCCACACCAAAAACCCATCTGTACATCACCATCATCAAAGACCAAAAGTAGATAAAACCACAAAGATGGGGAAAAAACAGAACAGAAAAACTGGAAACTCTACAAAGCAGAGCGCCTCTCCTCCTCCAAAGGAATGCAGTTCCTCACCAGCAACGGAACAAAGCTGGATGGAGAATGACTTTGACGAGCTGAGAGAAGAAGGCTTCAGACGATCAAATTACTCTGAGCTATGGCAGGACATTCAAACCAAAGGCAAAGAAGTTGAAAACTTTGAAAAAAATTTAGAAGAATGTATAACTAGAATAACCAATACAGAGAAGTGCTTAAAGGAGCTAATGGAGCTGAAAACCAAGGCTCGAGAACTATGGGAAGAATGCAGAAGCCTCAGGAGCCGATGCGATCAGCTGGAAGAAAAGGTATCAGCAATGGAAGATGAAATGAATGAAATGAAGCGAGAAGGGAAGTTTAGAGAAAAAAGAATAAAAAGAAATGAGCAAAGCCTCCAAGAAATATGGGACTATGTGAAAAGACCAAATCTACGTCTGACTGGTGTACCTGAAAGTGACGGGGAGAAGGGAGCCAAGTTGGAAAACACGCTGCAGGATATTATCCAGGAGAACTTCCCCAATCTAGCAAGGCAGGCCAACATTCAGATTCAGGAAATACAGAGAACTCCACAAAGATACTACTCGAGAAGAGCAACTCCAAGACACATAATTGTCAGATTCACCAAAGTTGAAATGAAGGAAAAAATGTTAAGGGCAGCCAGAGAGAAAGGTCAGGTTACCCTCAAAGGGAAGCCCATCAGACTAACAGCAGATCTCTTGGCAGAAACCCTACAAGCCAGAAGAGAGTGGGGGCCGATATTCAACATTCTTAAAGAAAAGAATTTTCAACCCAGAATTTCATATCCAGCCAAACTAAGCTTCATAAGTGAAGGAGAAATAAAATCCTTTACAGACAAGCAAATGCTGAGAGATTTTGTCACTACCAGGCCTGCCTTACAAGAGCTCCTGAAGGAAGCACTAAACATGGAAAGGAACAACCGGTACCAGCCACTGCAAAATCATGCCAAAATGTAAAGACCATTGAGACGAGGAAGAAACTGCATCAACTAACGAGCAAAATCACCAGCTAACATCATAATGACAGGATCAAATTCACACATAACAATATTAACTTTAAATGTAAATGGACTAAATGCTCCAATTAAAAGACACAGACTGGCAAATTGGATAAAAAGTCAAGAACCATCAGTGTGCTGTATTCAGGAAACCCATCTCACGTGCAGAGACACACATAGGCTCAAAATAAAAGGATGGAGGAAGATCTACCAAGCCAATGGAAAACAAAAAAAAGGCAGGGGTTGCAATTCTAGTCTCTGATAAAACAGACCTTAAACCAACAAAGATCAAAAGAGACAAAGAAGGCCATTACATAATGGTAAAGGGATCAATTCAACAAGAAGAGCTAACTATCCTAAATACATATGCAGCCCATACAGGAGCACCAAGACTCATAAAGCAAGTCCTGAGTGACCTACAAAGAGACTTAGACTCCCACACAATAATAATGGGAGACTTTAACACCCCACTGTCAACATTAGACAGATCAACGAGACAGAAAGTTAACAAGGATACCCAGGAATTGAAGTCAGCTCTGCACCAAGCGGACCTAACAGACATCTACAGAACTCTCCACCACAAATCAACAGAATATACATTTTTTTCAGCACCACACCACATCTATTCCAAAATTGACCACATACTGGGAAGTAAAGCTCTCCTCAGCAAATGTAAAAGAACAGAAATTATAACAAACTATCTCTCAGACCACAGTGCAATCAAACTAGAACTCTGGATTAAGAATCTCACTCAAAACCACTCAACTACATGGGAACTGAACAACCTGCTCCTGAATGACTACTGGGTACATAACGAAATGAAGGCAGAAATAAAGATGTTCTTTGAAACCAATGAGAACAAAGACACAACATACCATAATCTCTGGGACACATTCAAAGCAGTGTGTAGAGGGAAATTTATACCACTAAATGCCCACAAGAGAAAGCAGGAAAGATCCAAAATTGACACCCTAACATCACAATTAAAAGAACTAGAAAAGCAAGAGCAAACACATTCAAAAGCTAGCAGAAGGCAAGAAATAACTAAAATCAGAGCAGAACTGAAGGAAATAGAGACACAAAAAACCCTTCAAAAAATTAATGAATCCAGGAGCTGGTTTTTTGAAAGGATCAACAAAATTGATAGACTGCTAGCAAGACTAATAAAGAAAAAAAGAGAGAAGAATCAAATAGATGCAATAAAAAATGATAAAGGAGATATCACCACCGATCCCACAGAAATACAAACTACCATCAGAGAATACTGCAAACACCTCTATGCAAATAAACTAGAAAATCTAGAAGAAATGGATAAATTCCTGGACACATACACTCTCCCAAGACTAAACCAGGAAGAAGTTGAATCTCTGAATAGACCAATAACAGGAGCTGAAATTGTGGCAATAATCAATAGCTTACCAACCAAAAAGAGTCCAGGACCAGATGGATTCACAGCCAAATTCTACCAGAGGTACAAGGAGGAACTGGTACCATTCCTTCTGAAACTATTCCAATCAATAGAAAAAGAGGGAATCCTCCCTAACTCATTTTATGAGGCCAGCATCATTCTGATACCAAAGCCAGGAAGAGACACAACAAAAAAAGAGAATTTTAGACCAATATCCTTGATGAACATTGATGCAAAAATCCTCAATAAAAAACTGGCAAAACGAATCCAGCAACACATCAAAAAGCTTATCCACCATGATCAAGTGGGCTTCATCCCTGGAATGCAAGGCTGGTTCAATATACGCAAATCAATAAATGTAATCCAGCATATAAACAGAGCCAAAGACAAAAACCATATGATTATCTCAATAGATGCAGAAAAAGCCTTTGACAAAATTCAACAACCCTTCATGCTAAAAACTCTCAATAAATTAGGTATTGATGGGACGTATCTCAAAATAATAAGAGCTATCTATGACAAACCCACAGCCAATATCATACTGAATGGGCAAAAACTGGAAGCATTCCTTTTGAAAACTGGCACAAGACAGGGATGCCCTCTATCACCACTCGTATTCAACATAGTGTTGGAATTTCTGGCCAGGGCAATTAGGCAGGAGAAGGAAATAAAGGGGTATTCCATTAGGAAAAGAGGAAGTCAAATTGTCCCTGTTTGCAGATGACATGATTGTATATCTAGAAAACCCCATTGTCTCAGCCCCAAATCTCCTTAAGCTGATAAGGAACTTCAGCAAAGTCTCAGGATAAAAAAAATTAATGTACAAAAATCACAAGCATTCTTATACACCAACAACAGACAGACAGCCAAATCATGAGTGAACTCCCATTCACAATTGCTTCAAAGAGAATAAAATACCTAGGAATCCACCTTACAAGGGATGTGAAGGACCTCTTCAAGGAGAACTACAAACCACTGCTCAAGGAAATAAAAGAGGATACAAACAAATGGAAGAACATTCCATGCTCATGGGTAGGAAGAATCAATATCGTGAAAATGGCCATACTGCCCAAGGTAATTTACAGATTCAATGCCATCCCCATCAAGCTACCAATGCCTTTCTTCACAGAATTGGAAAAAACTACTTTAAAGTTCATATGGAACTGAAAAAGAGCCCGCATCGCCAAGTCAATCCTAAGCCAAAAGAACAAAGCTGGAGGCATCACACTACCTGACTTCAAACTATACTACAAGGCTACAGTAACCAAAACAGCATGGTACTGGTACCAAAACAGAGATATAGATCAATGGAACAGAAGAGAGCCCTCAGAAATAACGCCACATATCTACAACTATCTGATCTTTGACAAACCTGAGAAAAACAAGCAATGGGGAAAGGATTCCCTATTTAATAAATGGTGCTGGGAAAACTGGCTAGCCATATGTAGAAAGCTGAAACTGGATCCCTTCCTTACACCTTATACAAAAATCAATTCAAGATGGATTAAAGACTTAAACGTTAGACCTAAAACCATAAAAACCTAGAAGAAAACCTAGGCATTACCATTCAGGACATAGGCATGGGCAAGGACTTCATGTCTAAAACACCAAAAGCAATGGCAACAAAAGACAAAATTGACAAATGGGATCTAATTAAACTAAAGAGCTTCTGCACAGCAAAAGAAACTACCATCAGAGTGAACAGGCAACCTACAAAATGGGAGAAAATTTTCACAACCTACTCATCTGACAAAGGGCTAATATCCAGAATCTACAATGAACTCAAACAAATTTACAAGAAAAAAACAAACAACCCCATCAAAAAGTGGGCGAAGGACATGAACAGACACTTCTCAAAAGAAGACATTTTTTGCAGCCAAAAAACACATGAAAAAATGCTCATCATCACTGGCCATCAGAGAAATGCAAATCAAAACCACAATGAGATACCATCTCACACCAGTTAGAATGGCAATCATTAAAAAGTCAGGAAACAACAGGTGCTGGAGAGGATGTGGAGAAACAGGAACACTTTTACACTGTTGGTGGGACAGTAAACTAGTTCAACCATTGTGGAAGTCAGTGTGGCAATTCCTCAGGGATCTAGAACTAGAAATACCATTTGACCCAGCCATCCCATTACTGGGTATATACCCAAAGGACTATAAATCATGCTGCTATAAAGACACAGGCACACGTATGTTTATTGCGGCATTATTCACGACAGCAAAGACTTGGAACCAACCCAAATGTCCAACAATGATAGACTGGATTAAGAAAATGTGGCACATATACACCATGGAATACTATGCAGCCATAAAAAATGATGAGTTCATGTCCTTTGTAGGGACATGGATGAAATTGGAAATCATCATTCTCAGTAAACTATCGCAAGAACAAAAAGCCAAACTCCGCATATTCTCACTCATAGGTGGGAATTGAACAATGAGATCACATGGACACAGGGAGGGGAATATCACACTCTGGGGATTGTTGTGGGGTCGGGGGAGGGGGGAGGGATAGCATCGGGAGATATACCTAATGCTAGATGACGAGTTAGTGGGTGCAGCGCACCAGCATGGCACATGTATACATATGTAACTAATCTGCACAATGTGCACGTGTACCCTAAAACTTAAAGTATATAAAAAAAAAAAAAAGTTAGCTGCGCATGTTGGCAGGCACCTGTAGTCCCAGCTACTTGGGAGGCTGAGGCAGGAGAAGTGTTTGAACCCAGGAGGCAGAGGTTGCAGTGAGCTGAGATCAAGCCACTGCACTCCAGCCTGGGCGAGAGAGCAAGACTCCATCTCAGAAAAAAAAAAAAAGTGTAGCTCAAGCCTATTATCCTAGCAATTTGGGAGGCTGAGGGGGGCAGATCCCTTGAGCCCAGCAGTTCATGACCAGCCTGGGTAACATAGCAAAATCCTATCTCTACAAAATATACAAAAATTAGCCAAGTGTGATGGCATGTGCCTGTCGTCCCAGCTACTTGGTAGATTGAGGCAGAAGGATCCCTTGAGCCCAGGAGGTTGAGGTTACAGTGAGCCAGGAAAGCACCACTGCACTCGAGCCTGGGTGACAGAGTGAGACCCTGTCTCAAAAACAAACAAATAAAACCCAGCATTTATATATTCCTAGCAGCACTATTCACGATATCAAAATTATGGAACCAAGCTAAGTGTCCATCAACAGTTGACTGAATAAATAAAATATGGTACATATGTGCCACAGAATATTACCCAGCCTTTAAAAAGAATGAAATTATGTCCTTTGCCACAATATGGATGGAGCTGGAGGCCATTATCATAAGCAGAGTAACTCAGAAACAGAAAACCAAATACTGCATATTCACACTTATAAGTGGGAGCTAAACAATCGGTACAAATTGACACAAAGATGGAAATAATAGACAACTGTGGACTCCAAAAGGGGGGAGGGTGGAAAGGGGTGAGGACTCACTATTTGGATAATGTTGACTATTTAGGTAATGGGTACACTAAAAGTCCAATCCCCACCAGTTCACAATATGCCCATGTAGCAAACATGCACATGTACTCCTGAATCTAAAATCAAACAAAGTTAAAAACATAAAAAGCTTAGTTATGCTAAAAATAACTCCCCCCCTCAAAGAAAAACAGCAAAAGCCCCCACTAAAACAAGAGAAAACATAACTGGTAGGCTGAGTAGACTGTCTTCCTGATGTGAGTGGGCCTCATCTGGTCAGTTGAAGGATTGAATAAAACAAGCCTTCTTATTGACACATTAGCTTTTTCCTGCCTTAGGACTTGAATTGAAAGATCTGCTCTTCCTGGGCCTCATGCTTGCAGGCCTTCAGCCTGGAACTACACAACTGGCTCTCCTGGGTCCCCAAACATGGACTCATCATCCTTCAGATCTTGAGAGTTGTCAACCTCCATAATTGCATGATTGCATAAGCCAATTCCTTATGATAAATCTCTCTCATATATATACACATATGTAAATATATACACATGTATATATGCAAGTATACAAACACACACACACACATGCACACACACACTTAGTTTCTCTGGAGAACCTGATATAATACTTAAAGCACATTTAATGAGGAATTACAATATTCCAGGTAGGCCTTGGGCTAGGGGCTCCTACATTTTATTTTCAGAACCCTGGGTGGTAGAGTAGATTGACCCAGTTTGAAGATGGTAAGTGAAAACCAGAGAGGAGTTCCAGATCCAGTGAACTACTTTCACTTGTTAGTGGGGACACAAGCTTCATCCAAATTGGTAGGCCACTCCTGCCACCCCCAGCCACTCTGGGGTGGATAAGTGGTCATTCCCAGGAAGGTGATCAAGCTCCCCTTCTGTCCTTATGGGACGGACTTTTCCAGGGCCCAACCTTACCGCAGTTCAGTAGTCTGCCTCTGTGCTGCTCCTGTGACTGTCCCGCAACTCCCGAGTCGGTTGCGTTTGCACTGTCAGGGGAAGGCTCCAATAAACAGGAGAGCCATTCTCCTTCTGGGCTAAGTCTTACCCAGTGGCACCAAGGGTCCCAAATCTCCTGCATCCTGTGGCTCTAGCCCACAGGCAAAGGAGACAGAAACCTGCCATCTCCAATCCCAGACAGGCCCCCAGATATGTTACGGGACAATCAGAGATGGGAGAGACCGAACAGAATTCAGGAAAGCCTTTATTAAGTTGATCACCTGGCTCAGTAGGACTAGTGTCCAGGAAAGTCTGAACCCTGGACAAAGAATGCAGCCTCCTTTTAAGCTTCCAGTGGCCAGGAGCTATGTGATGCAGGAAGTGTACTTACAGAAGTGAGAACAAAGGCAGTTGATCAGTCTTTTACATTTACCTATACTACTTGTTCCACATCCTTGGGAAACAATGTTTCTGTAACATATACTTATCAACCTTGTAACTTTGCAGCTGCACTAGGGAGGTGAAGCAGGAATTCACTGAGCCCCAAGGAATGGGAAACTGGTGAGTACAGATAAGGCTTGCTGAGCACAGAAGGAAAACCAGGCAGTTAGTATTCTTCTCTAACTTAGACTATGGGGGTGGGGGCTATACTACACTTAGCTTAGAAGGAAAAAGTAAAAATTTCTTGGTGGTCTTTGATTATACTTGCAAAATTCATGAATTCCTTCTTCATTGGAGGTTGCAGTGAGTTGAGATCATGCCACTGCGCTCCAGCCTGGTGACAGAGCTAGACTCCGTCTCAAAAAAAAAAAAAAGTATTTGTAAATTTGGGATACAATTTACATACAAAAATTACTCCCTTAAAAGTGTGTAATTCAATAATAATTATAGTCACAAAGTTGTACAACCATCACCACTATCTAATTCCAGAACATTTTGATCACCCTTCAGCTTCTTTTAGTTCTCCCAGAACTCTCCACATTGATCCCACTCTGGCTACCAGCACTAGCTGGACAGTAATGACTCTCAGAGGTGAACACAATATGCCTCAACATGCCTTTCTGGAAGTTCACATAGGAACTGCACAGCACCTGAATTCCAGTTCTGCAAAGCTCTTCTCTGAATACTGGAGGTACCAGCATGATCCTGGCACTGCCCCTGCCTCCGCTGTCTGTCTAATTGTAGCTCTCTGGGGCCACTCTTGTGAGTTTCTAAGTTCTGAGGACCTTAATCTTTTCCACTGTTTCCCAGCCCTAGACAGGTAGCTGCTACCTGATGTTGTCATCCCGTGTTAGCTCAGTGTTCATTTTTACCATTAAAACACCTGCTTTAAATAATCTTCATCAAATTCTCTCAGTTGTAATACTTGAGTGATCTCTCTTTTACCATTTGAAACCTGATTGATGTAAATATACTTGCACAAATCAACAATAATTTATTTTATTATTATAAAGTTATATAAGTGGAATTACAATATTATAAGTCCTTTAAAGTTTAATTAAAATGAGGTTCTTGCCAAGAATGTACATTGTGTAAAGGGCCCCCTGCTCAATAAATTGTGCTGGGAAAACTGCATATCCATATGCAGAAAAACAAAACTTGATCCCTACCTATCACCATGTACAAAAATCAACTCAAAATGGATTAAAGACTTAAACATAAGACCAAAAATTGTAAAAATACTAGAAGAAAACCTAGAGAAAACTCTTCAGGGCATTGGTCTAGGCAAAAATTTTATGACTAAGATTTAAAAAGCACAGACAGGGGCCAGGCGTGGTGGCTCATACCCGTAATCCCAGCACTTTGGGAAGCTGAGACGGGTGGATTGGGAGGTCAAGAGATCGAGACCATCGTGGCTAACATGGTGAAACCCCGTCTCTACTAAAAATACAAAAAAATTAGCCAGGCATAGTGGTGGGCGCCTGTAGTCCCTGCTACTTGGGAGGCTGATGCAGGAGAATGACATGAACCCAGAAGGCGGAGCTTGCAGTGAGCTGAGATTGGGCCACTGCACTCAGCCTGGGCAACTGAGCGAGACTCCATCTCAAAACAAAACAAAACAAAACAAAACAAAAAAACAAAAGCACAGACAGGGCCAGGCATGGTGACTCACTCTCAGCACTTTGGGAGGCCGAAGTGGGTGGATCATGAGGTCAAGAGATTGAGGCCAACATGGTGAAACCCTATCTCTACTAAAAATACACACACACACACACACACACACACACACACACACACAAATTAGCTGGGTGTGGTGGTACACACCTGTAATTCCAGCTACTTGGGAGGCTGAGGCAGGAGAATTGCTTGAACCTGGGAGGTGGAGATTTCAGTGAGCCGAGTTCATGCCAATGCACTCCAGCCTGGCAACAGAGCAAAATTCCATCTCAAAAAAAAAAAAAAAATCACAGACAGGCCAGGCACAGTGGCATACACCTGTAATCCTAGCACTTTGGGAAGGTGAGGTGGGCAGATTCCTGAGCACAGGAGTTCGAGACCAGCCTGTGCAACATGGTGAAACCCCATCTCTACTAAAAATACAAAGTTTAGCCAGGCATGGTGGTGGGCACCTGTAATCCCAGCTGCTTGGGAGGCTGAGGCAGGAGGATCACTTGAGCCCAGGAGGTAGAGGCTTTAGTGAGCTATAATCACACCATTGCATTCCAGCCTGTGCAACAGGGTGACAGCATGTCTCAAAATAAATAAACAAACAAATAAATAAAAGCACAGACAACAACAACAAAAAGAAATGGGACTGTATTAAACTAAAAAGTTGCACAGCAAAGGAAACAATTATGAGAGTGAAGAGACAACCTGTAGAACAGTAGAGAATACTTGCAAACTATTTATCCAAAAGGGACTAATATCCAGAATATACAAATAACTCAAAAAACTTGACAGCAAAAACAAAAACAAAAACAAGTAATCTGATTAAAATGTGGGCAAAGGATCTGAATAGATATTTCTTAAAAGAAGACATACAAATGGCAAATAAGTATATGAAAAATGTCCAACATCACTAATCATCAGGGAAATGCCAATCAAAATCACAATGAGGCATCATCTCACCCTCGTTAGAATGTCTATTATAAAAAATATAAAAAATAAGTGCTGGTAAGGATGCACAGAAAAGGGAACTCTTAGACACTATTGGTGGGAATGTAAATTAGTACAACCATTATAGAAAACAATGTGGAGGTTTCTCAAAAAATGAAATAGAACTACCATACAATCCAACAATCACACTGCTTGGGCACATATGCAAAGGAAGGGAAATCCATATTTCTAAGGGATACCTGCACTCCTGTGTTTATAGCAGCACTATTCACAATAGCCAAGATATAATATCAACCTAAATGTTCACCAACAGATGAACGGAAAAAGAAAATATGGTATATAAACACAGTGGAATATTATTATGCTATAAAAATGAAATCCTGTCATTTGCAACAACATGGATGGGCCTGGATGTCATTAAGTGAAATAAGTCAGACACAGAAAGATAATTACTGCACATTTTCACTTATATTTGGGAGCTAAAAAAATTGGGGCTCATAGAAGTAGTGAGTAGAATTATGGGCATTAGAGAGTGAGGGGATAGTGGGGAGGGAAGGATGGGGAAAGTTTGGTACATGAACACAAAATTACAGCTAGATAGAAGAAATGAGCTCTGGTGTTCCACAGCCCTGTAGAGTAAATATGATTGACTGTAATATCAGTCTATATCCCCTAAATATTCACAATTATTAGGTGTCAACTAAATATAAAAGGGAAAAAGGTACAAAAACAGAAAAAATGAGAGGCAAAAAATCAGACAGAGTTAATCAAATTCACAATAAAAATGAATAGCCGTGGCCAGGTGTGGTGGCTCATGCCTGTAATCCCAGCACTTTGGGAAGCAGAGGCTGGTGGGTCACCTGAGGTCGGGAGTTCAAGACCAGCCTGAACAACATGGAGAAACCCCATCTCTAGTAAAAATACAAAAAATTAGCCGGGCATGGTAGCGCATGCCTGTAATCCCAGCTACTCAGGAGGTGGAGGCAGGAGACTCACTTGAACCCGGGAGGTGGAGGTTGCAGTGAGCCAAGATCATGCCATTGCACTCCAGCCTGGGCAACAAGAGTGAAACTCTGTCTCAAAAAAAAAAAAAAAAAAAAAAAGAATAGCTGTGATGGTAAACTTGACTTGGTCACAGGGTGTCCAGATTAAACATTACTTATGGGTGCATCTGTGAGGGTGTTTACAGATTAGATTAGCATTTGAATCAGTGGACTCAGTAAAGCAGATTGCCCTCCTTATGTGTATGGACATGATTCAATCCACTGAGGGTCTGGATAGAACACAAGGCAGAGGAAGGAGGAATTCACCCATATTTTCTGCCTCATTGTTGAGTTGGGACATTTCATCTCATCCTCTCCTGTCCTTAGACTGGGATTTACACCATTGGCTTCCCTGGTTCTCAGGCCTCTGGACTCATACCAGAATTACACCACCAGCATTCCTGGATCTCTAGCTTGCAAATGACAGACTGTGGGACTTCTTAGCCTCCATAATCATGTGAACCAATTTCTCACCACCAATGTCTCTTTCTGCCTTACTCCCTCCTATTGGTTCTGTTTCTCTTGAGAATCATGACTAATACACTGGGAATAAACATTTCCCCAAGCCCATACCATAGGTGTATATTAGTGTTTTTTTCAATCTTTTCAAATCTTAAATTTAAAAATATTTTATTTATTTATAATTTCCCCCAGTTGGAAACAACTAGCATATCCCTGGACTGGGGAATGGATAAGGAAACTGGTAAATCCGTACCAAGAAATAGGAGTCAGCAATGTCAGAGATGATAAATTCTTCTTCAAAAAGCTTAAGTTCCCTGTTCTTTGTTGCTTAAGACCAACTTCCTTGTACTTCCTTGTCTCCTAGCTACCTGTTCTGTAAACAACCTTCCTGCCTTTGCTGTGCACAGACAAGTCCAGATATGACTTCCCACCTTTGCCGTGCCCAGACAAGTCCAGATATGCCTTCCCACCTAGTAATGGACAGTCCTCCTTCCTTCCCGCCTAATAGACCCTATTCAATTTTAAACCTTAGCCAATAGAGTTAGCTTAGACTGTGAGGTCCAACCCCAGCCAATGGGGAAGGGACACAGAAGTGCTAGGAACTGTATCAGGGATAAAATCCCCTGCCCTACCCCTCTCAGTGTACTCTTGTGATCGTGACTGGCACAAGCTGCACCCTTCTGCAGAAGTAAATTTGCCTTGCTGAGGAATTTTCTGCCTACGCGCTGGTTTTCTCTGTGGCACCGGGCACTTGTTTCTAACAGCAGGAAAAGCAAACAGAGGTATTGGTACACAAAACAACACAGAAGGATCTCAATTGCATTGTGTTAAGAGATACCAGATTCAACAACTACATACTGTGTGATTCCATTTATATAATATCCTAAAAAAGGCAAACATATAGGCCCAAAGAATAGATAGCGGTTGCAAGAGGCTAAGAGTGGTGAGAGAATCTGACTTTAAAAAGGTAGCATGGAGGAATTTTATTGACAGAGATGAAACAATTTTGTGTCTTGCTTGTAGTGGTGGTTACACAAATCTATGCATTGTCAAAACTCATAAAATTATGCATCAAATAAAGAACTTTTCAGTATATAAAGCATAAATTAAAAAATGTAAATTTCAATAAATGTTTCACGTATTTTTACTCAAATATTTGCATTTCTTTCTTTTTTTTTTTTTTTGAGACGCAGTGTCGCTCTGTCACCAGGTTGGAGTGCAGTAGCGCAATCTTGGCTCACTGCAACCTCCCCATCCTGGGTTCAAACGATTCTCCTGCCTCAGCCTCCTGAGTAGCTGAGACTACAGGTGTGCACCACAACGCCCCACCTAATTTTTGTATTTTTAGTACAGAAGGGGTTTCACCATGTTGGGCAGGATAGTCTCGATCTCTTGACCTCATGATCTACCCGCCTCAGCCTCCCAAAATGCTGGGATTACAGGCGTGAGCCACCACGCCTGGCCATATTTGCATTACTTTCAATTCTCATAATGGACTTAAAAAGTTTTGCTGGAATGGAGTTGCTTATTTTTCTCTATTATAAAATGTGACTGATATTAAATTTATAGTTTCTGTCTTTGGCATCACATCCCTTGTTGTTTTTTTTGAGACAAGGTCTCACTTTGTCACCCATGCTGGAGTGCAGTGGTGCCATGATGGCTTACTGCAGCCCGGGGCTCAAGTGATCCTCCAACCTCAGCCTCCTGAGTAGCTGGGATCACAGGTGCCTGCCTACATGCCAGGCTAATTGTTATTTTTAGTTTTTTGTAGAGATGGGGGTCCCACTATAGTGCCCAGGCTGGTCTTGAACTCCAAGGATCAAGTGGTCCTCCTGCCTCCGCCTCCCAAAGTGCTGGGGTTACAGGTGTGGGCCACTGTGCCTGGTCCACTTGTCAATTTTCAAAAATTTTTACTCTTTTAGTGGTTTAAATGTTTAAGTATTGTATACATGTGAGATTTTATCATGTGTGATCTATGTATATCTCTACATTCCAAATTGCTCGGAATGACATGCTCTTTGGAATACTCCATTCTTTCCCTCACTGTTTTGAAATGCTGTATCTACTACACATTAAAGAATACTCTTAAGCTGTCTTATTTCCATGGAGCAGGTGCCAAACTACTTTGAATAGAGCAATATTATATAGATAGATGTAGATAGATACAGATATTCCTTAGGCATTTTTTTCCTGCTTTTTAAAATGTATACTGGCTGTTCATTTGGGTTTTTACTTATTCTAGATAAAGTTGAGAATGCTTTTGTGAAGTACAGAATACACTAAAGATCAAAGAGAAAAAATACATAACAAAAATTTGTTGATATTCTTTTAGGAATTTTGTCTTCCTAAGAAAGGTACAGATAGACTAAAAGTATTTCCATTTAGTCAAGCAATTTTAATGTCACAGAGGAAATCATACGTGACATTTATTTTCTTCTTTCAGATTATGTCTAGTTCCTTACTGAGCTACAATTTCCGTTTATTGCTTTAACCATTTTGATGAAGTAGCTTTCCGGCCGCACCTTCCCCTTTTTTCCCCCGCTCCCAAAGAACCGCTGATAGCATGAAAGTCTTTTAAACTGTATGGACGAGATCTATTTCCTAACATTTAAACGGAAAATGACACGCAGCGGTCCTTTCCTTGAGCGTCTGCGTCTAAACTGCCCACAGACCTCCCCCGCAGTATATCCCTTTGGAGTGCCCCGGGGAAAGCCAGGGCTGCAGGCAGTTCCAGCACCAACTCAGACCGCATCTGCCCACTGCCTAGCGGGGCACTTCTCTACCAATCCGAAGGGCTGCTCGCCCGGCCTCACGGGAAAGGTAGTTTCCAGGTAGGGCGCCAACAGCATCAAGCTGTGCGCGTGGGCTCTGCGCATGCCTCGTCCGCCGGCTACGTCTGCGTTTCCGCCTTTCCTTTTGTTTTTCTCAGGTTTTGCGTGGGAGGCGGTCCCGGGATTTCAAGGGTCTACGCGCTTTTCTATGGCGAATGCAACCCGACGAGGGAGTGGGGTAAGCCCCAGTGGGTTGGGCAGGGAGAGAGAGGGAGCCCCGCGCGACTCCTGGGGCGGGCGGCAGGGGGCCGGTACCAAGTGGTGGGGAGGAGGCCCGGGGACCTCATAGGGGAAGGCGGGGACGGCGGGGCTGCAGCGTGTGGGCCACGACGCTAGGCCGGTTCCTCAAAGGCGCGGCCTCTGTACGGAGCAGGGTACGCAGCGTGTGTCGCCCCATTTGTGGGGGCCGCGGAGGAGGGCATGTGCGCTTGCGCAGTCCGCGCGCTGAGCCTTGCGGGAGGGGCAGTTCTCTTGTCTAGCCTGTGCGCGTGTGCTAGGGCGCCGCGGTACGTGGGCGGGGAAAGGCGGGTGCAGTCGCCCGCCAGACCGGCAGACTCGGTTGCACGTATTGCATTCATCCTCTTTAGGTTCCGAACTGACCTCCAGTCAGGTCCATCACTGCATCTTGGTATTTGCTGTTCCTCTGTCCTGACTTGATCTTGCACTCAGGAAAGATCTTCAAGAATTACCTAATTTTGGCCTGGCGCGGTGGCTCTCGCCTGTAATCCCAGCACTTTGGGAGGCCGAGGCGGGTGGATCACCTGAGGTCAGAAATTCGAGACCAGCCTGACCAACATGGTGAAACCCCGTCTCTACTAAAAATACGAAAAGTAGCCGGGCGTGGTGGCGCATGCCTGTAATCCCAGCTACTGAGGCGGAAAATTGCTTGAACCCGGGAGGCGGAGGTTACAGGTAGCCAAGATCGCACTATTGCACTCCAGACTGGGCAACAAGAGCGAAACTCCGTCTCAAAAAAAAACAAAAACAAAGAATTACCTAATTTTGCCTCATTTGTTAGAAGAAAAAGATTTTTTTTGTTTTTTTGTTTGTTAAGGTCACTGACTTGTTCAGGATCACAGTTAGTAGGGAAGACTAAGTCACATCTCCTGACCCCTAAGCCAGTACTGTCTACTTTTCCACACACATCAAAGCAAGTTTAAAATATCCCTTTGAGAAATAGCAACAAAGTTAGATGAAGAAATTAAAACTGATTTTTTCTTTGAAGCACTGCCGCTTATGGCTTTCTGTGGAGTCACTCACCAGAGGTTAAGTAACATTACTGGGAAAATAGATAGCTTAGTCCTATTTTTTACAATGGTTTTAGTGTTAATGTTCCTTCATTAAATATATTGTTAACTTGTTTGGCCAATATTGTCATTATACTTTTTTTTGTGAACACCGAGGGAGATTGAAATCCTTAGGAAGCAAATATTTACTTTCACCCGGTAAAAAATCTTGTGCCCAAGAGCTACATAATTATGTTGGAGTTATTCTTTCACCATTTCTACCGCCTATTCCGAAGTGTTCTTCCACCATTTCTACCCCCTATTCCAAAGTGTCAGAGGACATTGATACTCTCCCAGAGGAAGCATTTTACCTAGTGGGTGTGTATGGCTTCTTAGGGCGGAAGAATCCAGGAGTTGCCAGGCAGGCCAAATCTTTCATGACCCCATTCCTCTTTTTCTAACTCAGCTGTATCTTCAGAGTTGTCTCCGTCTTTCCAAGAACAGAACAAAATGAACAAGGTAAGTTGTTTATTAATTCCCTACTTTATTTTGCAGTGGACTTTGTGAGATTTGTAAGAGTCGATATGGTGTTTGTTTTTTTTTTTTTTTTTTTTTTGTGAGACGGAGTCTCACTCTGTCACCCAGGCTGGAGTACAATGTCCCCATCTCGGTTCACTGCAACCTCTGCCTCCCGGGTTCAAGCAATTCTCCTGCCTCAGCCCCCCGAGTAGCTGGGACTGCAGGCGCATGCTGCCACGCCTGGCTAATTTTTTGCGTTTTAATAGAGACAGGGTTTCACCGTGTTGCCTAGGCTGGTCGCAAACTCCTGAGCTCAGTCAATCCGCCCGCCTTGGTCTCCCAAAGTGCTGGGATTACAAGCGTGAGGCACCGTGTCTGGCCAAGAGTCAATATGTTAAGATGAGAAGTTAGTAATAGATAAAAATTGAACTTCCCAGAAAATATAAAGTAACAGATCAATAGCAGGGCCAAGTTAGAGTCAATAAGTTGAGCTTCGTATGTTTCTTACGTTTCCAACAACCATGGCAGAAAGGAAGACACTGGATACAGACAGACTGACTCCTCTGAAGGCACAAAGACTTCCTGGCAGATACCTTTTTTGGTCATAACATAGGGACCCATAGTGAATAAGCTTCCAGTGATAACCCTGAAATGAGTGCAGCCTATTGAGTCAAACTGCTTTTTTAATTTTTATTTCACACAGGTTCCAGTTTTCTTTTGGATGTAGTGTTTGATCAGTAAATTAAAATGTATTTTAATTTTAATTTTTTTATTTTTTTGAGACGGAATCTTGCTCTCTTGCCATTCTGGAGTACAGTGGCGCGATCTTGGCTCACTGAAACTTCTGCCTCCCGGGTTCAAGCGATTCTCTTGCCTCAGCCTCCCGAGTAGCTGGGACTACAGGCATGCGCCACCACACCTGGCTAATTTTTGTATTTTTAGTAGAGACGGGGTTTTACCGTGTTGGCCAGGATGGTCTTGATATCTTGACCTCGTGATCTGCTCTCCTCAGCCTCCCAAAGTGCTGGGATTACAGGCGTGAGCCACTGCACCCAGCCGGTAAATTAAAATGTATTTTATTATTATTATTTTTTTTGATACAGAGTCTTGCTCTGTCACCAGGCTGTAGCACAGTGGTGTGATCTTGGCTCACTGCAACCTCCGACTCCCTGGTTCAAGTGATTCTCCTGCCTCGACTCCTTGGTTAAAGTGATTCTCCTGCCTCAACCTCCCGAGTAGCTGGGATTATAGGCACGCACCACCATACCCAGCTAATTTTTGTATTTTTAGTAGAGACGGGGTTTCACCATGTTGGCCAGGCTGGTCTCAGTCTCCTGACCTCGTGATCCCCCACCTTGGCCTCCCAAAGTGCTAGGATTGTGTATTTTAATTTTTAATGAATCTTATTTCTACATGTGTAGCAGATAGATACACAACCCCCTAAATTTTAAATATAGAACTTAATGAATTATTACAAATCCGTGGCACAAATAATGAATACACAGGTCAAAACAAACATTGCCAGCACTCCTGAAGCTGCCGTCTTGTCCCCCTCACAATCCTGACACCTCCCTGCTCATTCATTCATTTACATATAAGCCACAGTATCTGGCTTCAGTGGCAGAGTTGAATAGTTGTGACAGGAACATTTTGGCCTGCAAAGCCCCAAATTTAATGATGTCTGATTTTTTTTTTTTTTTTTTTTTTTTTTTTGGAGAGAGTCTCACTGTCACCCAGGCTAGGGTGCAGTGTGCGATCTTGGCTCACTGCAGCCTCTGCCTTCAGGGCCCAAGGGATTCTCCTGGCTAAGTCTCCCAAGTAGCTGAAATTACAGGCACGCGCCATCACACCTGGCTAATTTTGTATTTTAGTAGAGACAGGGTTTTACTTGGCCAGGCTGGTCTCAAACTCCTGGCCTCAAGTGATCCGCCTGCCTTGGCCTCCCAAAGCACTGGGATTACAGGTGTGAGCCACCGTGCCTGGCCAAATATTTAATGTCTGATTTTTTACAGAAGAAGTTTACCAATCCCTAGATTAGTTTATTACGTTTATTTGTTGCTGGTGTGTACTAGTCTAGATGACTTTTCCTACTTCAAGGTTATGAAGATACTCTTGTTACCTTTTAAAATATTTCTTGTTTTGGCATTCACATTTACATCTCTTTCATTGGAATGAGTGTCTACTTCTGTATGAGGTAGATGTCAGATTCCTTTTTTCATGTGGTTAATGTAGAATTATTTTTGAAAACACCATCCTTTCCCCACTGTTTTACATTGTGATATTTGTCATCAATTATGTGTACATATATGTCTGTGTGTTTTTTGGGCTATGTTCTGTTGGTTGGTTGTGCCAGTACCACACTTGGTGAAACATCTTAGCGTCTAGTAGCTGGTTTAACACATTTTTTCTTCAGCAAGATCCTGGCTCTTCCTAGTTCCTTGCATTTCCATACAAATATTGTTAGTATTAATAAAATAACTTGCTGAGACTTTCTTTGGGGTTGAATTGAACCTATATATAAATTTGGGAAGAATTACTTACCTTTTTTTTTGAGACAGAGTCGCCCAGGCTGGAGTGCAGTGGTACGATCTCAGCTTATGCAACCTCCACCTCCCGGGTTCAAGTGATTCTCCTGCCTCAGCCTCCCGAGGAATTGGAATTACAGGCACCTGCCACCACACCTGGCTAATGTTTTTGTATTTTTAGTAGAGACACGGTTTTGCCATGTTGGCCAGGCTGGTCTTGAACTCCTGACCTCAAGTGAGCCACCTGCCTTGACCTCCCAAAGTACTAGGATTATAGATGTGAGCCACTGTGCCTGGCCTCCAATTCCATTCTTGATTATTTTCTTTCCCCAGTTTTCTGACAACCTTCTGATTTTCTCTTGATGGCTTTGAACACCACTATATTATAAATGTCTTTGTAGTCCTTGTTTCATTCTTGATCTTCATATTATGCTTCATTTTTTTTTGAGTTGGAGTTTTGCTCTTGTTACCCAGGCTGGAGTGTAGTGGTGCTGACCTTGGCTCACTGCAACGTCTGCCTCCCAGGTTAAAGGGATTCTCCTGTCTCAGCCTGGTGTCTCAGCGGGTGTCTCAGCTGGGATTACAGACACCCGCCAACACGCCTGGCTAATTTTTTGTATTTTTAGTAGAGATGGGGTTTCACCATTTTTGTCAGGCTGGTCTCTTAACTCCTGAGCTCAGGTGATCCACCCACCTCAGCCTCCCAAAGTGCTGAGATTACAGGTGTGAGCCACCATGCCAAGCCTATGCTTCAAATTTAATATAATTAGGATGTTTCTTACTAGAATACTGTGTCCAACCTATATAGCCCTAACTTTCCTGGTTTACATTGTGGCCCTAGTATCTGGGCAGCTGTGCATGGAGATAGCCAGAGGAAACATTTTTTTTCTTAATGAATTGGTGACCACATTTTGTTGTTCTTGCCTCCTATTATCCGTGCCCTATTTGCATCCTGGTTTCTTCTACAGTAGTTTATGTAAATGTTGTTTTGTCCTTTGTCGTTCTCAGTAGAATTGGTTCTGTAAACGAAACCTGGTCCTGTAATTTCAGTATATGCTCATATCTCATCTTTGGCTCTCCCATTTTCACAGCAGTGATCCCTAAAAGATGTGCCCTAGAGGATATCCAGAACAATCCAATTGGATGTCTTCTCCGCTGTACTCCACAGAGGTTTCAAATATAATGGTTCCAAAATCTTTCCATTTTCTACACATCCTTATTATTGTCTCTGAATTAAAGGATTAGAACCCAGAATATGTATTGCGATGAAGAAAATGTCAGGCTCTTTTTCTACATTTTTAAATCCAAATGAGAGTTAAATTAGAATTCATAATGAATGTACTGACAATTTATTTCTGTGATTTGTAAATATAAATCTGTAGTTCTCAGTAATATTCTTGAAAATGGTAAATGATCAAATACTTTGGAGACCATTGGTCTAAAATTACTCTATAACCCATTTCCTTGGCTTTTTTTCTCAAGACAGCACCAGGCCATCTCCTGTGCTGTCTGCCATTTTGTTGATGTCTGCAGTGTGTTGGAGGCCCTCACCTTTGCTTGTATCATGGCCCTATGCTTATGAAGAACGTAATAGAGTGTTTTTCATAATTCAACCAACAGCTGTACTTCCTCAGTTAAGCTCAAAACAGAGCCAACTTTGCTCCTAATGTTAGTCTACTGTGTTTGTACTTTCACCTTAGTACTTGTAACATATTACCACACATATTTTCTTACCACTCTGTGTGTTCTTTGAACACAGGAAGATTTTTATTAATCTTAGTATTTCCAGCAGTGATGATAGTTCCAGGTACTTTGTAGGAACTTGATAATTTCTTTTGCATGAATTAATATCTTAATGCATTAATGGCAGAATATTTCTGTTATGATTTCTTTTTCCCTAAAAGTATAAAACAAAACAATATTCTGTGAATAATAATCATGGTAAGGATTAGCCCATACTTCTTTTTTCATGCCACCTAATTCTGAATGTTTCAGGTAGAACAGAAGTCCCAGGAGTCAGTATCATTTAAAGATGTGACTGTGGGCTTCACCCAGGAGGAGTGGCAGCACCTGGACCCTAGTCAGAGGGCTCTGTATAGAGATGTGATGCTGGAGAACTACAGCAACCTTGTCTCAGTGGGTAAGGTCTGTTCACTGTATCATTCTAAATAGCATTTGTTTATTCTTTTGATTATGAAGCGTATGGGCAGTCTGTATAGTTTAATGATATTTAAGGTTAGGCTTCAGGAGTCAGTGTTGATTGATCACCTCTGAGTACCAGAAGATACTTGTGTTCACCTCTCCAGTGAAAATGTTCCACTGGCAACTCGAAGCAGCCCCAGAAGCTTCTTCCTGCTTCAAAGGCCTGAAGTCTAGACTGCTTGGTCCAAATCCTAAATTATTTCCTGTTAACAGGGTATTGTGTTCACAAACCAGAGGTGATCTTCAGGCTGCAACAAGGAGAAGAGCCATGGAAACAGGAGGAAGAATTCCCAAGCCAAAGCTTTCCAGGTGAGTTAATATGTACTGCACAGATTCACATCAGGGGATTTGTTGTTTCCCAGTAGTTAATTCAGGGTTTGGCAACTTTGGAAGATTTTTCAAGAACATCTCCATAGGGATCCTAACCTCTGGAAGTGATGGAGAATATTGATTCCTAAATCAAACTTCCAGATACTACTCACAAAAAATTCCTCCTTTTTGAATCGTTTTTTGAATGTTTACTATTCTTACACCTGCCAATAGTTCAGTCTTTGCCCACCTCAACTTTACTGTTGTTTTTCTTGGTTATCATTTTTCTCCAAGCACTTTCAGTGTCCTACCTTGCCTCCCTTGTTTTGTGTTTATTCTGTTGTCAGAATTTTTTATACACTCATTTTTAAACTCAGCAAATAATGTTTGCATACTTGCTGTGTGCTGAGGATATAATGATGAAAAACATTAGGCTGGGTGTGGTAGCTCACACCTGTAATCCCAGCACAGGTCGAGGCAGGCAGATCACTTGAGGTCAGGAGTTCCACAACAGCCTGGCCAACATGGTGAAACCCCGTCTGTACTAAAAATACTAAATTAGCTGGGTGTGGTGGCAGGTGCCTGTAATCCCAGCTAACTGGGAGGCTGAGGCAGGAGAATCACTTGAACCCAGGAGGCAGAGGTTGCAGTGAGCTGAGACTGTGCCACTGCACTCCAGCCTGAGCAACAGAGTGAGACTTTGTCTCAAAAATAAGTAAATAAATATAAAAAAATAAATTATGCCTCTAAGTATATTATGTATACCTATATGTATATGTATATTAAATGTTCTGTGGTTTTAAAGACTATGAAAGAAATTAAAGCAAGTTAGATTGGCTGAATGTGGTACTTTAAAGAACAGTCAGGGGAAACCTTAATGAGGTCAACATTAGAGCAGAGATTTGAATGAAATGACTGTGTGAGCCATGAGGATTCTGACCCTTTTCAGCAGGGGTAATAGCAGCTGCTAGCCTTGGGCAGGAATGTGGTTGGTGGGTTTCAGGAATAACCAAAAAGTCACAGTGGCTGAAGGGAGGGGTTGATTGGAGGAAGGGCAGGAGGTGAGGTGAGGGAGACAGCTAGAGTCCAAAGGTGAGCCCATCATAAGCCTTATTCAGTTAATTTTATTTTTAATTTAGTGGTAGATTTTCAGCAGATGAGCAACATCTGATTTATATTTCTATAAGATCTTTCTCACCTCTGTAGAGAAAATATTGGGCATGGCATAGGGCATAGAGAGCTCATTAAAGGCCTTGGTAGTTTTCCTTATGAGTGATTGTGGTAGCTTAGACAGAGCCGGAAGGCAGGAGGGAATGGGATGTAGTTTGGTTCTCTCAGTATTTGGAAAGTGGGGCAATAACAAAAGAACTAACATTTGTAACATCAGAAGGAGGGGAAAGAGGTGTTTAAAGTATTTGAAGAAGTAATGGCTGGACCTTCTCAAATTTAGCGAAAAGATATAAAACTACACATTCCCGAGTCTGAAGTAACATCAAATAAGTCCATGGCAAACTCACACTGTAATTAAATTTTTGAAAACCAAAGACAAAAATTTTCTTTTTTTTTTTAATTTGAGCTTGTGATAATTTTATTTTATTTTATTTTATTATTATTATACTTTAAGTTTTAGGGTACATGTGTACAAGGTGCAGGTTTGTTACATATGTATACATGTGCCATGTTGGTGTGCTGCACCAATTAACTCGTCATTTAGCATTAGGTATATCTCCTAATGCTATCCCTCCCCACTCCCCCCACCCCGTAACAGTCCCCAGTGTGTGATGTTCCCCTTCCTGTGTCCATGTGTTCTCATTGTTCAATTCTCACCTGTGAGTGAGAACATGCAGTGTTTGGTTTTTTGGCTTTGCGATAGTTTGCTGAGAATGATGGTTTCCAGTTTCATCCATGTCCCTACAAAGGACATGAACTCATCATTTTTTATGGCTGCATAGTATTCCATGGTATATATGTGCCATATTTTCTTAATCCAGTCTATTGTTGTTGGACATTTGGGTTGGTTCCAAGTCTTTGCTATTGTGAATAGTGCCGCTATAAACATACGTGTGCATGTGTCTTTATAGCAGCATGATTTATAATAAAATTTTCAAAGTAGCCAGAGAGAAACAACACATTCCCTACAGAGAATGACTGTGGGTTTCTCTTCTGAAACTGCGGCAGCAGGAAGGAAGTAGTATGTTTTCTCAAGTACTGAGAGGAAAGCACTATCAAATAAAAATCTGTATCTTTTGAAACTATCTTCATGAATAAAGGGGAACTAAAGGCATTATTAGACAGGGAAGCTAAGAGAAAATGTTGCTAGCAAACCTACCTTTAAAAATTGGCTAGAAGTTCTCTAAATAGAATGGAAATAACACAAGAAGGCTTGGAATGCAGGCAAGAAAGAAGATTGGAGGTTGGCAAAAATAGGGATAAATATATTTTTCTCATGAGTTTCTAGAATCATTTTTGATGGTTGGAGCAAAATGCTCTGTATGTAGTGGGAACACTTAAGACAATTATATTTTAAAAGTGGGGAGAGTAAAGGGGCCTAAGTGGAATGAAACTTGGTGCATTTCACTTCAAGTGGTAAAATGTCTGATAGACTGATAAGTTACATATGTACATTTTTATACCTAGAACAACTACTGAGAATACTATAAAATGTGATACACTTAGAAACACTATAAATAAACCAAGATGGAATCTAAAAGATGAATGGAAAACAGAAAACAAAACAAATAGCAGCCTAACAGAGCAATATTTACCTTAAATGTAAATGATCAAAGTATACTAATTAAAATATAAACTGATAGAGTGGAAAAAACATAAAACAATTCTAAAATTTTTAATTTTTGTGAGTACATAGTAGGTATATATATTTTTGAAGTACAGATGTTTTGATACAGGCATGCAATGTGTAATAATCACATTTACCCTAATGTGATTATTTATCTTTTGTGTTATAAACAATCCAGTTATACTCTTTTAGTCACTTCAAAATGTACAATTAAATTTGACTATAGTGACCCTGTTGTGCTAGCAAATATTAGGTCTTATTCATTCTTTCTAAAGGTTTTTTTCTACCCTTTAACCATCCTCACCTTCCCCCGACCCCACCCCACTACCTTTCCCAGTCTCTGGTAACCGTCCTTTTACTTTCTACCTCACCTCCATGAGTTCAGTTATGTTAATTTTTAGCTTTCACAAATAAGTGAGAACATGCAAAATTTAACATTCTGCTTCCATTTCCGTCTAGGTTGTTGCATATGACAGGATCTCTCATTCTCTTTTATGGCTGAATGGTACTCCATTGTGTATATGTACCACATTTTCTTTATCTGTTTATCTGTGAATGGACACTTAGGTTGATTCCAAATCTTAGCTCTTGTGAACAGTGCTGCAGTAAACATGGGAGCAGAGATATCTCATTGATGTACTGATTTCTTTTCTTTTGGGCATATACCTAGCAGTGGGATTGCTGGATCATATGATAGCTCTATTTTTAGTTTTTTCAGGAACTTCCAAACTGTTCTCTTTCAGCCATATGAAGTGAAAACCATGCTCTGTAAGTGCTCACCTGACTTTTAGTTCCTGTGAAACTGCTGCTTTTGTGTGGATAGTTGCCAATCTTAGTCTTCCTGCGGGGGGAGTGGGTATGATCGGTGGTGTTCTCTATTCCACCATCTTGCTCCACCCATCCTAAAAATGTTTTCTTAGGAAACTCATAACATAATGAACAACATAGGTTGATAAAGTATATAAAAAGATAAACTGTACAAACATTAATCAAAACAGAGTGACACTATTAATATCAAATACAGTAGACTCCAGAGCAAAGAAAATTATTAGACAAAAGGAACATTATATAATGATAAAAGGATCAATCCAACAAAAATGCAATGATCCTAAATGTGTCTCTAGCAAACCTCAAAGTACACAAAACAAAACTGATTGAGCTGAAAAGAGAAAAGCACATTTTTAATTGTATTTGGAAAATTCATCACTTCACTGTTAGCAATTGGTAGAATTACTAGCCATGAGGTCAGGAATTCAAGAGTAGCCTGGATAACATGGTGAAACCCTGTCTCTACTAAAAATACAAAAATTAGCCAGGCATGGTGGCGCATGCCTGTAGTCCCAGCTACTTAAGAAGCTGAGGTAGGAGAATCGCTTGAACTGGGAGGCGAAGGTTGCAGTGAGCCAAGATTGTGTTACAAAGCTTGGGTTACAGAATAAGACTCTGTCTCAAAAAAGAAAAGAAAAAAAAAGAGTAGTGCCCAACAACAGCAAAATAAAATTTTTTTCTCAAGTGTCCATGGAATATTCAGAAAGATAGACCATATTCTGGGCCATAAATAAGCCTTGGCAGATTTAAAAGAATTGAAATCATTCTGAGTATGTATGTTTTCTGGCCATAATGAAACCAAACTACAAATCAGTAATAGAGTGACAATAGGAAAATATCTAATCATTTAGAAATTAAACATCAGACTTCTAAATAAAGTCTGGAGTGAAGAAGGGGCCTCAAATTCAATAGTAGAAATGCATAGACTTAATGAAAATGAGACCATACCGTATCAATATATGTGGGAGGTAGCTAAAGCAGTGCTGATAGAGAAATTTATGGCACTAAATGCTGACAGTAGACAAGACGATAGGTTGCAAACCCATAATTGACTTTCTACCTTAAGAAACTAGAAAAGAGCAAAATAAAACCTCTGTTAAGTAGAAGGACGAAAATAACACTGGAAGCAGAAATCAGTAAAATTGAAAATAGGAAAAAGTAGAGAAAACTAATGAAACATAGGGTTCTTTGGGAAAAAATCAATAAAATTGATAAACGTCTAGCAATATTGATTTAAAATATAGAATGAGATGACAAATCATCAATATCTGGAATGAAACAGGGAATATCACTCCACCATCCATTTAACAGTATAATAAGGGAATCTTGTCAACAACTTTATGTTTATAAATATGACAACATAGGCCAGGTGTGGTGGCTCATGCCTGTTATTCCAACACTTTGGGAGGCCAAGGTGGGTGTATCACCTGAGGTCAAGAGTTCGTGACCACCCTGGCCAACATGGTGAAACTCCGTCTCTACTAAAAATACAAAAATTAGTCTGGTGTGGTGGTGCACGCCTGTAGTCCCAGCTACTCAGGAGGCTGAGGTAGGAGAATGGCTTGAACCCAGGGAGTGGGAGGTTTCAGTGAGCTGATACTGCTCCATTGTACTCTAGCCTGGGCAACAGAGCAAAACTCTGTCTCAAAAAAAAAAAAAAAAAAAAATGACAACATGGAAGAAATGTACCAGTTCTTCAGAAACCACAAACTATTACAACTCAGTCAGGGTGATATAGATAATTTGAATGACCCATAGGTTTTCATAAAGGTTGACATAATTTGAATCAAATAATTTAAATTTTAAAAACCTCCAAAAAACCAATTTCCAAGTACAAGAGAGTTGTAGTCCTCACTAGAGAATTCTACCAAACATTTACACAAGAATTAATGATGATTTTACACAATGTCCTCAGAAAATAGAAGTGGGAATATTTATTTTATTTATTTAATTAGATGGAGTCTTGCTCAGTCACCCAGGCTGGAGTGCAGTGGTGTAATCTCGGCTCACCGCAACCTCTGCCTCCCGGGTTCAGATGATTCTCCTGCGTCAGCCTCCCAAGTAGCTGGGACTGCAGGCACATGCCACCACACTCGGCTAATTTCTGTATTTTTAGTAGAGACGGGGTTTCACCATATTGGCCAGGCTGTTCTCCAACTCCTGACCTCATGATCTGTCCACGTTGGTCTCCCAAAGTGCTGGGATTACAGGTGTGAGCCACCGCACCCGGCCAAGAGGGAACATTTCTTAACACATTTAAAAAATTATTTTGATGCCAAAATCATACAGACAGTACAAAAATAATACAACTACAGACATATACCTCTCATAAATTTAGTAGCAAAAATCTTTAACAAAATACTAGCAAATAGAAAACAGTCATGTAAAAAGTATACACCATAATAACCAAGTGGGATTTATTTGAGTTATACAAGCAAGGCTGGTTCAACATTCAGAAATCGATCAATGTAATTAACCCAGCATAGGCTAAAGAAGAAAAATTACATAACATCAGTTAATAATAGAGAAAGGATTTGACAAAATGCAATATCCATCCATGATAAAAACTCTCCATACTAGACATTGAGAGGATCTTCCTCAATTTGATGAATGAACATGCACAAAATATTTATAGCAAATATATTTGCTGGTAAGATGAATGCTTTCCCTGTAAAACTGGGAACAAGGCAAGGATGTTTGCTCCTGCCACTCTTATTCATTGTAGTACTGTAACTTCTATCAAGCACAATGAGGCAAGAAAGTGAAATAGAAGTCATACACGTAGAGAAGAAATAAAACTTTATATTTACATATGACATGATTGTATACGTAGAATATTACAAGGAATCTTAGAAAAAAACCTCAGGCCAGGCGCAGTGGCTCATGCCTATAATCCCAGCGCTTTGGGAGGCTGAGGCAGGTGGATCACCTGAGATCGGGAGTTCAAGAGCAGCCTGACCAATATGGAGAAACCCCATCTCTACTAAAAATACAAAATTAGCCGGGTGTGGTGGTGCATGCCTGTAATCCCAGCTACGTGGGAGGCAGGAGAATTGCTTCAACCTGGAAGGTGGAGGTTACGGTGAGCCGAGATCACGCCATTGCATACCAGCTTGGGCAACAAGAGTGAAACTCCGTCTCAAAAACAAAACAAAAAAAAAAAAAAAAAAGAAAAAATGTAAACCTCCCAGAAAGAATGAATGATTTCCAAAAAGTTTCAGGATCCAAGATGAACACATATAATCAATTTCTCTCTACTAACAATGAACATATGGAAATCTAAATTAAAAACATAATACCACTTATTCCATAGAAAATTAAATAGTTTGGTATAAATTGAACAAAATATGTATAGGACTTTTGTGCTGAAAATTACAAAATGCTGATGAAAGAAATAATAGAAATAAATGAAGACACATGGTCTCTTGATAGATTGGAAAACTCAACTTAGTAAGTATGCCAGTTCTCTCCAAATTGATCTGTAGGTTTAATGGCATTCCTGTCAAGATTCCAGTAAGGTTTTTCTCAGCTTTAAATAAACTTATTCCAAAATTTGCATAAACAGTCAAAGTCATAAACAGTTGAAACAATTTGGGAAAATTTTTCTCAAAAGTTTTGAGAAAAAGAATAGTAGGAATTATTGTATCCAGTGTTAAGGCTTATTACATTAGTCTCCCCTTTTCTGTGGTTTTGCTTTCTGCAGTTTCAGTTACCTGAGGCCAGCTGTGGTTCAAAAATATTAAATAGGAAACTTCAGAAATAAATAATTCCTCAGTTTTAAGTTGCACACTGTTGTGAGTAGCATGATGAAATTTTGCACTGTCCTGTCCCAGGACATGAATCAACCCTATGTCTAGCATACCCAGGCTGTATATGCTACCCATGAGTTAATTACTTAGTAACTGTCTTGATTATTTATTGTCACAATATGTGTTCAGGTAACCCTTATTTTACTTAATAATGGCCCTGAAGTGCCAGAGTAGTGATGATAGCATATTGTTATAACTTTTCTATTTTATGATCTTGTTAATCTTTCCCTGTCCCTAATTTATAAATTAAACTTTATCATAGGTTTGTATATTTAGGAAAAAACATAGTATTTATAGGGCTCAATACTATCTGAGGTTTCAGGCTTCCGCTGGGTGTCTTGGAATGTACTTCCCTTGGATAAGGAGTGACTACTGTATGTATATATTAATAGCTATAATAATCAAGAGGACAGGATGTTGGTAGAATATACACATTGGTAGAACATACATATAGAATGATGGAAAAGAATGGAAAACCTCAACATTGATTATGCTGTTATATAGACTATATGTTCATGTCTCCCCAGAATTCATATGTTGGAGCCCTCACCCCAAGTGTGGTGGTGTTTGGAGATATGCAGCCCTTGGCAGGTAATTAGGGTTAGATTAAGTCATGAGAGTGGGGCCCTCAAGATGAGGTTAGTGCCTTACAGGAAGAGGAAGTGAGAGCTTGCTCACTCACCATGTGCATAGAGGAAAGGCGATGTGAATATGCAGTGGCCTTCTGCAAGCTAGGAAGAGGCCCTCACCAGGCCCTGGCCATGCTGGCGTCCTGATCTCAGACTTCCAGCATTTGGAACCGTGAGGAAATAAACTTCTGTTGTTTAAGCCACACAGTCTGTGGTATTTTGTTATGGCAGCCGAAGCTAAGACATTTGACAAACTGTTGACAAAAATGCAAAAGAAATTCAGCCAGGTATTCAGCAAATGATGCTGGAGCATTTTAACGTATCTTGTTTTGTGTGTGGTAAAATATATGTATCATGAAATTTGCCATTTTAACAGTCCAGTGGCATTACACTCACAATGTTGTATAGCCATTACCACAATTTCTAATAGATTTTCATTATTTCAAACAGAAACCCTATTGCTATTAAGCAGTAACTACTCATTCCCCCCTCCTGCCAGCCTATGGTAACCCCTTATCTAGTTTGTCTCTGTGAGTTTTGACTGTTGTGAATATTTCATGTCAGTAGTGTGACAACATTTGGCCTTTCATGTCTGCCTTATTTCACTTAGCATGATGCTTTCAGCTTTCAACTGTATTGTAACAAGTATCAAGACTTTCTTTTCTGGCTGTTTAATCCATTCATCTGTTGATATACACTTGGGTCATACACCTTTTGGCTGTTGTGAATAATGCTTCAGTGAACACTGGCATATCATTATCTGCTCAAGTTCCTGTATTCAGTTCTTTTGGATATAAACCTAGGAGTAGAATTCTTTTATCAAAGTATTTCTTTTAGCTTTTTGGGGTACCACTGAATTATTTTTAATGTGTAGATAGATAGATAGATAGATAATTTGTTTTTGAAACAGAGTCTTACCCTGTCGCCCAGACTGGAGTGCAGTGGTGCGATCTCGGCTCACCACAACCTCCGCCTCCTGGGTTCAAGTGATTCTTCTGACTCAGCTTCCCGAGTAGCTGGGACTACAGGCACATGCCACCATGCCTGGCTAATTTTTGTGGTTTTAGTAGAGACGGGGTTTCACCATGTTGGCCAGGCTTGAACACCTGACCTCAGGTGATCCACCCGCCTTGACCTCCCAAAGTGCTGGGATTACAGGCGTGAGCCACTGCACCCAGCCTTAACTTACTTTTTCTTTTGTTGCTCGTGCATTTTATGTCATAGGTAAGAATCCATCAGCAAACCCAAAGTTTTCCTTATGTTTTCTTCTAAACATTTTAAGTAGGGATCTAACTTTATTTTCTCACTTTATTTTCTTGTGGAAATCCAGTTGACCCAGCATCATTTTTTTGGTCATTTGTCATCATTCCAAACAGAAACTGTCGCCATTAAGCGGTAACTACTCATTCCCCCTTCCGACCAGTCTGTGGCAACCTCTAATCTATTTTGTCTCTGTGAGTATGACTGTTGTGAATATTTCCTGTCAGTAGTGTGACAATATTTGGCCTGCATCAACTGAAAGAAAAGGCTTTTCTTTCTCCCAGTGAATAGAATTGACACCCTTGTCAAAAATCAGTTGACCATAGGTAGTGTATTTTTGGGCTCTCACTTGCATTCCATTTGTCTGTCTATACCAATGCCATGACCACACTGTTTGGATTACTGTAGCTTTCTAATAAGTTGTGAAATTGGAGATTTTGAGTCTTCTGACTTTGTTCTTGTTCATTTTCTTTTCTTTTTTTTTTTAACATTGATTTTCTTATGTTGAACCACACAGGCATTTCCAGGATAAATTAGTCCTCTTAATATACCATTAAATATATTTTACTGGAATTTTTGTGTGTGTGTGTATAGCTTTGTATCTGTATTCATATGCATCATTCATTCATTCATTTATTCATTTGCATTTGTATTTTTTTTTTAAGAGACAGAGTCTCACTCTTGCCCAGGCTGTAGTGCAGTGGTACAATTACGGCTCACTGCAGCCTTGAACTTCCAGGCTCAAGTGATCCTCCCCATTCATCCTGCTGAGGGGACTACAGCTGTATACCACCATGCCCACTATGCCCAGCTATCTTTTTTTTTTTTTGGTGGAAACGGCATGTTGCTCATGCTGATCTTGGACTCCTGGCATCAAGTGATCCACCTTGGCCTCCCAAACCTCTGGGATTACAGGTGCTATCCACTATGCCCAGCCTCAGTCTAAAACTGTTAACTGTAAGAACTGTCAGTTTCTCCCTTGCATTCTGTCAGTGTTTGCTTTACATGTTTCAGGATGCTGCTTGGTACACACATAGTTATACTTTTTATATCTTATTGATGGAACGACCCTTTATTCATATATAGTATCCTTCTTTGTCCCTTGTAACAGCTTATGACTTAATCTATTTTGGGTGAAATTAGTATAGCCACCCCAGTTCCCTTTTGGTGGCTATTTTCATGGAATATCTTTTATCAGCCTTTCAGTTTTAATTTATTTGTGTCTTTGGATCTAAAGTCAGTTTGTTTTGGACAATGTGTAGTTTGATCATGATTTTAAAAAATCTATTCTGAAGCTGGGTGGTTCACACCTGTAATCCCAGCACTTTGGGAGGATCTCTTGAGCCCAGGAGTTGGAGACTAGCCTGGTCTACAAAGTGAGACTCTGTTTCTACAAAAAAATAAAATAAATAGTTGGGTGTGGTGGTATGCGCTTGTGGTTCCAGCTACTTGGGAGGATGAGGGAGGAGGATCCCTTGAGCCCAGGAAGTCAAGGCTGCAGTGAGTCATGTTTGTGTCACTGCACTCCAGCCTAGGTGACAGAGCAAGATCCTGTCTAAAATAAATAAATAAATAAAATAAAATAAAATAAAATCCATTCTGCCAGCCTCTGCCTTCTGATTGGTACATTCAATCAATTATCATTTAAACTAATCACCAACAAGGCAGTGCTTCTGCCATACTGCATTTTGTTTTCTGTATGTTGTATACCTTCTTTGGTCTCATATTCCTTTTATTACTGTCTTCTTTGTGTTTTGTTGATTTTTTTTTTTTTCGAGACAAAAGTCTTGCTCTGTTGCCCAGGCTGGGGTGCAGTGGTACGATCTTGGCTCACTGCAACCTCCTTCTCCTGGGTTCAAGTGATTCTCATGCCTCAGCCTCCCAAGTAGCTGGGACTACAGGCACGTGCCACCACATCCAGCTAATTTTTGTGTCTTTAGTAGAGATGGAGTTTTGCTGTGTTGGCCAGGCTGGTCTTGAGCTCCTGGCCTCAAGTGATCCACCCATCTCGGCCTCCCAAAGTGCTGGAATTACAGGCATGAGCCCACCATGCCTGGACTGATTTTTATAGTGAATCATTTTTATTCCCTTCTTTATTCCCTTCTCATTTCCTTCTGTGTATATTTTTTAGATATTGCCTTTGTAGTTAACCATGGGGATTGCTTTCACATTCTAAATTTATGAAAATCTAGTTTAAATTAATTCCCTCGTAACTTCAATGTCATATGAAGACCTTGCTTCTACCTAGCACCTTACTCATCCCCTTTATGTTGTTTTCACACATTACGTCTTTATACATTGTGTACCGATAATGTAAATTTTTATTTAGTTCTTATCCATTTATCTTTTAAGTCCCGCAGGAAGTAAAAAAATGGAGTTACAAAGCAAACATACAGTGACCCTGGCTTTTATATTTGTCTATATAGTTAACTTTATTGGAAATCTTTATTTTTTCCTCCAGATTAGAGTCTAGTTTGTTTTTATTTCATCTTTAAAGACACCCTTTAGTGCTTCCTGTATAGCAGGCTTAGTAGTAACAAACTCTTCAGCATTTGTTTATCTGGGATTAACTCCATTTCTCTTTCATTTTGAAGGACTGTTTTACCAGCTAGAGAGTTCTCAGATGATAGTTTTTTTCTTTCAGCAATTTATATATGTCATCCATCTGTCTTCAGGCCTTCAATTGATTTCTAAGGAGATATCAGCTCCTAATATTAATGAGGATCTCTTGTAAAGTAAAAATGCCACAAAACTTTCCCACCATTTGAAGTCGCCTTTTTCCTGATTTGGCATTCACTTGGTTACTGTAAACCTTTGTTTTCCAGAGTTCTAACAAGGTTGGTTTTTATAGTTCTTGTTTTTTGGTGTTTCTGTGGGGAGACAGTTTGGAGCTGTGTACTCCACCATTTGGTTATGTCACTCAACAACATGGACCTGTTGTCCACTCAAGAACAACAACAAAATGAGATCTGCAAAGAAACGGGAAAAATGTGACCTATGCACAGGACTAACAACAGGCAACACAATAATATGGTTTCTGCCATTTAAGTTGGCAGAAACGGGGTTGTCTGGTGCAGATCAGTGTATATTGTGTAATTTGAGGAAGAGCCAGTAAAATAATGAAAAATGAACAAAACCTTGGGAAACGGATATCATTAGGTGCACCAGCATATACAAATGGGAGTATCAATGTGAGAGAACAGAAAGGGAAAGAAAAATTTTTTGAAGAATTACAGAAACACCCACAATTTGTTGAAGAACACTAATATATTCATCCAAGAAGCTCAACAAACTCATATGAGGATAAATGCAAAGAGACTTATACCCAGACACGTTATACTGAAAGATGTTTTTATCATGCTCTTATTTGACCTGCCTTATAAAAGTGATAATACAAGTGCTGGTGAGGACTTACAGGAACTGAAATGTTCATATGTTTTTGATGGCATGTAAAATGCTACAGTCATTCTAGAAAATAGTTTGTCAGTTCCATTTAAAACTAAAAACAAACTTAGCATGTCAATCACTAGTTGCACTGTTAGACATTTATCCTTGAGAAATAAAAACTTATGTTCCATCAAAAAAATTTCATAGCAGTTTTATGGGTAATAGCCCAAACCTGAATAATCCAGATGTTCTTGAATGGATAATGTGTGGTGTGTCCATACCATGAAGTGTTACCCAGCATTAAAATGGAATGAATGGCCAATACATGTAACATTATGGATGAATCTCAAGAGATTAAGCTGAGTTTTAAAAAACCCAATCTCAAAAATTTACATATTTGTTCTGGTCCACCCCATAGTGTTGGGGTGAACCCTCCTACCCCCAATGTTTGGTTTGGATATCAAAACTGGTAATGATATTAAGAGTGTAAAAAGGAGTTTATTAGTTATAGAGACAGGTTTCTAGGGAGACTAGAGAAGGCTCCTAAGGAGATCTAAATGTGGGTTGAGAAAGAAGGGAGAAGAATGGCTGCTTGTCAGTAGGAATTTGGGGTGGGGTAAGCGCACACAAAAGGGATGGAGTTTGTGTGGTTTGAGTTTCCTACTGGCATTGAGGGAGTGACCACCTAGGCTTTATTATTGGCTTGCCCAAATGTAGGGTAAGAGGGGAGATGGGTGGGATTTGAAATCTATTAGCAGCCAATTACCACAAATGCAGTTAGGCTGTTTATCATAATACCTCATGATTTTATTTGGATAACACTTTTGAAATGACAACATAGAGATGGAGAACTGATTCGTGGTTGCCAGTGTTAGGAAGGCAGAGAGGGTGGGAGATGGCTGTAGTTACCATGTGTGGCATCCTTGTGATGGGACTGTTCTGTATCACCAATGTTGTGATTTTCACAAAAATCTATACCTGTGGCAAAATTTATAGAACTAAATATACACAACTAATGCATGTGAAACTTGTGAAATCTGAATAAGGTTGATTGAATAAATCAATGTCAGTTCTTGGCTGATATTGAACTATAGTTCTGCAAATTGTTACCATGGAGAAAACTGGGTGAGGGGTACATAGAATCTTCTCATTATTTCTTCCAGCTGCATGTCAGTTTAAGAATTGTCTCCAGGCTGGGTGTGGTGGCATATGCCTGTAATCTCAGCATTTTGGGAGGCCAAGGTGGGTGGATCACTTGAGCTCAGGAGTTTGAGACCAACCTGGGCAACATGGTGAAAACCCATCTCTACAAAAAGTAAAGACATTAGCCAGGTGTGGTGGTGCGTGCCTGCAGTCCCAGCTACTTGGGAGGCTGAGGTAGGAGGATCGCTTGAGCCCAGGAGGTCAAGGCTGCAGTAAGCTGTGATGGCACCATTCGACTCCAGCCTGGGTGACAGAGTGAGACCTTGCCTCAAAAAAAAAAAAGAAAAGAAAAAAAAAAAAAGAATTGTCTCCAAATAAAAAGTTTTGTAAATTACCTGCCAACTATAAATAATTCAGCTTCTTAATCTTTAATAAAGGTAATAGGCCGGGTGCGGTAGCTCACGCCTATAACCCCAGCACTTTGGGAGGCTGAGGCGGGCAGATCATGAGGTCAGGAGATGGAGACCATCCGGGCCAACATGGTGAAACCCCATCTCTACTAAAATACAAAAAATTAGCCAGGCGTGATGGTGCACTCCTGTAGTCCCAGCTACTCGGGAGGCTGAGGCAGGAGAATTGCTTGAACCCGGGAGGCGGAGGTTGCACTGAGCTGAGATGGCGCCACTGCACTCCAGCCTGGCAACACAGCAAGATTCCATCTTACAAAATAAAATAAAATAAAATAAAGGTAATGGACAAAAACATATTGTATACTATTTGTTGAAAAATCACAGCACACTTTCTATATGAGAGATGCTGGATCTCTTGTATCGCCAGTTTTACTGAATCTCATAGAGGATCTACTGTCCATTACACAGACAATAAAAAAAAATAAAACAAGGGTTGGGAAGTCAAATTGTCATTTTGTGTGCAGACAATTTGATTATCTGTACAAGCAAAAGTAAATGTTACACAGAAGTGATTCAAATTACTAAAAAAAGTTAGTTTAGTGAGGTGGTTGGCTGTAAGAACAATACATAATATCAGTTGTGTGTTATTTATACACCACGAAACAGGTATATAAGAAACAATTTTCTTGAGAATTATATGAGATATAATTCACATACTGTACTCTTCACCAATTTTACGTGTATAAATCAATCATTGTTAGTGTATTTGCAGGATTGTGCAACATTCCTGACAATTTTTTTTACTTTTTTTGAGATGGAGTCTTGCTCTGTTGCCCACGCTGGAGTGCAGTGGCAAGGTCTTGGCTCACTGCAACCTCTGCCTCCCGGGTTCAAGCCAGTTCTCCTGCCTCAGCCTCCTGAGTAGCTGGGATTACACAGCCTCCTGAATAGTTGGGATTACAGGTGCATGCCACCACACCCAGCTGTTTTTACATTTTCACCATGTTGGCCAGGCTGGTCTCAAACTCCTGACCTCAGGTTATCTGGCACCTCAGCCTCCCAAAGTGCTGAGATTACAGGTGTGAACCACCGCACCTTGCCGACAGTTGTTTTTTTGAGACAGAATCTTACTCTGTCGCTCAGGCTGGAGTACAGTGGCGCGATCTTGGCTCACTGCAACTTCACCTCCCAGGTTCAAGCGATTCTCCTGCCTCAGCCTCCCGAGTAGCTGGGATTGCAGGTGTGTACCACTATGCCCAGCTAATTTTTTGTATTTTTAGTAGAGATGGGGTTTCACCATGTTGGCCAGGCTGGTCTGAAGCTCCTGACCTCAAGTGATGTGCCTGCATAGGCCTCCCAAAGTGCTGGGATTATAGGCGTGAGGCACTGCGTCCGGCTGACAGTGTTTCTTAGAACGTTGTCATCATCCCTGAAACAAAGCAAATATCCGTTAGCAGTTACTTTCTCTTTCCCATTTCCTGTAGCCCTTGGCAACCAAAATTGAATTTTCTGCTGTGTGGAGTTGCCTAATCTGGATGTTTCATAAAAATGGAACTGTGTGTGACCTTTTCTGCCTGGCTTCTTTTTCTTAGCATAACATATTCAAGGTTCATCCATGTTGTAGCATGTATCAATATTTCACTTGTTTTTTATGGCCATATAACATGGTGTATAGATATACTACATTTTATGTATCCATTTGTCAGTGGATGGACGTTTGGTTTTAGTTCTACTTCTTGACTATTATGAATAATTCTGCTGTAATTGTTCACGTATAAGTTTTCACATGGACATGTATTTTCAGTCATTTCAGATATATACCTAGAAGTAGAATGCTGGTTATATGGTGACTCTGTGTTTAACTTTCTTGGGAACTGCCTGATTGTTGCTCATAGCAGCCACAATACTTTACAATCCTGCCAGCAATGCATGAATTTTCCAGTTTCTCTAGTTTGCAACATTTTTTATTAATATTAATATGTATTATACCAATCCAGTAGTTGTAAAGAGGTATCTCATTGTGGTTTTTTGCATTTCCCAATGGCTAGTGATGTTGAACATCTTTTTTTTTTTTTCTTTTTGAGATGGAGTCTCGCTCTGTTTGCCCAGGCTGGAGTGCGGTGGTGGGATCTTGGCTCACTGCAACCTCTGTCTCCTGGGTTCAAGCAGTTCTGTGCCTCAGCCTCCCGAGTAGCTGGGATTACAGGTGCCCACCACCATGCCAGGCTAATTTTTGTATTTTTGGTAGAGACGGGGTTTCATCATCTTGGCCAGGCTGGACTTGAACTCCTGATCTCATGATCCACCCACCTCGGCCTCCCAAAGTGCTGGGATTACAGGCGTGAGCTGCTGCTCCCGGCCTGATGTTGAACATCTTTTTATGCACTTGTTGGCTATTTATGTATCTCCTTTGTCAATTTAAAACATTCACTTTATTTCATGACTTATAGAAAAATTGGGGAGATAGTAGAGAGAATTGCCATTTACCCAGTTTCTGCTGTCGTTAACATATTAAGATGGTATGTTTGCAACAGCTGTTGAACCAACATTGGTACATGATTATTGACTAAAGTCCATATTTTTATTTAGCACCTGCTGATTTTTACCTAATGTCCTTCTTTGTTCCAGGATCCCTTCCAGGGCACCATATTACATTTAGTTGTCATGTCTCTTTAGGCTCCTCTTGGCTATGGTGGTTTCCCAGACTTTCCTTGTTTTGGATGACCTTGACAGTTGAGGAGTCCTGGTGAGGTATATATAAATTCCATTTATTGGGATGTGTCTGATGTTTTTCTCAAGATAAGACTGGGATTATAGGTTTTGGGGGAAAAAGCCCACAGTGGTAAAGTACCTTTTTTGTCACATTATATCAAGCATGCATACTGTCACCATGTTTTATGACTTTTGATGTTGGCCTGAAATGTCTTGGCAAACAGAGTTTGTCCACTATAAAGTTACATCTTTTTCCTATTTTCCATATTGTACACATTGGAACAATGTTACTCTGCACAACTCACACATAAGAAGTGGAGATATATGAATTTTGTTGCTGTTGTTTTTTAGAGCACTTTCTTTCTGTCACTACAAGATGGTCCAGGCTCATCTTGTATATTTTCTTTCTAAAATCAGCCATCATTTCTTCAGGTAATCCTGGTTCCTTTTATTTGAAAATGGTATTAGAAACCAAGATAGGGGCTAATGGTGTGCTTGCAGCAGTAGGGCGTGGCCATCTCAGCTGACAGAACAGGGAAATACACGTGTATAAACCATGTAATATACTTATAAATAGTTCTACATGTAACCATCTGTATCTCTCTTAAGCTAAACATGTGTTTATACTTATATTCTTCAACTCTTCACTACCACATGGATCATTCTAGCTTTCTTCCCTTGCTTCCCTGCAAATTACCATACCCAACAGTAAGAAATCTGGCTCTAACCATCCATCATCCATTTACTTTCTTTTTTTTTTTTTTTTTTTTTTTTGAGATGGAGTCTCCCTCTGTCACCCAGGTTGGAGGGCAGTGGTGTGATCTCAGCTCACGGCAACCTCCGCCTCCTGGGTTCAAGTATTTCTCCTGCTTCAGCTTCTCAAGTAGCCGGGACTACAGGTGCATACCACAATGCCCAGCCAATTTTTGTGTTTTTAGAAGAGATGGGGTTTTGCCATGTTGGACAGGCTGGTCTCGAACTCCTGATCTTAGGTGATCCACCTGCCCCGGCCTCCCAAAGTGCTGGGATTAAAGTTGTGAGCCACTGTGCCTGGCTTTCCATTTACTTTCATTATTCTTTCCCTGTATACATACATGTATGGCACTGTCAGAATTGTTAATTATGCCTATGTGGAAAATAATTTTATAATTTTATCAACTAAAATACAGTACTTACGTGCAGATTTTCCTTTAGTCTCACAGACTTCTCTTTCCAAAGTAATTAAGGTCAGGACTTCCTCCTGTATTGAAAGGGGTCCTTCATTGATACTATTTTTTACATTTGTAATGCAATTAGATGTTTTGGTGCAGGATGCCTTTATTCCTGGCTCCTCCTGAACTCATGACTTCGGTGCAATGGGTAATTCCTTGAAATACACAAACTACCAAGAGTTACACAGAAGAAATAAACCATTCAAATGGACCAATATCAGTTAAAGAAATTGAATCCATAAAGCTTTCATAAAAGAAAAGAAAAGAAGAAAGAAAGAAAATAAATTATCAGACTTTTTTGGTTTCATTGGTGATTTCTGTGCAACATTTAAGGAAGAAATATATAAGTTCTCTACAGTGTCTTTCAGAAAAGAGATGCAAAGGGAACCTTCTTAACACTTTTGTAAAAGGCTGTTTTTTCTCTAATCTTAAAAGCATATGAAGACCTTGCAAAGAAGAAAAACCACACACTAATATCCCTCATAAATATAGATGCAAAAATCCAAATAGAATGCAACATTGTATGAAAATAATTGGATGCTGTGACCACTCAAGGCTGGTCAGAGTTTGGAAATCAATTAATGTGGCCGGGTACGTTGGCTTATGCTTGTAATCCTAGCACTTTGGGATGCTGACGCAGATGGATTACCTGATGTCAGGAGTTTGAGACCAGCCTGGCCAACGTGGTAAAACCCTGTCTACTAAAAATACTAAATAAGCTGGGCGTGGTGGAATGCGCCTGTAATCCCAGCTCCTCTGAAGGCTGAGGCAGGAGAATCGCTTAGAACCTGGAACGCAGAGGTTGCAGTGAGCTGAGATTGCACCATTGCACTTCAGCCTGGGTGATAGAGCAAGATTCTGTCTCAAAAAAAAAATAAAAATAAAAAATCTGTAACCCGCCACATCAACAGCCTGCAGAAGAAAACCATATCATGTCAATTGATGGACAAGAAGCATTTGATAAAATCCAACACCCATTCATGATAAAACCGAGCAAACTAGGAATAGAGAGGAACTTCCTCAACTTGGTAAAAAAAAAATCTACAAGAAACCTACTGCTAAGAGCATACTTAGTGGTGAAACACTGGATACTTTCTCCCTAAGATAAGGAAACAAGATGTCCTGTCTCTTCACTCTTACTCAACATCTCATTGGAAATGGTAGGTAATGCCATAAGACAACAAAATAAGAGGCATACAGATGGGAAAGGAAGAAATAAAACTTTCTTCGTACAGGCATGATTGCCTAAGGAGAAAATTCTAGAGAACTCCCAAAACTATTAAGTCTTTGTAGCAAAGTTGGAGGATAGAAGCTTAATATAGAAAAATCAGTTCCTTTTTTCATTATGTAGTTGTGTTATTTGTCCTTTTATTGTTGAGATGTAAGAGTTTTTTCCATATTCTGTTTAGCAGTCCCTAATTACATACATTATTAGCCAATATTTTTCTCCCATTTGTGGGTTGTCATTTTATTGTCTTTGTTCTTGGTAGCAAAAGAGTTTTTCATTCCATGAAGTCTAATTTGTTTTTTCTTTTGTTGCTTGTATTTTTGGTACTTTATCTAAGAGGGCTTTATCTATCCCCAGGGCATGAAGATCCACTCCTGTATTTTCTTTAAGTAATGGCTTTTAAATGTAGACCTGTGATCCATTTTCAATTAGTTTTTGTATATGGTGTGAGGAAAGGAATAATTTTGATTGTTTTGCATACAAATATTCAGTTGTCTCAGCATCATTTCTTGAAAAGGTAATTTTTCTTTTTTCTTTTTTTTTTTGAGAGGAAGTCTCTGACGCCCAGCCTGGTGGGCAGTGGCACGATCTTGGCTCACTGCAACCTCTGCCCCCTGGGTTCACGCAAGTCTCCTGCCTCAGCCTCCTGAGTAGCTGGGATTACAGGCATGCGCCACCATGCTTGGCTAATGTCTTTGTATTTTTAGTAGAGATGGAGTTTCGTCATATTGGCCAGGCTGGTCTTGAACTCCTGACCTTGTGATCTGCCTGCCTCAGCCTCCCAAAGTGCTAGGATTACAGGTGTGAACTACTGTGCCCAGCCGAAAAGGTGATTTTTCAACATTAAATTGTGTTGGCATCATTGTTGAAAATTAACTGAACATAATATATAGTAGTGTTTATTTGTGAACTCTCAATTTTATTTCATATGTTTTCCTCTATGCCAGTATCATACCATCTTGATTATTGTAATTTTGTAGCAAATTTTCAAATTGAGAAGTGTATGTCTTCTAACTTTCTACTTCTTTTTTAAGATTGTTTTGATTATATTCAGTTCCCTAAATTTCCACATGAAATTTTAGACCAGCTTGTTAGTTTCTCCAAAAAGGCAGATGGGATTTTGGTAGGGATTGTGTTGAGTTTAGGTATTAATTTGGCAGTTATTGCCATCTTAACCATATGAACACTGTTCAGTGCCTTTCCATTTATTTAGGCTGTCTTTAATTTCTTCTATCATTGTTTTGTGGTTTTCAGACTATAAGCTCTGTATTTCCTTGATTAAAGTTATAAGTATTTTATTCTTTTTGATGCTATTGTATATGGAATTTATTTTATTTATTTACTTATTTGAGACAGAGTTTTGTTCTTACTGCCCAGGGTGGAGTGCAATGGTGCGATCTCGGCTCACTGCGTCTCAGCCTCCCAAGTAGCTGGGACTACAGGCACATGCCACCAAGCCTGGATAACTTTTTTGTATTTTTAGTATAGATGAGGTTTCACCATGTTGGCTGGGCTGGTCTCAACCTCCTGACGTCAGGTGATCCAGCCACCTCGGCATCCCAAAGTGCTGGGATTACAGGCTTGAGACATTATGCCCGGCCAGAATTATTTTTAAATTTTCATTTATGATTTGTTTGTTGTTAGTGAACTTGCACCCTGCAACATTGTTGAACTCTTTTATTAGTTTTAATAGTGTTTCAGCAGATTCTTTAAGATTTTCTATATGCATGAGTAGTCAACTGCAAATACAGATAGTTTCACTTTTGTTTTCAATCTAAATTCCCCTTCCCCTTGCTTTTCTTGACTAGAATCTCCTGTGTGATGTGTAACCAGCAAGAGGACATTCTTGTCTTCTTTTTGTTCTTAGAGTAAAATCACTGTACCTTTCATTATTTAGTATGATGTTAGTGGTGGACTTTTTGTAGATGCCTTTAATCAGGCTGAGGAAGTTTAACTCTATTCCTGGTTTGCTGATTGTTTTTATAGAGAAGATGGTCATTGGATTGTGTTAAATGCTTTTTCTCTGTATACTGAGATGATCATGTGGTTATTGTTTCTTTTCTCCTTACGTGGTGTATTAATTGATTTTCAAATGATAAACCAAATTTGAATTACTAGGATAAATCACACTTGATAATTGTATGTAACCCTTTTTATATACTACTGGATGAAATTTGCTAGTATTTTGTTGAGGATTTATATGTCTGTAATCATGACACATGGATCTGTATTTTTTTTCATGTCTGATTTTGGTACCAGAGTAGTAGTATTGGGATCATAGAATGAGCTGGCAAGTGTTTCTTCTTATTTTCTTGGAGTTTTTGAGTAATTGATAATTCTTTTTAAATGTTTGATAAAATTCTCCAGTGAACCCTTATGGACCTGGGTTTTTTTTTTGTTTTTGTAATGGGAAGTTTTCTTGTCTGTTTTTTGTCTTTTTTGAGACAGGGCCTCACTATATTGCCCAGGCTGGAGTGCAGTGGTGCAGTCATGGCTCACTGCAGCCTGACTTCCCAGGCTCAGGCAATTTTCCCACCTCAGCCTCCCAAGTAGCTGGGACTACAGGCATATGCCAGCACACCCAGCTAATTTTTTGTGTTTTTTTTTTGTAGAGATGGGGTTTCACCATGTTCCTGGGCTGGTCTTAAACTCCTGAGTTCAAGTGATCCACCTGCCTTGGCCTCCCAAAGTGGTAGGATTACAGGCATGAGCCACAGCATCCCACCTGTAATGGGGAGTTTTAAATTTACAACTTCAATCTTTTTACTTGTGTAGGTCTTTTCAGATTTTTCTTTTTCTACTTGAGTTGGTTTTAGTTGTTTTTGTTTTATGGATTTTCCCATTTTGTTGAAGTTAAATAATTTGTTGGCATACATTGTTCATACCATTCTTTGTAATTATTTTTATTTCTGTAAGAGTACTAGTAATACATCTTTAATCCCTACTTTTAGTAATTTGAACCTTCTCTCTCTTTTTTTTCTTTTTCAATGTCAGTCTAGCTAGAGGTTTGTATATTTTGTTGATCTTTTCCAGGAATCAGCTATTGTTTTTCTGTTCTCTAGTTCATTAATTTTTACTCTATAATCTTTCTGCTTTCCTGCCTTCTGCTTGATTTGGTTTTGTATTGCTGCTCCTGTCCAAGTGTTTTAAGGTGGAAAATTAGTTTACTGATTTGAGATCTTTTTAAATATGGTTATTACAGCTACAAATCTCTAAGGATTGCTTTATCTGTGTTCCATAAGTTTGAGTATGTCTTCATTTTTATCTCAAAGCATTTTTTCTAATTTTCCTTCTTATTGCTTCTTTAACTTTTTTTTTTAACTTCGGAATATGTTATATAATTTGTGCATGTTTGTGCATTCTAAAAATTCCTTTGTCTTACTGATTTGTAATTTCGACTGTGGTCAGAGAATCATTTTAAATTTATTCTGGGGAATGTTTCATGTGTACTTTTGAAGCATACCTGCTCCACTGTTCGAGTGGAATGTTCTGTCTATATCTCTTAGATCTGGTTGCTTTAGAGTGTCATCTATATCTTCTGTTTCCATGTTTATATTGTGCCCAGTTGTCCTAACCATTATTGAAAATGGGGTATTACAGTTTGCAATAAGTATTGTAGACTTGTATATTTTTTTCTTTTAATTCTGTCAGTTTTTGCTACACATACTTTGAGGCTCTGTTAGTAGTACATAGGCTTAGAATTGTTATGTCTCCTTTATTGATTGACCCTTTTATTGTTATATTAATAAAATTCCCCTCTTTATCCTTAGTAAAATTTTTGTATTAAAGTGTATTTTGTGTGATATTAGGATAGCTACTCCAGCCTTATAGGTGCCATGTGCCGGATATATCTTTTTCTGTCTTCAAATTTTCAACCTGTTTGTATCTATCTCTTATAGACAGCACATGTTTGGATTTTCACACTTTTGACAACCTGAGAATTGTTGCTTTTTGATTGGATTTTCAAATCATTCCCTTTTTCCTGTTGTTATTGCTATGCAGATGGTTCCTGACTTAAAATGGTTTGACTTATGATTTTTTAACTTTTCAATAGGTTTATTGGGTTGAAACCCCTTTGTATGTTTAGGATTTACAGAGGTTCAACTTAGTATTTTTTCTGTCCTTACTAGAATGTATTTCCATTTTAAGTGGAAAAACAATATTTTCAACTAATTTGACTATTATCAGGATGTAACTTGATCGTAAGTCAAGGAGCATCTGTAGTTGGTTTTACCTCTGCCATTTTTGTTTTCGGTCTCCTGCTTTTTTGGTACTCTATTCCTTTTACTTTTGCTTTCTTTTACATGACATGAATATATTTTATTTTATTATTTTTATAGGTTTCGAGGGTACAAGTGCAGTTTTGTTACCCAGACATAGCACATAGAGGTGAGGTCTGGGCTTTTAGTGTGGCCATCAGCAGAATAGCACCCATCAAGTAATTTCTTATCCTTCACCCTCCTCCCCACCCCTCCAAGTGTCCAGTGTCTCTCATTCCACTCTCTATGATTATGTGTATACAACATGAAATTAATATATTTTAGTATAACATTTTAATTTTTAAAATTATGATGTCTCTTTGAAAATTTATTTACCTAGTGGTTGCTCTAGAACTTACCTAATAAGTCTTGCCTTATCAAAATCTACTTCAGATTTCTGCTTCCTTAACTTTAGTAAAATACAGAAACATTACTTATATGTATCTCTATTTTCTCTTCTCTATTTGTTATTTTTATATATATTACATATATATTTAAAACCCAACAATACATTGTATGCAGGCTGAGCATCCCAAATCCGAAAATCTCAAATGCTCCCAAATCTGAAACTGAGTGCCAACATGCTCAACATGCTAGAAGGAAATGCTTGTTGGAGCATTTCAGATTTTAGATTTCTGGATTTGGGAAGCTCAACCAGTAAGTATAATGTAAACATTCCAAAATTTGGAAAAAATCTAAAGTGAGAAACACTTTTGATGCCAAGCATTTCAGATAAGGGATACTCAACCTGTAATTGTTACTTTATGTCATTTGATGGCTTTTTGTTGTTGTTGTTGTTGTTTTTTTACTTTAAGTTCTGTGATACATGTGCAGAATGTGGAGGTTTGTTACATAGGTATATGTGTTCCATGGTGGTTGACCCATCTTCTTAAGTTTCCTCCCCTTGCCCCCACACCTCAACAGGCCCCAGTGTGTGTTGTTCCCCTCCCTGTGTTCATGTGTTGATGTCTTTTAAAGAAGCTGAAAGAAAGATAGGAAGTATCTATTCGTAGAGTTTGTTATACTAACCTTCTTATTCATCATTTCTGCTTCAATTCATTTGTTTGTGTGGATTCAGAGTTACCATCTAGTGTAATTTCCTTACTCTGGCACAGATTTGTTCCTCTGTCTTTTTTTTTTTTCCCCTGGGAGTCTCACTTTGTTGCCCAGGCTGGAGTGCAGTGGCACCATCTGGGCTCACTGTAACCTCCTGCCTCCTGGGTTCAAGCGATTCTCCTGTCTCAGCCTCCCGAGTAGCTGGGATTACAGGCATGTGCCACCACAGCTAATTTTTGTGTTTTTAGTAGAGATGGGGTTTTGCCATGTTAACCAGGCTGGTCTTGAACTCCTGACCACAGGTGATCTGCCTGCCTTGGCCTCCCAAAGTGCTGGGATTACAGGCGTGAGCCACCACACCCAGCCACTCTATTTTTTTGCTTTATTCTTTTTTTTTTTTTTGCTTTGTTATTTGTTTCCTTGTTTATCAATGTATTTATTTATTTTTTTTTTGAAACAAGGTCTCTCTGAGTCATCGAGGCTGGAGTGCCGTGGTAGGATCCCATCTCATTGCAGCCTCAACTTCCTGGGCTCAAACAATACTCCCACCTCAGCCTCCTGAATAGCTGAGACTATAGGTGTGCACCACTGTGCCCAGCTTATTAAACAAATTATTTTTTAGAGATGGTGTCTCAATATGTTGCCTAAGCTGATCTTGAAATCCTGGGCTTAAGTGATTCTCCTGCTTCAGCCTCCCAAAGTGTTGGGATTACTGGCATGAGCCACTGTGCCTGGCCTGTCTTATTGTTAAATACATTGCATTTTTATATGTTATAGGTCCAACAATACAGTTATAAACATTGACTTATACATATTTGCTTATTAAATTGGGTAGGAAAAGAAAGGAGAAAAAATGTGCCTTTTTTACTCTCTCGTATCATTGCCTTTACCCACAATAATTGTGGATTTGAACTAGTGTTTGAAATCACTTGTTTTCACCCTAAAGAACTTCTTTTCTTTCTTTTATGGTTAGTGTACTTGCAATGGATTCTCAAGTTTTTTTGGTTTCTATTTGTTTTTTAATTTGAGGATTTTAAATTTTCACCCTCTGTTTTGCAAATAGTTCTGCTATTTTAGGTGACAGGTTATTAAAAAAGCTGGAAACCATCATTCTCAGCAAACTGTCACAATACAAAAAACCAAACACAGCATGTTCTCACTCACAGGTGGGAACTGAACAATAAGAACACATGGACACAGGAAGGGAAACATCACACACCAGGGACTGTTGTGGGGTAGGGGGAGGGGGGAGGGATAGCATTAGGAGATATACCTAATGCTAAATGACGAGTTAATGGGTGCAGCACACCAACATGGCACATGTATACATATATAACAAACCTGCACGTTGTGCACATGTACCCTAAAACTTAAAGTATAATAATAATAAAATTAAAAAAAAAATAGCTGTGTGACCCCAGGTCAAATTCTGTAAGTCTTAGCTTCTTTATTTGACAACTGGGAACACAATATTTTCCCCACCTCCCCCCAACAACTCCACCAGTATTGTGGTGAAGATCAAAGAAATAATTTCCTGTATGAATAAAAGGTATTTCATTGCAAAAAAAAAAATTTTTTTTTCAGTCACTGAATATGTCATCCTGCCTCCTTCTGGCCTCTACGTAGTCTCTGATGAGAAGCCATATGTTAATCTTAGGACATTCCCTTCATGTGAGAAGTTGTATTTCTCTTGATGCTTTCAAGATTTTCTCTTCGTCAACAGATGTGCAAGTTTTTGGCCTCTTTTTTTTTTTTTTTGTTTAATGCAACACTTCATGAACTTGTGTGTCATTCTTGTGTAGCTGCTGTGCTAATCTTGGTATTGTTCCAGTTTTAGTATATGTGTTGCAAGGTGAGCATAGCCATTCATTTGTTTGAATATTTTTTCTGCTACTTGATATTTCTCCACTCCTTCTGGTACTTCTGTTATGAATATATTGGTGTAGTTAATGGTGTTCCTCATTTTTTTGAGCATTTCTTCATTTTTCATCACTCTTATTTCTCTCTGTTCTTTAGATTACTTAATCTCTATTGATCCATCTTTAAGTTTACTGATTATTTTGCCAGCTACAACCTTTCTTTTCTTTTCTTTCTTTTTTTTTTTTTTTTGAGATGGAGTTTCTCTCTTGTTGCCCAGGCTGGAGTGCAATGGCACTATCTCAGCTCACTGCAACCTCTGCCTCCCGGGTTCATGCAATTCTCTTGCCTCAGCCTCCAGAGTAGCTGGGATTACAGGTGCGTGTGCTACCACACTCAGCTAATTTTTCTGTTTTTAGTAGAGACGGGGTTTCACCACATTGGTCAGTCTGGTCTTGAACTCCTGACCGCAGGTGATTCACCTGCCTTGGCCTCCCAAAGTGCTGGGATTTCAGGCATGAGCCACCCTGCCTGGCCCAATCTTTTGTTGAGTCATTCTAGTGAGTTTTCCATTGCAGTTATAATTTTTGAATCCAGAATTTTCATTGTATTCTTTTCTGTCTTCTTATTGATATTTTCTGTTTGATGAGGCATCATCATACTCCCTTTTCTAAGTAGTGTTTCCTTATGAACATATTTATTTTTATTTTTTATTTTGACAGTCTCGCTCTGTCACCCAGGCTGGAGTTCAGAGGCATGATCTCAGCTCACTGCAACCTCCGCCTCCCAGGTTCAAGTCATTCTCTTGCTTCAGCCTCCAGAGTAGCTGGGATTACAAGTGCCTGCCACCATGCCCAGCTAATTTTTGTGTTTTTAGTAGAGACGGGGTTTCACCATGTTGACCAGGTTGATCTTGAACTCCTGACCTCAGGTGACCCACCTGCCTCGACCTCCCAAAGTACTGGGATTACAGGCGTGAGCCACCGTGTCTGGCCCGAACATATTTATAATAGCTGCTTTGAGGTCAGCTAAGTCTGATAGCTGGGTCTTCTCAAGGGCAGTTGCTGTTGCCTGTCGTTTTTCCTGTATGTAGGTGACAGTGTCCTGTTTCTTTGTATGTCTTGTAATTTTTTTGTTGAAGTATAGACATTTTAGAGAATACTTTGTGCTTCCTCTAGATACTGGTTCCTCTATTCTCTCTAGGGCTTGTTGTTATTTATTTAGGTGACTTGACTGTACTATTTGAGAGAAGCTTTTTCACTCCCATTGGGTTCTCACTGATGTTGCTTATCAGAGGGCTCCTCCTTGGAAATGCACACTATCTTTGGGATGGCAGTGGTGTTAACAGTGCTCTCTGAGTGTCTCTTTCTGTGATTGCTGTGTTAGCCTGTCTGCCTCTGTTGCTGTTATACTTTGCTGATAGCCGCTACTGATTGCTGACGTATTGCTCTATTGTTTTCAACACTGTCCTGGACCATATGTTGCTCTTAGTTTGCTCTTGTTAAATTTGGGTTCCTTCTAGAGGGTTGTCTTTGAGGCTTTGAGTTTGCTTTTTATGTTGCCATTCTGAAAGTCACCTCCTAGAAAACATAAATTTAAAAATCATTACTGTAGAAAATCTGTGTATGTGTTTGTATGAGTGTTTCTGGTAGATAGGAACACATCTAATTGCCCTGGATGTCTCTTCTTAGCCATCTCTTTCCCTTGCTCTCTCCAGTAAACTTTCAGTTGGTCTGTGGTTTAGCTTGTTGCTGTCATAGAACTGCCACCCTCTTCTTAATTGGTTATCATTGAATTTCCATTCTTTTTGAGGGTGACCTTAGGCTTGCACTCACCCACACTCTGCTCTGAACAAAGTGAGTTTTCTGGAGGAGAGTTTGGGAACTCTCTGTCCTTACAGCTGGCCCTAGGTGAGAGTCCTGCTCCATTATTCAGGATCTAGAGGCTACAGCAGTGTTTTGCTTTTCTCTGGGTGAGTGATACTGTGCTTTATGATCAGGGATCTGGGTTGGGGCAGTAGTCTCTGGTCTTCTTGGTTTCTTTTGGAATCTCTTCTCAATGACCTAGGTGGGCATTGTACTCCGCTATTCTCAGACTGCCATGACTGGGCTGGATATTTTAATTGGGGTGGTGGAGGAAGCTGGCTCAAGGCCTTTTGGCAGTTCTTTTCTAGAATTTGAAGCTGTAGGGGTTGAGGAGCACTGGTGGCTTGCAGGAGATAGATGCACACAGAGAGAGGTCTGGAGATCTGTAAAGGGGCCTCCATGAATGTTCAGCAAAGTACTAATCGGCTCATGTATATGAGGAAATGAGTGAAATAACTTTTGAAAAGAATCAAAGGGAACAGTACACAATACTCACATAGGGCCTGGAAAAGGACTGATCCTGCCAGCCAGAGTGGAAAAACTCGTAATTCAGAGTATTGGGTAGAGTGTTCAGAAAGGTCTTTTCTCCGTGGTGAGGAGTAATGTGCCCCAAACTGAGCACTGCTCCAGATTTGCCTAAGAAATCATAAAAGCAAGACCTGAAAGTGTCACATTGTTTCCAAGTGACTTAAGTGCATCCTAGAAAAAAGCACAAAAATACTTATAGGAAGCCAAAAGGACCCAACATCCAACCAAGTAAAACTCTCAGTCTTCTGTCCATTGAAATATTACCAGACTTACAGACATGTGGGAAAACATGAGCTTTCTCAAAGAGACTAACCAGGAAATTGAAATGGACTCAGAATTGCCATAGATATTAGAATTAACTGACAAGTTCATTGAAAATAGTATTATAATTGGATTCCATATGTTCTAAAACTTAAGTAGAGACACGGAAGATTTAAAAAAAAAATCAAAATTCAGTATAACAGAAAAGATAGAAATCAGATTTCTAGAAATGAATACTATAATGCTTGACATGAGAAATACATGGCCAGCCATTGTTGTCTCATGCCTATAAATCCCAGCACTTTGGCAGGCCAAGGGAAGGATCTCCTGAGCTCAGGAGTTTGAGACCAGCCTGGGCAACATGGTGAAACCTTGTCTGTACCAAAAATGCAACAGCAAAAAAATTAGCTGGGTGTGGTGGTGCATGCCTGTGGTCCTAGCTACTTGGGAGGCTGAGGTGGGAAGATCACTTGAGCCTGAGAGGTGATGTTTCAGTGAGCCAAGATTGCACCTCTGCACTGCAGCCTGGGTGATGGAGTGAGACCGTCTCCCCCCACCCCTGCCAAAAAAAAAAAAAAAAAAAAAAAGAATAACACATAGGGCAACAACTAATGGCAGTTTAAACATTGCAGAAGAAAAAGATTACTGAACTTAGCATAGTAATAGAAGCCATCCAAATGAAACAGAGAAAAAACATATGTGAAAAATAAGCAAGCCCTTGGGCTGGGTGTGGTGGCTCACCCCTGTAATCCCAGCACTTTGGGAGGCCAAGGCCTGTGGATCACGAGGTCAAGAGATCGAGACTATGTTGGCCAACATGGTGAAACCCCATCTCTACTAAAAGTACAAAATTAGCTGTGCGTGGTGGCAGGCGCCTGTAGTCCCAGCTACTCGGGAGGCTGAGGCAGGAGAATCATTGAACATGGGAGGCGGAGGTTGCAGTGAGCCGAGATTGCACCACTGCACTCCAGCCTGGCGATAGAGCAAGACTCTGTCTCAAAAAAAAAAAAAAAAAAAAAAAAAAAAAAAAAAAAAAAAGCAAGCCCCTGTGAGCTTTAAGAGAACTTCAAGTAGTCTCTAACACACATGGAATTGGAGTCTGTAAAAGGAAAGTGGGAAAAGAACAGAAAACAATATTTTGAGATGATGAAAAAATGTCCAAATGTGATGGGAACTTACTGATCTAAGAAGCTCATCAAACCCTGAGCACAAGAGGCATGAAGAAAACTACACTAAGCCACATGAGTCATAACCAGAATGCTCTAAATCAGTGTTAAAATGAAATCCTCAAAGCAGTCAGAGACAAAGGACATGTTTTATGGAGGAACAAAGGAAAGGTTGATAGCAGATTTCTCCTTAAATGAGGCAACAGAGAAAAGAGTAGAACATTATTTTTAGTTTTAAAAGCAAAAAAACTCAACGTAGAGTTATATACTCAGTAAAAATAGCTATAAGAAACAGTGAAGAAGTAAGGACATTCCAGTTAAACAAAGCTGAAAGATTTCCTCTCCAGCAGACCTGCACCACAAGAGGTGTTCTGATGTCTGATGGAAATCTGGATCTACCTAGGGGGATGAAGGACAGGAAATATTGACTACTTGGATATGTATACAAGATATTTTTCTTCATGTAAATCTCTAAAAAGTATATTGTCTTTATACAAAAATAACATCAAATGTATTGTGGGTTTTATAACATTTAAAATATATGACAAACATAGCCTAAAAAGGCTGTGAAAAAGAAGTAAAGTATATACTATTGGAAGATCCATATATGTACTATTTCTGAAAAGTACACTGCAAAAGCTTTTATAAACATTGATGATCACAGAAAATATAAATGGTCTAAAACACCCCATTTAAAGACAGAGATTTCTTGATAAGATAAATAAAAATAAGATCCAGTCATGCTGCCTACAAAGGAAACATGTTAGATTCAAAGACAGATAAACAAAAAGAATGGGAAAAGATATAGAATGGTAAAATTATTCACAAGGCTGCAGTGATGTGACAGCCAGATGAAATAGCTTTCAGAGCCAGGAATACCAGTGATAAAGATTTTTTTCATATCGATAGAGATCCATTCATCGAGAGGATTTAACAATCCTAAGCTTTAGGTTAGTAATGGATTTACAAAATATTTGAAGCAAAATCTGATAGACTTGGAAGGAGAAATAGATCCACAGTTATAATCAGAGGTTTTAGCATCCTTTTAATAATTGATAAAACAGGAAAAGGAAAAGGAGCAAAGATATAATAGACTTAACCCTAAATAACTTAATTGACATTTATAAAATATCTTCTGCACCCTCCTCCCCAAATAAAACAGTGGAATATACATTCTTTTCAAGGGCAGATGAATGAATATATTAACAAAGGTAAATCACATTCTTGATTATAAAGCAAATCTTAATAAATGTAAAAGGATTGAAGTCATATAGAGTATTTTCTCCCACCATAAGGGGTTTAAATTTAGTTAAATTAAAAATCAATAACAGAACTATCTATAAAATCCCTAATAGTTGGAAACTGAATATACTTCTACATAATGGATTCTTCAAAGAAGAGTTCAAAGGGGAAATTAGAAAGTATTTTGAACTTTGGGTTAATGAAAACAGAATTTATGGGAAATTTACATATAGGAAATTTAGGTATAGCAAATATAAAATACCTATAATACTCATTGATTTCATTGTTTTCCATTTTGATCCTTACTCCTTTTTTCTACTTACTTTTGGGTCTAATTTGCTTTTTTCTAGCTTTTTAAGGTGGAAGCACCTGAGGTCATTGATTTGAGATCTTTCTTAGGCAACACAAATATGCATTGTGTGTGTTTGTATTATGTGCGTATATATCTACCATATGTAAATGCATATATGAAGTTTCTCCTATATGGGATATAATGTATTATGTGTAATGTATATTGTGTAAATTTCACATATAGGGAATTTCATATGTGTATGTATTTATGTATATGTATATATCTAATATACACATGTATGAAGTTTAACTTGTGTTGGATAAGAAGAAAGGTCTAAATCAATGGTCTTAGCTACTTCCACTTTGAGAATGTAGAAAAGAAGACAAATCCATATAGTAGAAGAAGAAAGGAAATAACAAAAAACAAAATGGAGAACAATATAATATGTAGAACCAGAAAAACAGTTTAGAAAATCAGTGAAACCAAAAGCTGTTTCATTGAGAAGATCGATAAAATGGATAAACTTCTAGGTGGAACAGATTATCAATATCAAAAATAAGAATGATGAATCACTGAAGATTCTGTGAGGAAGTGAGGAAATACTATACCTGTAAGTTATCAATTTGACGATTTTGATGAAATGAACAGTTTCCTTCAAATAAACAGCTACTACTGCTTACTTCAAAACAAATAGATAACCTTTCCACAAAGAAAACCCCAGGTCCCCAGATGCTTCAGTAGTGAATTCCAGCAAACAATTAATAGTACCACTTCTATACAGACTTTTCCAGAAAATTCAAGAAGAGGGAATACTTCCTAAATCATTCTTTGAGTCCAGCATTGCCCTAATAACAAAACGAGACAAAGACACTGCAAGGAAAGAAAGCTATAGACCGGTGTCCTTCATGAACATAAATTCAAAAACTCTAGGGATTGGAAACCAGTGGTGTATAACATGGTTATTAATACCTCATGACCAAATGTGGTTAATCCCTGGCAGGCTTTTTCAACATTTGAAAAGCAGTCAGTGTAATTCCCTGTGTCTAGGCCAACTTCATAGCTAGGTGACCTGTGCAGTCACATGTTGCTGCACTCTTGTAAGAAGGGATCCTGTACTTGGCTTAATGCCCTGTTGTTGCCATCTTGAAGTTCTTCACAGTTTTATCTTTGAACTTGTGATTTGTATGTAAAGTCTGATGGACACTGGACTATGTGTGCAAGTAGACAGGATACTTGAGAGGCACTGCCCTACTAAGCTGTTGGTCTGTGTAGTATGGCCTGGGAGTGTCCTGGAATTGTGTGTGGGTAGCCAGGGCCATGACCTTTGTCTGCATTGGTTGCAGCAGCAGCAAACTCACAAACAGTTGCACCCCAGAGAGGACCCACAGTGTGAGGCTGGCTTGCTTGTCTCTCCCCTGAGCCTGTCCCTCTGACATTCTTAGGAAATACTAATTTTCTGGGCTGAATACTGGGGCAGTAACTTCCAGCTTTCAGGCAGTCACCATTGTCAGTAAAGTATTAGAAAATAAAAGCATACTTGTGGACATTGTGTTAAGGCACACTAGGCAGTTCCTAGAATTCTTTGGAGTGTAGATTCTCTGGTCTTAAGAACTGCTGCAACATTGCAAAGCAAATATCCACAGGCTTAGAAATAGGAATTTCATTTGATGGGAGAGAACATGATTTTCATATAAAATTTTGGATGAATCAAGTATTAACAAAGAAGTCAATTTTAAAAATAGTTTTTTTTTTACATTTGAAAATACAGCAATACACTGCATAAACAGGTGTTTCCAGTTATATATGCAAATCATGAAGCCATTTTTGGTTTCTTGTACAAGATGTAGGAAATGTCAGAGGAAACATTAAAATGCCATTGTATAAATTTACATGTAAAATTGAATTCTGCTTTGTACAAAACTAATATTCACGAAGAATTAATTTCAGAGTACTGCTACTCCAGTCTTTATATATACCGAAACTTGTATTTTTTTAACTTTTATTGTGCAACAATGTATCAGAAATCAGAAATTTAACCCATATTGTCACAACGTATAAAGAACCAACAGGTTCCTAATGATCGCATCAGCTGAAAAATCAACCTTCTCAAAATTAAAAATGAGCAAAAATTACTTACCATGCATTTGCCAAGAATACATGTTACTTTCAATTATATATTGAAAATAAAGTTGCTAAAAATATAAATTTTGATGACTTAAATGAATTTGCAAAAAGAGGGCCAGAAAATCTTATGATCAATCAAGATATCATATTAAAAACTATTAGTAATTATTGTATCATTTAAAGTTATTGCAACAAAACTTTTTTTGTGATTTGTAAATTTGTTATTATATATTACGATTATACCTATTACATTTTACAAGTAATAAAATATATTAAAAGAAAAAAGCATAATTTATTTTACCTTTTACTATACTTCTTTTTATACATTCTGAGTAACTGCCTCACATTTTTATTTTGCACTGGCCCCATCAATTATGTAGTCATCTCTGCCCTGTATTAAAAAGAAAAAAACAGAAAAAAAGTCAAATCCATATGACCATTTCAATATATGCAGACAAGGCATTTGACAAAATTTAGCATCCATTTCTGATTAAAACTCTCAAATGAAGAATAGAAGATAACTTTCTTTAATCTGATAAAAGTCATCTATAGAAAATGTACAATTGACATTGTATATAATTGTGAACAACGGAATGATTTCTTTCCAATATCAGGAACATGACAAGGATGTCCACCCATACTTGATAGTGTAATATATACTACTTAGTATAACCAGGGAAGAAAAAGAAAGGAGATTAGAATAGAAAAGAAGTAGAAATGTCTTTATTCACAAAAGATAATATTATCTATGTAGGAAATCTAATGGAGTCACCCAAGAAAAAGAATGGGAAAAATAATGACTATAATTATTAAGTGTAGCTAGGTGGCAGGAGAAAAATATGTAAAAATGAATTTTACTTCTATATATTAGCAATGATCAATTGGAACTTGAAATTTTTAAAAGTTCCATTTGCAATAGTATCAAAAATATTTTTTTTGCAGCTATGTCTGGCAAAAGATGTGAAAGACCACACTAGAAACAATAACCCACTGCAGAGAGAAATTGAAGACCTAAACAAGTGGAACTCCCTGCTTATGTCAGAAAGCTCAATATTGCTAACATGTTTTGTTGTTAACATGACTTATAGATTCAAAATAATATAATTCCATGTAGTAATTAGCAGGATTTCTTGTAGTAATTGAGTACGTAATTCTAAACTTTATGTGGAAGTAGACAGGAAACTTGTCTACTTTAGTTACTCTACTTCTAGAGTAACTAAAACTTTGAAAAATAAAAGCTGAGTTGTATGGATAGGATTACCTGATTTCAAGACTCAAAGTAAAAGTTTGCTGAGACTTGGTCTTTTTGTCCAGAGTACTTTTTCTTCAATTTTCACATCTAGTAGTTTTATTAAGCTATGTTTTGGAGAAAACTGTTGCTGAACATTTTTCCCAGGTTCATGATGGTTCCTTTGAATATGTGGATCAGGTCTTTTATTTTTGGACAGTTTTCTTAGATTATACTTTTTAATATTAGATTTATTCTGTTGTTTTTTCTTCTTTAAGGACTGCAATAACATATATACTATATTATAATTTTATTTATTTATTTAATTGTAGACCATCTTTATCCAGAACTTTCTTTCTGATCCAATTTTCTTTTTTCTTACTCTTTTAAAATTATTGCTTCTTCTTTTTCTTGTTTCATTCTCCTTTGCAATGCTGTTTATTCAAGTTTCAGTCAAGTGTAGTTTCCCCTTTGGCTCTGTATTAGTTGACTCAGGCTGCTGTAACAAAATTCAACAGACTGGGTAGCTTAAATAAATTTTCTCACAATTGTGGAGGCTGGAAGTCTAAAGTCAAGGTGCCAGCAGGGTTGGTTTCTGGTTAGGTCTCACTCCTTGGCTTGCAGATGGCATTTTCTTCTGGTGTCCTCACACAGCCTTTTCTCTGTGCATATGACCAGTGGTTGGGGGTGGTGGGTTGGGGGAGAAAGAGAGCTCATGCATGTGCTTTCCAGTATCCTCTTCTTCTTATAAGGACACCAATGCCATTGTATTTGTGTCTTACCCTTATGACCTCATTTAACCTTAGTTAATCTCCTTAAAGTCCCCATCTTCAAATACAGTCACACTGGAGGTTGGGGTTTTAACATACACATTTTTGGGGGGCACAGTTTAGTCCATAACAGATTCCTTAATAAGGAATGTCTTTAATAAGTCTTAATAAGACTTGAATTACAAGTCTTATTTTCTGTGATTACTCTGCCCTCTTTACAACTTCATTCCTGAGTTTGATTACCCTTTGCCTCTTTAGTTTGCATACAGTCCAAGTCTCTTCTCTTGGATTTCCCACTAACCTGAGCTTTAATCTACGTGAACTCAGACATCTTCTGAGTATTTTCCCACTCATAGTGAAACTTTCCCTTTCTGGGAGTAGTTTTGTGTTTCATCCTCTCTGGGCTGTGTGTCTCCTCTATTCCATGTAATCACCACAGTCTCTGGCTGACTCTCTTTGTAGGCATGGGCTGTCACTTTTTTCTGTATTTGAGTATCTGTTGCTTAGTGGTGATTTGAAATTAGTAATATTCTCCATCTCCTAGTTATGTTAAAGTCATGGATTGTTTAGATAGTGTTATTTGCTCCACTTATGGTGACCTTTATAATTCTTGGGAGGATGCATGGGGAAACGCAGATGTAAGCAGCTGCTATTATTCTTCTTACACTAGAAACCAAATGTGTGCCTTCAATAGTTAAATTCCTCTCTGTTTTTCCACTAGCCTAGGACTTTTGTTTCTGGTTTTTGTTTTTGTTTTTTGACCCCAAACCCATGAAATACAAAAAATATGCACTTGCAATTATGTTCATCTCTGGAAACTGGCCAAAAAACCAGTCAGCTGCAACATGGGGCATTTGTTTAGCGATTTCATTCCCTAAGAAATGTTTTGGTATTTATGTGGTAAGATTAATTTTGCTTGTTTCTAGAAGTCTGGACAGCTGATCACCTGAAAGAGAGGAGCCAAGAAAACCAATCTAAACATTTGTGGGAAGTTGTATTCATCAATAATGAAATGCTGACTAAGGAACAAGGTGATGTAATAGGAATACCATTTAATGTGGATGTAAGTTCTTTTCCTTCCAGAAAAATGTTCTGTCAGTGTGATTCATGTGGAATGAGTTTCAACACTGTTTCAGAATTGGTTATCAGTAAGATAAACTATTTAGGAAAAAAGTCTGATGAATTTAATGCCTGTGGGAAATTGTTACTCAATATTAAGCATGATGAAACTCATACTCAAGAGAAAAATGAAGTTTTGAAAAATAGGAACACACTGAGTCATCATGAGGAGACTTTGCAGCATGAGAAGATTCAAACTTTAGAGCACAATTTTGAATACAGTATATGTCAGGAAACCCTCCTTGAAAAGGCAGTATTCAATACACAGAAGAGAGAGAACGCAGAAGAGAATAACTGTGATTATAATGAATTTGGGAGAACTTTGTGTGATAGTTCATCCCTCTTGTTCCATCAGATATCTCCGTCAAGGGACAATCACTATGAATTTAGTGATTGTGAGAAGTTCTTATGTGTGAAGTCCACCCTTTCTAAACCTCATGGGGTATCTATGAAACACTATGATTGTGGTGAAAGTGGGAATAATTTCAGGAGGAAATTGTGTCTGTCACACCTTCAGAAAGGTGATAAAGGAGAGAAACACTTTGAATGTAATGAATGTGGGAAAGCTTTCTGGGAGAAGTCACATCTCACTCGACATCAGAGGGTGCACACAGGACAGAAACCCTTTCAATGTAATGAATGTGAAAAAGCTTTCTGGGATAAGTCAAACCTCACTAAACATCAAAGATCACACACAGGGGAGAAACCTTTTGAATGCAATGAATGTGGGAAAGCCTTTAGCCATAAGTCAGCCCTCACATTACACCAGAGAACACATACAGGGGAGAAACCCTATCAATGTAATGCGTGTGGGAAAACTTTTTGCCAGAAATCTGACCTCACTAAACATCAGAGAACACACACAGGGCTGAAACCCTATGAATGTTATGAATGTGGAAAATCCTTCCGTGTGACTTCGCACCTTAAAGTACACCAGAGAACTCACACAGGTGAGAAACCTTTTGAATGTCTTGAGTGTGGGAAATCCTTTAGTGAAAAGTCAAATCTTACACAGCATCAGAGAATTCACATAGGAGATAAATCTTATGAATGTAATGCATGTGGGAAAACTTTCTACCACAAGTCATTACTCACCAGGCATCAGATAATTCATACAGGGTGGAAACCTTATGAATGTTATGAATGTGGGAAAACCTTCTGCTTGAAGTCAGACCTCACAGTACATCAGAGAACACACACAGGGCAGAAACCCTTTGCATGTCCCGAATGTGGGAAATTCTTTAGCCATAAGTCAACCCTCTCTCAACATTATAGAACACACACAGGGGAGAAACCCTACGAATGTCATGAATGTGGAAAAATCTTTTACAATAAATCATACCTAACTAAACATAATAGAACACATACAGGGGAGAAACCCTATGAATGTAATGAATGTGGAAAAGCCTTCTACCAGAAGTCACAACTCACTCAGCATCAGAGAATTCACATAGGGGAGAAACCCTATAAATGTAATGAGTGTGGAAAAGCTTTCTGCCATAAGTCAGCTCTAATTGTACATCAGAGAACCCATACACAAGAAAAGCCCTATAAATGTAATGAATGTGGAAAATCTTTCTGTGTAAAATCAGGACTTATTTTCCATGAGAGAAAGCACACGGGGGAGAAACCCTATGAATGCAATGAATGTGGGAAATTCTTCAGGCACAAATCATCACTCACAGTACATCACAGGGCTCACACAGGAGAGAAATCTTGTCAATGTAATGAATGTGGAAAAATCTTTTACCGTAAATCGGAACTTGCTCAACATCAGAGATCACATACAGGGGAAAAGCCCTATGAATGTAACACATGCAGGAAAACTTTCTCTCAAAAGTCAAATCTCATTGTACATCAGAGAAGACATATAGGAGAAAACCTTATGAATGAAATGGATATTAGAAATTTCCAGCCACAAGTCAGCCTCCATAATGCCTCAGAGTATTCACACTGTGGAGAAAGCCCTGATGACATCCTGAATGTTCAGTAACTATCCACAAACTCACCTTATGTTACTCCAAAGTAATAGTAGGGGATAAACCCATAGACTACAACAATTATAGGACAGCTTTTGTTAGGAAGTGATATTCTATGTAATATCAGATGGTTAATACGGGCATAACACCTTACAGATTTTTTTTGAATTTGTGAAAGTTTTTGGCAAAAATGCAAATAAGGTTATGTTAGAATTTACACTGAGGAGAAAATTGTCAATTTAAGAAATCTAAAGTGAAAATTTTGCTTAGAAATAAAATACGACAAGTTATGTTTTGAGTTTGATGCCATAATAGTTTTTAGGGCACCTAACAATAATTTATAGATGTATATTGTGGAATGTAAAGCTTTAAGAACTTAAACAAAGGTAATAATTAAAATAACCTCACAAGAAGTTTAATGAGTAGAGAGAATTCCCATGTACACTTCACCAAACTTCCTCTAAGGATAATGTATAATCATAGTATATGGTCAAGTCCAAGAAATCGATGTTACCTTGCTGGTAGATAGAGACTTAGTCAGATTTTACTATGGTTTGCATGCACTCTGTGTGTGTGTGTACGTGTATGTGTGTGTGTGTGGTTATATCAAACTTTTACGACTTTTACATTTGAGTAACCATCAACACGATTAGTTTACAGAACTGAAAAGGAATCTGAGATCTGTACTGTATCAGGATTACAAAGGATTTAGCCTCAAGTAGTTCCCTTTTTGTATTAATAACCACACGCTTTCTGCAACCCTATCCCTTGCATCCACTTGACTATGAAGTTTTTTTAAAGCACAGATAAATTGAATAATCAGGGCAATAGCATTAAGCACATCTGCGAATTATCCCTGAAGTTCAAAAGACTTATATATGTATAAGTGGTATGTGATATAAATCGTGTGTTTCATATGCATAATGGAATTTAACGTAATTGTGAATAGGAAGTAGGTATCCTAGTTTAGTAGTGGTTACATTATCAGGCCCATCCCAGATGTTTGTGATGTCCTGAAACAATTTAAAAGGAGACCCACAGAGCTAATGTTTATCCATTTAAAAGGTATAAATCAAAATAACAAATTATCTAAAAAAAATCTATCCTGTACATGTGAAGATCTAGGCTCGCCTCCATGTTACTCCCTTTCTCTTCCTACCTGTGGCTCATGCCATGCCATGAAGTGCCTAGGGTACATATGTGAACATTCCAGCCTTCAGCATAAGTGGTAGTCCAAATTTTCTTTAAGCAGCTGCTCTCCAAGACAGGGCCCTGGAAAGGCCCACACATACAGCCCAGGGCTGCCCAGGGCTGTTGGACTGTCATTTCAAGGCTCATTGTCCCCAGACAGGGATCTGGGCCCTCAGACTTTTGAGAATATGAAGAGGAGGGTTGAGGCTGGAGCAGAACCAGAATCAAGCTGGTGTGGGGCTTTTATTGATAGTGTGAAGATTGTACACTATATTACATGATCAGATCATACAAATAATCTAAGATTATACAGTCTAGTGATCCTAGATTACACAAGTAATCTAAGCTTCCACTTTAGGAAACTAGAAAAAGAAGAGCAAATTAAATCCAAAGTAACCTGAAAAAACATTAGAGTAAAAATCATTGAAATTGAAAAGAGAAAATCGATAAAACCCAAAACTGGTTCCTTGAAAAGGTCAGTAAAATTGATAAACCTCTAGCTAGCTTAAGAACAAACAGAAGACAAATATTGCTAATACCAAAAATGAAAGAGGCCATCACAGCTAATCCTATGGTCACCAAAAGGATTAGAAAGAAACATGGACAACTCTGTCCATAAATTTGATAACTTAGCTAAAATGGACCAATTCCTTGCAAGACGCATTCTCTCAAAGCTCACACAAGATAGACCTCAATAGGCATATGTATCTATTAAATAAACCAAAGCAGTAATTAATAACCTTCCAAGGCCAGGTACAGTGGTTCATGCCTGTAATCCCAGCACTTCACTTTGGGAGGCTGAGGCGGGTGGATCACAAGGTCAGGAGTTCGAGACCAGCCTGGTCAACATGGTGAAACCCCCTATCTACTAAAAATACAAAAAATTAGCTGGGCATGGTGGCATGCGTGTGTAGTCGAAGCTACTCAGGAGGCTGAGGCAGAAGAATCACTTGAACCTGGGAGGTGGATGTTGCAGTGAGCTGAGATTGTGCCACTGTACTGCAGCCTGGGTGACAGAATGAGACTGCATCTCAAAAAATAATAATGAAACTTTCCAAAACAAAGTGCCAGGACCAGCTGGGTTCACTGATGTGTTTTTGAGATACTTAAGGTAGAAATGATACCAAGTCTCTACCATCTCTTTCAGAAAATAAAAGCAGAGATAACACTTCCCAACTCATTTTGTGAGGCCAGTATTACCCTAATAGCAAAACCAGGCAAAGATATTACAAGAAAGGAAAACTACAGATCAATATTTCCATTGAACACAGATGCAGAAATCCTCAAAATATTAGCAAATCAGGAATGCAAGGCTTGTTCAACATTTGATATTCAGTGTAATCCATTGCATGCATTAGCAGCTCAAAGATGAAATACGATCATATCAATAGGTACAGAAAAAGCATTTGACAAAATCCAATATCCATTCATGTTAAAACCTCTCAACACAGAAGGAATACAGGAGAACTTACTCAAGTTGGTAAAGAACATACTACAAAAAACCCTACAGCTAACATTATCCTTGATGTTTCCAACTAGACACTTTCCTACTAAGATCAGGAACATGGCAAGGAACACCACACCACTGCTTTTCAGCATTGTACTGGAAGTGCTATATAATGCAGTGTTAAAAAAAAAAGAAATAAAATGCACATAGATTTGAAAGGATGAAATACAACTTTGTTCACAAGTAACATGATTGTCTTTGTAGAGAATTCTAAATAACAAAAACCCTGCTGACATTAATAAGCAATTACAGCAGGATTGCAGGATACAGTCCTCAGGTAGATGATAAAAAGGAATTGGACATCAAGTCATTAAAAGACACGGAGAAACCCTAAATGCTTATTGTTAAGTGAAAACCAATCTGAAAAGGCTTTCTATTTTGTATGATTGCAATTATATGACATTTTGGGAGAGGCAAAACTATTGAGCCAGTGAAAGGACCAGTGGTTGCTGAGAGTTGAGGGGAAAGGAGGGATGGCAGGTAGAGAGGTGATTTTTAAGGCAGTGAAAGTACTCTCTAGGGTACTGTAATTTGTCAAAACGCAGAGAATGGAAAACAGTGAACGGAAAACACAGAGTAAACCCTAATGTCAACTCTGGACTTCAGTTAATAATAATGTATCACTGTTGGCTCATTAATTGTAACAAATGAACCATAATGATGCAAGATGTTAATGATTGGGGAGCCTGTGGAAGATGGGAGGGGAAAGGGTTATATGAGAATTCTCTATACTTTTTGCTCAACTTTCTGTAACCCTAAAGCTACTCTAAAAAATGAAGTGTATCAAGTAAATAAATAACCAACCAACCAACCCTGAGGAACATCTTGTTTCTGTACTAAGGTGTTCTTTTGTTAGTTGTATGTTTCTGACTGAACATGTAAATCATCATTAGTGAACAATTGAATTGCTTTTGTACATCCTTAATATATTTTAAATTATGGTAACTGTGACCTGAAATTAAGGACTAGTATTTTTGGTTCTCTTGACATCTGAAGCCAATAGGGCCTCAAATGACCTAACCTCATTTCCATCCCCACTCTGCTTCCACAGGTGAGGTAACTTAGCAGACAGTCCTCCTTGTCAGGGGGGCCAGGCACAATTCCTGCTTATTCCTAAGTAGTAAGATTTGCTTCCCTGCCAGCTCTTGGAATTATCACCAAACCCCTCACATCCTCCCACAGCAAACAGTGGTCACTGTACTCTGGATAATACAGCTGCTCGCCACAACCCCTCCTTTTCCACTCTGCTCCCTAGTCGAACCCTGTGTGGCTCTTCCCAGCATGTGGTGTCCTTCTCACCTTTCTGAGAGTTGGTGTGACTGACAAACTCACCTAGATCTTATCTGTCCAGTGTCAGGCGTTCAGTGTTCAACCTTTCTATAGCATTGGGGTGGGGATCCTTCCTTCACCATCAGGGTGAAAAGGAAGCAGTTACAACCATTGGCATAAACAGGATGGCCCATCCGAAGCCAGGGTCATCCAGTCCAATTTTAACTAACTGCTCTTAGCTAACTGACAGGTTCCATATTATGGCAAAGGCTTCTTGGACAGAACCACCAGTTGCTGGCAGGTTTGCACTTGGCCTGTGCTGTAATGCACTTTTCTTGGGGGAGGTGAGTGTCGCATCTCTTCCCATTCTAAAATGCTGTTGTGCACAGGACAAGAGTGCTCACCCATTGGCTGTATCCCTTCATGACTTGACTTGGGCTCAGCCTGTTTGGCAGGTGGTCTCTGAGGCTCCCACCTGTACAGGTAGTGACCACACTGTACAGCACTTGACAGTCACTGTACAGTGACGAACTGATCAGCATTTGAGCCCCACTTTCCAAAGGTCTGGCTGGAGCTCTCTGATTATCATCACTGGCTGCATGGAACATCCCTACAGACTATTGTTTGTTACTGCACACCCCTGGCTTGGGCATGCAGATGGCCTATTGTGAGGTTTGTGGAAAGGCAGGAGACAACTGAGGGAGGTGAGTGTGGCACTCCAGTTGCCTAACAAGGCATTCAGGAAGGGTAGTACCTGCATCCCTTTCCTGTGCTGCTCCTTCACTTGCTGCCACCACACATGCTTTCCTGACCCCTAAGAGTGTCAAGATGCACATGCATGGTGGCCCATGGTCCAGGTGCTGATGAGAAGAGAAAAGGATACCAGTTCTCCCCAGATTACCAGAGGAAGTAATCTCTGTAACTCTCCTGCCCTCCCAATGCAAAACCCCTTGCCAGTGTGCCTGAGCGTGGCCTGGCATTGCTGCTTGCCAACATGCCACAGGGTCAACCTTGCAATCATGGGGCCTGATGGCCTACACCTGGGCCACAGACTACATGACCTTACCTTGAACATAGGGAGAGTGACTGTGACATCCAATATGCTTTGAGTGTTTGTGCCCCCTCCAAAAGTCATGTTGAGGCTGGGTGCAGTGGCTCAACAAATCCCAGCACTCTGGGAGGCCAAGCACAAATCCCAGCATTTTGGTAGGCTGGGGCGGCAGGATCACTTGAGGTCAGGAGTTCAAGACTAGCCTGGCCAACATGGTGAAACCCCGTCTCTACTAAAACTATAAAAATTAGCTGAGCATGGTCGTGCCTGTAATCCCAGCTAGTTGGGAGGCTGAAGCAGGAGAATCGCTTGAACCTAGGAGGCAGAGGTTGCAGTGAGCCAAGTTGGTGCCACTGCACTCCAGCTTGGGCAAGAGAGCAAGACCGTCTCAAAACAAAACAAAACAAAAAACAAGTCATGTTGAAACTGAATCCTCAGTGCAATAGCTTGCAAAGGTTTGGCCTTTGGGAGGTGGTAAGGTCATGAGAGCTCTACCTCATGAACGATTAGTGATCTTAGGAGCCAGCTGGAGAGAACACGCTAGAACCCTTTCTGCCCCTCCCCTTTCTGACATGTGAGGGCCCAGTGTCACTCCCCTCAAGAGGAAACAGCAAGGAGGGGCTGCCTTGGAAGCTGAGACCTGGCCCTCACCGGATACTCACCTTTCTGGCTCTTTCATCTTGGACTTCCCTGCCTCCAGAGCTGTGAGAGGTAAATTTCTATTGTTTATAAATGACCTAGTCTCAGGTGGTTTGTTATAGTCCATGGTTCACACAAATGGACGAAGACAAAATGTCTCTTGGAAATTTGGCATTTGGCCATGCTACACTCTCATCTCTGCACATGAGGAATATGTTGGGACACTATTGAAAAAAATCAAACTCAACACCTAACGGCATGGTCCCAATGCTGCGTAAGACATTTGTCAGATTATTTTCAGGGGAAACTGTGAGACTATTATGAGTGCGTGTGTATGGGCATGCAGCCTCTGTGTATGTGAGGTGAGGTTGGGAGAGAGATTTGTAATACCCCAGTTAATAGAATCAATCTGAAGGATTGCTTGAGCCCAGGAGTTCAAGGCTGCAGTGAGCTATGGTGGTGCCACTGCACTCCAGCCTGGGTGACAGAGTAAGACTCTGTCTCTTTAAAAAACAAAAGGCTGGGTGCGGTGGCTCACACCTGTAATCCCAGCACTCTGGGAGGCCGAGGTGGGCGGATCACGAGGTCAGGAGATTGAGATCATCCTGGCTAACACGGTGAAACCCTGTCTCTACTAAAAATAGAAAAAGTTAGCTGGGTGTGGTGGCAGGCGCCTGTAGTCCCAGCTACTTGGGAGACTGAGGCAGGAGAATGGCATGAACCCAGGAGGCGGAGCTTGCAGTGAGCTGAGATCACGCCGCTGCACTCCAGCCTGGACGACAGAGCGAGACTCCATCTCAAAAAAAAAAAAAAAAAAAAAAAAAAAAAAGAGGAAAAGTATCCTGTGCCGGTCATCTGGAAGTAAACAGTGAGTTTGGAGTATGCACACTCTAAAGAAACCCTAAAGCAAAATGCAACTGTGTCCGTGTGTAGTAATAACAGACTGGCATCTTTGCAGATACAAGCTATGAACTAGAGCAAGGCATTCTGACTGGTCCCACAGGTTCACATGGAAAGGAGATAGCACAAATGAATGAAGGAACTGTGGGAAAGACAGATATCTTAATAAATCACATTTCCTTTTTAAGGATATTTTTAAGGCACCGGTGGAAGCAGACATAGCTTGGTAATCTGTGGTGTATTCTCGGAAGGTACCACTTGAATGGGAAAGAGGAGACAGACAAAGACAACCAAGAGGCTTGAACTTGACAAAAATTATTTATAACAAAATGGGCAGCTTTGTGCATAGAGGTGCATGTAAATATATACAAAATGCTAATAGTATCAGAAGATGAACATCCTGCTTTGTTCAGTGATTTCATGGAGTTGTTTTGCATTTCCTTGTCATGTTCTCTGTCTACATGTTTAAAGGGAGGATTACATGTGAACACTATCCGGTATTATGCATCTAAGCTTGTGTTACCAATCATTGGTAGATAGATAGTGAGGTAACTTCTAGTTCCCATCTCCTCTGGTAAGAGCTAAGATGCAAACTCTTTGTGATGAACTGACATCAAGATGAAATATAGCACCCCTGTTTTCTCTGCGTCAGTCTGCCTTCAGGCTCACCCTGTGAACTCACCAAAGGGAGTGAAGTGTGGATGTGTCTCTTTTACCTATTTTCACCTTGGTTCAGTTCTGGTTTATGCATTGTCCAGACTACCCAGGATGTGACGATTGCAGGGAGGAGGTCATGTTTGTCATAAAAATGCTTTGGCTCCTTAGGATTCAGCAAAGGTATCCACTGCCTGGTGTCTGTGGTGCCTGCAGGACAGTGCATTCTGTAGGAAAACAGGAAGAAAAGAGGGCTTTCAGGCCATCTTCACATCAACCCTACGACAGACATTTTCAAATATTGTTCTCACCATCCTTACTCCCTCCCAGGCCCCTGAGATGCTCATGCCCTTGGATTAAACCCCTGCAGTGCTGGAAGAAGAGGACTCTGCACTGCCTGCCACACCAGGACTGGAAGATCCATGGCCTTCCCTTCTTCCAAACTACCTTCCCACAAGATGGGGATGGTGGTCACATCTCCAACACTAGCATGCTGTGGAAGAGACATCAGCATTCTTGCAACAAATCTGGAAACAGCCTAAAGAGACATTTCTACTTCAAAGAGTTGCACTGAGGAAGTGCACTGGCACTGCTGGGGACTCACCTGGGGCCCAGGGCTGAGGCTTCTCGTGTCCTTGGAGCTGCTGTCCTCCCGAGGAGTGTCCACACTGCAGCCAGCTCAGCCTCAGGTGTCTTCTCTGGTTTTGAAACCAAATCTAAGTGGGAAAAGAAGATTCAAGTTTTATCCGATTTAGTCTACATAATTTTAAGTATCTATTTGAGCTCAATACCAAGAATCACTTCCTTCTCTCTCCCATCTGTGATCTCCAGAGGAAAGGTCCCCGGGCTAGGAGACACTGGCTGGCATCCTAAAGCCAGAGCTGGCCAAAGGGTGTGTGTCCACTCTTCCTTCACCTCTTCCCCACCCCACACTTGTTTTTGTCTCACGCTCACTTGCTCTTTCTGCCTCCCTCTCACTCTTTAGGTCTCACAAAGGCTTTGGCCAAAGACTGACTGACTTTCCTTGGCTCTCTGTCATCTCCCCATAGTCAAAAGCATTTCATAACACACAATCCATGTGAAGGGACCTCTGATGAAAATCCATTTAAAGAGGAGCTCACTAATTATCAATACTTACTGCTGAGCCTGGAATCATTCATATATACCTCAGAGTTCATTCATTCCAGATGCAATACTAGATAAGGAGACTCCTATGAACCAAATATCTAACTCTGAATAGATAGTGACTGTCATAATCAAACCCTGTGGCTGCCTCCTCCTTACTGGAGGGTGTAGAGGAATGCAGTTTTTTGTTTGTTTATTTGTTTGTTTTGAGATCATCTCGCTGCAATGTCCAGGCTGGAGTACAATGGTGCGATCTCGGCTCACTGCAACCTCCGCCTCCCAGGTTCAAACAATTCTCCTGCCTTAGCCTCCCGAGTAGCTGGGATTACAGGCACACACCATCGTGCCCTGGCTAATTTTTGTATTTTGTGTAGAGACGGGGTTTCACCATGTTGGCCAGGCTGGCCTTGAACTCCTGACCTTGGATGATCACCCGCCTTGGCTCCCAAAGTGCTGAGATTACAGGCATGAGCCACCGTGCTCGGCCAGGAATGTGCTTTTAATCATTCCTTAGTGTTTCATGTGGGGACTTGATAACTCACGATAAGGATTCTATCCTAAAAGACAAGCGATACCTGTTGACCTGCTCTTATGTCCCAGGCAGTTTGTAAAACTGTTACATCTGTTCTCTCAATATGTCACTTCAAATACGATCAGGAAAGAAAGCTTAAACATGGCTGGAAATGTAGAGGCAACAAATACATTAGTGAACACCCTGGCAGATCCAGCCTCATTCTACATGGTTTCTTGTGCTTTCCTTCCGCACCACCAACTCCAGTGGGCTGGTTGCCAGTGCACCAGCCAATTTCCATGTCTTCCCATGGGACACACTTTTTTTTTTTTTTTGAGACGGATTTTTGCTCTTATGCCCAGGCTGGAGTGCAATGGCCCTATCTGGGCTCACTACAACCTCCGCCAACCGGGTTCAAGCAATTCTCCTGTCTCAGCCTCCTGAGTAGCTGGGATTACAGGCACATGCCACCACGACTGGCTAATTTTTGTATTTTTAATAAAGACAAGGTTTCACCATACTGGCCAGGCTGTTCTCGAACTCCTGCCTCGGCCTCCAAAAGTGCTGGGATTACCGACGTGAGCCACTGCCCCTGGCCTGGGACACACTTTCATTCTGGGATTTGATGTAGCACTCTGACACCTGGACTGGGTGCATAAAGAGAAGGAAATACATCTTCATCTGGCCTTCCTGAAACTCAGAACCCTGTATCCCAGAGCTTACTCAGGATTATAGCATTTGATATAAAACCCTGACCATAGGCTTTTCTTCGACACAGTCCCTTTTACTTAGTTATTGACAGTCTGGATACACTTCTCCTGGTGTGATTGTGATCTTTCCAGCTATTTCTTTCTTAACTGGAGAAACAGAAGGGTTTTTTTATTATTTATTTATTTATTTATTGAGACAGAGTCTCACTCTGTCACCCAGGCTGGAGTGCAGTGCTGTGATCTCAGCTCACTGCAACCTCTGCCCCCTGGGTTCAAGCAATTCTCTGCCACAGGTGCCTGCTACCATACCTGGTTAATTTTTGTATTTTTAGTAGAGATGTGGCCTCACCGTCTTGGCCAGGCCGGTCTTGAATTCCTGACCTCGTGATCCACCCGCCTTGGCCTCCCAAAGTGCTGGGATTACAGGCATGAGCCACCGCACCCAGCCGGTTTTATTTTTATATCCATTATTCCACTCAAAGTATTCCAAAACAGGATCAGGCATTAAACTCTCCAGTGTGTAAAGCCCACATAAAAACACTTAGTAGAGGCCAGGCACAGTGGCTCACTCCTGTAACCCCAGCACTTTGGGAGGCCAAGGTGGGTGGATCACTTGAGGCCAGGAGTTTGAGACCAGCCTGGCTAACATGGCAAAACCCCATCTCTACTAAAAATACAAAAATTAGCCAGGTGTGGCACACACTGGTAATCCCAGCTACTCGGGAGGGTAAGGGATGAGAATGGCTTGAACCTGGGAGGTGGAGGTTGTAGTGAGCTGAGATTGCATCACTGCACTCCAGCCTGGGTGATAGAGTGAGACTCTGTCTCAAAACAAAACAGTAGAAAAGAAACAAAAACCATGTGATGAGAAACGGGACTTTATGGCAGCACTGACCTCACTGTCCTCAATATGACCTATTAAAGAACAAGCATTCTGAGCATTCTGTAATATTGGTTCCAGGTATCAATTACAACCTATCATGATCATGGTGACCCTATTACCTATATTCTCTAGAGCATGCAAATATGATTTAATTTTCTCCTACCAGGAAAAAGGCCCAATTTCACTTCCTTCCCCCATCAATGAATACACCAGACCACATGTTCCATGATTGGTAAAAGGCAGAGATAGGGGTCTTACTTTCAGTTCATTCTTAACATGGTGTAATTGGAGACTGCTTAGCCCAGCTTGTCTTTTTTCTTTGACCCCAAGGAAATGAAACAAAAATACAAGCCCACCTGTATCCTAGACTCCAGACTGCTGATTTCTTTGGCCAGTTGTTCTCTGGTTGGTATGCCAGAGTAGGAGTTCTGCTTAAACAATGCTTGAAGGGCATCCTTTTGACTCGAGTTCAAGACAATTCTTTGTTGAGATTCTCTTGGGAGACAGCCTGGTTTAGAGAAATGGGTCAAAGCCATAGGAAGGATTTGTTGTGGATTCACATCTGTGATTCAGTGTATACAGGCCTTCTGTTGATACCGGGTTCAAGGTGTTGAGTCCCAGTGGTCACTCTGTGTTTGTACTTTTTGGATACACACTCCATGATTAACTGGGTGCAGGGCATTACACAGATTAGAAAGGGTGATAGCCTTCATCCAGAGATCCACACCAAAAAGTGAATCTCATGCCATTCATAACATTGCACACAAACAACTCAGAAACCAGTTGAAAAGGGAGACATTGAACGAAACATTCAGTTTCAAAATGTGAAAATCAAATTTGGACTTTCTGGGTTAAACACATATAGGGCAAGGGTTGAAAGACTACCTGTTGCGCTCTATGCTCTCTACATGAATAACAGAATCAATCGTTCCCCAAACCTCAGCATCACACAGTATACCCATGTAACAAAACTGCACATGTACCCCCTGAATCTAAGATAAAAATAGAAATTATTTTTAAAATTGTCAAAAAAAAATTAAAGATGTTATCTTCAAAGGGTGGTCATTAGGATGAACCTTGATGTGGTCGGAGGGAGGCATGTAGCTGAGTCCCAGTGTTTATATCTGGAGAGGAGAGTGAATGGCCTTGCATCCCCCATGCAGGGACAATGACCAGCAGGGTGTCAAGATCTGTTGTAATATTTGCACCATTACTGAAGATCTGTGTAGCAAACTGGTTCCCAGGGAACTCTTGGCAGGAATCAGAATGCATCTATGTCACTCCTTGTAAAATTAAAAAGGAAACAACAGGAACAACAAAAAACCCGGCAACATTTCCTAGTATTTATGATGCCAGACATTTTCTGAGAGCTGTGTGGCAGCCTTCTTAGTGGAGAACACAGTTTTTGTCCCACATCTCCATTCATCTGGGTCACTGTGCTTCACTCACATGGCATTGCAGTGCTGTGAGATACACCACAGATACAGTCAGCTTTGTCCTGGGACTGGATGTTAGAGATGGTTAAGGAGTGGTCAGCCTCAGACCTGGAGCCTGAGAAGTGATCAGGGATCCCGTCCCCCTTGCCATGGTTTCCATCACTCTTAAGCCACATCACACACCAAGGGTCTTCCCTGACCATGCTACCATGCAGTGGTGTAGGTGCTACGCTTACTGCTCAGTGTGCAGGTGAGTTTGTCTGAGGCTCCCAGGCTGGAAGAGGGACCCTGAAAACAAACTCATTACATCCTGGAGGAAGGAGAAGAGGGGACAATTCTGTCATGAGCGAGCCAGGGATCAGGATGCTGAGGGCCATCTTGGCCTGTTCCATGAAGGAGGAGGATAAAGAGGAGGAGTACGGTGTATGCCACAGTCCAGATACCCCAGTGCTCTACTGAGGCAGCCATGCTGCAGGTCTCTTATCCATCCTCCAGTCCCTAGAGAAACAGGGGCCCTTCATGCAAACCCTTGGCCAACCAAACCCTCGTGGGGTCTTTCCTGCCCTGTGACTAGGTGTCATTTCTGGGAGGCGTGGGCCTGTGCTTACCCTGGCTTGAGGCTCTGCAGGGGCCCAGGGAGGACTCAGCTGCTAGCCCAGTGAGTCCTGAGTGGAGGCCAGGATCAGTGTCTGTTTCCCCATTTCCCCAGCTGAGAGCCCCACAGGTCCCCTCAGGGCAGGCCCACAGGTTATCCTCTCTGTGACTAGAGGAGGAGTGGTTTTCACAGAGGCTCCTGCTTCCACCTAAGCCAGGACCCCTGCCCACTCACTGCCCAATGACAGAGTGAGGTTCTTCCTCAGGGCAGCCGCCTGATGTCTCAGTCTTTAGTTTTCTATGTAGGCCTCCTCATTGGGAACAGGGTGCACAATTCTCACTTCATAAGGAGTTCTTAAGGGAAGGGTTATCTCATATACAAATTGCAGCTGAAATAAGCATACATTATCTACAAGCAGGGGCCATTCAGCCCTGAACCCACTTGCCAGGGTACTCATGAAGCCAGGTTTCTCTCTCCCCACTTGATTGCTCAGGAGATCAGCATATAGTGAGCAGTCTGGTGAGTGCTGGGGAGGACAAATTCACCTGATTGATAGATCCACTGAATTCTCTGTCAAGTGAGGAGAACCCCGGGAGTAGAAGGAGAAAGTACTGGAGAATCAGAAGACTTGGGGGTTTTTCTGAAGTGAGGGGTTAGAGAGATTCACTAAAGGAAGGGGATGCAAGTGACAACTTACAAGATCTGAAAAACTTCCCATGGCTGTTTGGACATAGAGAACTTGCTGACTAAGTGAGGAGGTCACAGGGGAGAAGGAGATGGTAGGAAAGAAAGACTGGAGAATCAAGACAGGAAATTGTGAATCAGAGATGAGGAATGGGAGAGGGTGAGTATGTTCCACACTTTATCAAAGACTGGAGGAGGCGCCAGTGGGGACATTGAACAGGAGTCAGAGGGCAGGTTGAGGTTTGGGGTGTGTTTACTTTCATTTCTGGTTTGTTTCTTAAAGTGGCACCTCTGTCAGCATCTCAACTGTCCTCTCTAGCCATCTTCCTACCTGGACTAGGAATTTTTAAATTTAATTTAATTAATTTATTTATTTTGAGATGGAGTCTTGCTCTGTTGCCCAGGCTAGAGTGCAATGGCATGATCTCAGCTCACTGCAACCTCCGCCTCCCTGGTTCAAGCAATTCTCCTGTCTCATCCTCCTGAGTAGCTGGGACTACAGGCTCCTGCCACCACATCTGGCTAATTTTTGTATTTTTAGTAGAGATGGGGTTTCACTTTGTTGGTCAGGCTGGTCTCGAACTCCTAACCTCAGGTGATCCAGCCGCCTCAGCCTCCCAGAGTGCTGCTATTATAGGCGTGAGCCATGGTGCCTGGCCCTGGACCGGGAAATGTTTAAGTCAAAAGTCTAGTTCTCTCCGCAAGAGATTACTCTTTGGTTTCTGTCTGCTCATGGCTTTCCTTCTTGTTTTCCACCATTCTTATGAATTTGAGGATATTAAAATATGTATGGGAAAATTTGGGGGAAAGGACCCTTTAGAAATGCGAAGTCAGGTCCTATTCCAGACCCACGGAATCAGAATTCACACTTTACACGATCTCAGATGATGTGTGCGCACAGTAACATCTGAAAAGCTCTGGTCTGACTCAGGCATGAAAGCACTGGTGGGTGTTTGTGACAGATTGTTTCTCATGCCTCAGTCTAGTCTCCCTCCTGCAAATGTGCCCAGCACGCTCCCTGCCTGCACGCTCTCTTGAGCAGGAGATGCCAGGCATGCTGCACTTGAGGCTTCCCACTGCACACGGAGACATCTCCCCTGAGCTCACAGATCCATAGCGCTTCAATAACAAGATGATCTGCACATTTTTATTGATATTAATAAGCAATTACAATTAGCTAAAAATCAATATGTATTAGTACCTATGATAAAAATAATATTGTGGCCGGGCGCAGTGGCTCACACCTGTAATCCCAGCACTTTGGAAGGCCGAGGCGGGCAGATCGCCTGAGTTCAGAAGTTCGAGACCACCCTGGGAAACATGATCAAACCCTGTCTCTACTAAAATATGAAAAATTATTGGGGGGCTGAGGCAGGCAGATCACCTGAGGTCAGGAGTTCGAGACCAGCCTGGCCAACATGGTGAAACTCTGTCTCTACTAAAAACACAAAAATTAGCTGGGCATGGTGGCAGATGCCTGTAATCCTAGCTACTCAGAAGGCTGAGGCAGGAGAATCGCTTGAACCTGGAGGCAGAGGTTGCATGAGCTGAGATTACACCATTGCACTCCAGCCTAGGGGACCAGAGAGAGACTTTGTCTCAAAAAAAAAAAAAAAAAAATTAGCCAGGCATGGTGGTGTGTACCTGTAGTCCCAGCTACTGGGGAGACTGAAGCACGAGAATCGCTTGAGCCCTGGAGGCAGATGTTGCAGTGAGCCGAGATTGCGCCACTGCACTCCAGCTTGGGCTACACAGTGAGACTCCATCTAAAATGTATATATACACCAAACATATATATATATGTGTGTGTGTGTGTGTGTGTGTGTGTGTGTGTGTATGTGTATATACATATATATACACCATATATATATATATAATATATATATATTTTTTCATGTATCCTCATGACCAGGGAAATTATTTAAATTAACCTAAAATGACACTAATGGTATATAAAATATAGAAAGATAAACAGAAAAATAATCACAATTGTGGAAATATTAGGGGTATACATGAAATAAATGCATGCAAATTCAAAATATAGGTATATTGATTTGTCTTGGTGTATCAGCGTCCTAGGCCTGAAATCACATGGACCACAAACTGGGTGGGTTAAAACAACAGAAATGTCTCAGTTCTCGGAGCTAGTAGTGCAAAATTCATAGGCAAGACCAGGTTCCCTCTGATGCTTCTAGGGGAAACCTGTCCTTCCTGGCTCCCGGTGGTTTCTCATTTTTTTCCTGCTCCTCCTCTTTGCCATCCTTCCTCCATTCAGCAGGATGGCCCTGCATCAACTCAGTCCATGCATGTGAACCCACCACCTCCATGCACCACATTAAGCACAGCTCCCTGAGTGATCCATAATCATCAACCTCCAGGCACTGACAGTCACTCTGTGTCCTCCCAGCTTTTGGAGAAACTTGTGGACAAGTCATCTCCAAGTAAAGAAGATCTTGTCAATGTAAGACCATGCTTCTTTCTTATACAGAAATTTTGCTTTCCTGGTTTATTTCTTTTCCAATCAAATTTAGAGATAAAAATCTGACAATGTACATTATGGGAGATATAAAATATCCTTAGTTGAGGTGGTATTAGGTGGGCATCTCTTACTAACTGACAGTTTCCATTATAAACTGTAATGAAGAGGCTCTAGTTTTCCCCTTTGAATTAAGGACACTGCCACAGCTAATCTAAATCAACTTGAAAGATAAATTTGGCAGGAAAATATCTTATCTTTTCCACAGTTATCCTCCGTGCTAGTTTTGGGGAACTTTGATTTTTGACTTAACCACTGTACCCCTTCTGGGTTTCTAAAGTCATCAAGAGAAAAAACAGACCTGTGTGAAGTGCACAGCATAATATAATCCTCACAGTGCTTTTAAAATATGATTGCAGATGTCATCAGCCTCAGGGGAGAGTGGTATGTACCTTGAAATAACTCACTGAGGCACAAACTTGCTGACTTCTTGTCCTCCATCTTGGAGAAGATAAGGAGGATATGAAGGATGGAGAGAAAGAGGAAGAGGAAATGTGATGGTGGAGTGGGTAACATAAAAAAGGGAAGCCAAATAAGTATATGTGTTCTCAGTGGCTTCTCACTTTCTTTTGGTCCATCAAGGAGACCAACACATCTGAGGAGAGTGGTGATAGGCTGCTGTTAGCTGGGACCACACTTGCACTTTGAAAACAACCCCCAAAATCCCTGCAGGCAAATGAAGGATTTCCTGAGAACATCCTCCCAGGGAGCAGATACCCATTCTGCAGAAGCTCTAAGCCTGCTGGGCTAAGCCCTCCACAGGCCACTTTAATGAGGAGGAGAGGCTGTAGGTAGTGGTAGGACAACCATGTTGCATGAATTTTCTGTGTGCCCCGTCTTTTGACTCCATCTCAAAAAAAAAAAAAAAGTATGTGTGTTGCTTTGAAACACAAGTGCAGATGTTTATCAGCAGCCTTTGCCTTTGTGGGAGTTGTAAACTAAAAATAAAATTATAACCCCTCACTGACTGAACAGGCCCTCCCTTAGTCAAAGAGACCCCAGAAATACCTTAAAACTGAGTTTCTGGCCATGATGAGATGGGAGGAGGTTCAGACACATCTCATTATACCCCCTCATGTTTATGGTTTAGACAGAACTGCCCAGCATTAGTGTGAAAATAGAGATAATAAGACTGACATAGCTGGGCGTGGTGGCTCTCGCCTGTAATCCCAGCACTTTGGGAGGCTGAGTCGGGCGGATCATGAGGTCAGGAGATCGAGACCATCCTGGCTAACATGGTGAAACCCTGTCTCTACTAAAATACAAAAAATTAGCTGGGCATGGTGGCAGGTTCCTGCAGTCCCAGCTACTTTGGAGGCTGAGGCAGGAGAATGGCGTGAACCCGGAAGGCGGAGCTTGCAGTGAGCCAAGATTGTGCCACTGCACTCCAGCCTGGGTGACAGAACGAGACTCCGTCTCAAAGAAAAAAAAAAAAGACAGACATAATGGACTCTTTGTGGCAATGAGATACCAAATTATAAACAGGACTCAAGGCCACAACAGGCAAGGGTTAAGTCATGCACCCTAAACTTAAAGAATAAACTGTGTTCTAACTGCCGCAAGTTAATTTTTCTCTAGCAGCTAAACAAGCACTGACCTCAAGATAAGCAATATTAAAATAATTGTAGCTCAACACCAGATACTGACTAACTTCCAATCCCTGTTCCACAAGCCATAACTGTAGCTTTGATTGGACAAGAGACTGATTTCAGTAACTTTTCCTGATAAGAAGACCACCTACAGTTTGTCAAGCTCCTGTAGGGCCAGCATAACCATGGCAACCCTGAATAGTCTGTGAATGTTTGCAGGCCCCTTGCTGGTCTAATTTCAGGTACATCACGAAATGAAGCCGGCATCTAATGGAGAAGTAATGTCATGTACACTAACATACGATACCAATGTTGATGAAGATAAAACTTGCCCTCCTACCAAATGGGAAATTAATCACTGGATACACACAATTATGAAAAAACTGGACATCAAGATTGTCCATCTCTACCTCTGTGCCAAACTCTAGACTTTCATTAATAAGAATGTATCAATATTGGTTCAGTCATTGTAACATTTACCACAGTCATGTAAGATGTGATTACCAAAAGGATGCTGAGGTGGGGGAAGGGTATATGAGAACTTTCTGTACTACTTCTTCAGTTTTTATGTTAATTCAAAACAGTTTCACATAATGTCCATTAATTTAAAAAATATGGTAGCATTGTTCAGGAAGTGTTTCATTTTAGTTAATGTTTAACAAGCAGCTAAATATCTAAATACTACATTGAGATATTCTATACTATTAAAACTGAAACAATTTTGAAGTTGTAAATATATCTTCTGTAGTTGTAGCACTAGTGATTGACTTAATAAACTTAAATTTGCACACATGAAATAAAGAATATAGCATAGCAATTTTAGAGTTGTCTGAAATATGGGATGCTGAATAATCTAGAATTGTTATCCTTGAATGAACTTAACAATTTAATTTCCACAGTACTTTCAGTTGACTGCTTTCCAGTGTGCACCTAGTTATGAGGCCAGTGGCAGATTATTCTCTTCCTCAGCTTGGTGTGGACGGTAGATTCTCTTGATCCCTCAATATCTACTGTCATATCCTGGAGGCAAGATGCTGGGAAACGTACTATGAAAAAGACAGCTTTTGACATCTTCCTGCCAGAGGCCGCAGATAAATGAGTAATCATTTATTTACAGCTTAAATGTTTGACCCATTGTTCACCATCTGCATAGTGAAACCCCCTGAATCTCAGTTGGATTTTAACAAGAACCTGCAGTGCGGGCTGCACTCATAACCAACAGACAGACTGTGTAGGCAAATGCCTGTATTGAGATGAAACAATATAGAACTATTGGAGTGACCAAGAGCACTGGGCCTGGTGCATAAAGGTATGGGTTCAAGTCCTAGTTAGAAGATGCACAAACCTGAGAAAGTTATGGAGGTCTCTCTGTGCCTCAGCTCCCTGTTCTGAGGTATTGAAATGTTAATATGGCCTATGTTATGTTATAAGGCTAAAAATGGTGAAATGGAGGTAAAGCTTTTAGAAGACTGGTGATTCATAAGTGCCCTAAAGTGTTCAATCATTATATGTCTAGAAGAATATGCCAGAACCTTGGTAGTGGTTGAATACAGAGAAGAAACATGGGTGGCTCCAGGGGAGTGGAGGATGGAATTTTCTTCTTTCTTTCCATGGGTATGATGCTTTACAGCTCATGGAGAATATCTGCTATTTCTTGTGATGCTTACACCAGCCTGGAGGAATGGGCAGAGCAGGGGCTACAACCCATATTTGACAGTTCAGGGAAGTGAAATGGAGAGATTTGAAATGGTCTGCCCAGAATCACAGCACCGATGAGTGATGGACCTGGCACAAGAAGGTAATTGGTTTTCTGTGGACTGAGGTCTCTGAAGACCTGAGACCTTGAAATAATACCCTGAACCCTTAACAAAGAGCTATTTTCACTTGCTTTCTCAACTGCTCCTACCCCAAAGTTTCTTCAGGAAGGCTGATTCCCTGGAAGAGGTGGCTAAGTCAAAAGAAGAGCTGAAACAATAATAAAAAAAGAATCCTTCAACCTCTAGGTTTTAATCCCTGATCTCACCTTGCAGTATAAGCCAGCTTATAATCAGTTGACCATCCTAAGGGACCATGGTCTGCTTGGCCCCGTGTTAGTCCATCCTTGCATTGACATAAAGAAATACTTGAGACTGGGTAATTCATAAAGAAAAGAGGTTTAATTGATTCATGGTTCTGCAGGCTGCAGAGGAAGCATAGTGGCATCTGCTTCTTGGGAGACTTCTAGAATCTTCTAATCATGGTGGGATGTGAAGGGGAAGTAGGCATCCCACATGGCAGGAGAAGCAGCAAGAGAGAGTGAGAGCAAGATGCCCCACACAGTTATGCAACCAGATTTCATGAGAACTCACTTTTGCAAGGACAGCACCAAGGGGATGGTGCTAAACCATTCATGAGAACACTACCCCCCTGAGCCAATCACTTCCCACAAGGCCCCACCTCCAATACTGGGGAAGACAATTCAACATGAGATTTGGGAAGGGACACATATCTAAACTATATTATTCTACCCCTTGCCACTCCCAAATCTCGTGTCCTTCTCACATTTCAGAATACAGTTATGCCTTCCCAACAGTCTCCCAAAGTCTTAGCCCATTCCAGCATTATCTCATAAGTCCGAAGTCCAAAGTCTCATCTGAGACAAGGTAAATTTCTTCCACCTGTAAAATAAAAACAAGTTAAACTTACTTCCAAAATACAATGGGAGTACAAGCATTGGGTAACAAACCCCATTCCAAAAGAGATAAATAGGCCAAAAGAAAGGGGCTACAGGCTCCATGCATATTCAAAACCCAGCAATGCAATCATTAAATCTTAAAGCTCCATAATAATCTCCTTTGACTCCATGTCCCACATCCAGGGCATTGGTGCAAGCAATGGGCTCCCGAGGTGTTGGGCAGCTCTGCCTCTGTGGCTTTGTAAGGTTCAGCTCCCAAAGCTCATGGGCTGTAGTTTACTGCTTGCAGTTTTTCCATGTGCAGGGTGCAAACTGCCAATAGATCTACCATTCTGGGGTCTGAAGGATGGTGGCTCCACTAGCAAATGCCCCAGTACAGACTCTGTTTGGGGGCTCCAAACCCACATTTTTCCTCCACACCACCCTAGTAGAGGGTCTCTGTGAGGGCTCCACCCCTGCAGCAGGCTTCTGCCTGGACACCCAAGCTTTTCCATACATCCTCTGAAATCTAGGTGGAGGGTGCCAAGCCTCATTTACTCTTTCATTCTTTATACCAGCAGACTTAACACCGTATGGAAGCCACCAAGGCTTATGACTTACACTTGTCAGAGCAGCAGCCCAAGCTGCACCTGGGCCCCTTTAAGCCACAGCTGGGTATGGAGTTGCCAAGAGGCAGGGAGCAGTGTCCTGAGGTTGTGCAGGGCAGTGCAGGCCTGGGCCTGGCCTCCAAAACCATTCTTCCCTGGGCCTCTGATCCTGTGTTTGGATGGGCTGCCTCTGAGATCTCTAAAATGCCTTCAAGCCTTTTTATTGTCTAGGCTATCAGCACTTGCCTCCTTTTTAGTTATACAAATTTCTCTAGCTTGTGGTTACTCAGCAGCCCACTTGAATTCTTCTGAAGATAGACTTTGTTTTTTTTTTCTGCCACATGGCCAGGCTGCAGGATGCAAATTTTCCCAACTTTTATGTTCTGGTTACCTTTTAAATAGAAGTTCCAACTTATTTCTTTGCTCCCAAATCAAAGCATAGGCTGTTAGAAGCAGTCACATCAGTTTTTTTGTGTTTTTTTTTTGTTTGTTTTTTCTTTTTTTTTTGAGACAAGGTCTCACTCTGTCACCCAGGCTGAAGTGCCATGCCATGATCATGGCTCACTGCACCCTAGACTTCCCAGGCTTAGGTAATTGTCCCATCTCAGCCTCCTGAGTAGCTGGGACTATGGGCTCAAGCCACCATGCCAGCTATTTTTTTTATATTTTTAGAGATGGGATTTTGCCATGTGGGCTAAAGTGATCTGTCTGCCTTGGCCTCTCAAAGTGCTAGGATTACTGGTGTGAGCCACCATACCTGGCCCATGCCACTTGAACACTTTGCTGCTTAGAATTTTTTTTTTTTTTTTTTTGCCAGATACTCTACGATATCACTGTCAAGTTTAAACTTCCATAGATCCCTAGGACATAGATGAAATCCAGCCAAGCTCTTTGCTAAGGCATAACGTGTGACTTTTGCTCTAGTTTCCAATAAGTTCCTCATTTCCATCTGAGACCTCATCAGCCTGGACTTCACTTTACATATCCCTATCAGCATTTTGGTCACAATCATTTAACCAGTTTCTAAGAAGTTCTAAACTTTCCCTCATCTTCCTGTCTTCTTCCAAGTTCTCCAAACTCTTTCAACCTCTGTCCATTACCTAGTTCCAAAGCTGCTTCCACATTTTCAGGTACCTTTATAGTAATACCCCACTCCTTGGTACCAATTTTCTGTATTAGGCCATTCTCACATTGCTATAAAGAAGTTCCTGGCCAGGTGCGGTGGCTCATGCCTGTAATCCCAGCACTTTGGGAGGCCAAGGTGGGCAGATCATGAGGTCAAAAGTTTGAGACCAGCCTGACCAACATGGTGAAATCCTGTCTCTACTAAAAATACAAAAATTAACCAGGCGTGGTGGCACACGCCTGTAATCCCAGCTACTCAGGAGGCTGAGGGAGGAGAATTGCTTGAACCCAGGAGGAGGAGGTTGCAGTGAGCCAAGATCACGCCACCACACTCCAGCCTGGGCGACAGAGCGAGACTCTGTCTCAAAACAAACAACCCCCCCCCCCCCAAAAAAAAGCAACAACAACAACAACCAAAAAACAAATTCCTGAGACTGAGTAATTTATATAGAAAAGAGATTTAACTGGCTCAGGGTTCTGAAAGCTTTACAGGAAGCATGATACTGACATCTGCATGGTTTCTGGGGAGGCCTCAGGAAACTTAGAATCATAACAGAAGGCTAAGTGGGAGCATGCACATCACATGGCCAGAGCAGGAGCAAGGTAGGAGGAGGTGTCACACACTTTTAAACCAGATCTCACTATTGCAAGAGCAACAACAAGCATTTATGAGATATACACTCCCGTGACCCAGTCACCTCTCACCCAGTCATCTCCAATACTGAGGATTACAATTCACCATAAGATTTGGGCAGGGACACATATCCAAACTATATCAGCCCCCAATCTGGCTCAGAACTCAGGACATTTTAAACCAATTGCCAGTTGATGGCTGTGCCAAGAATCAACTTCCATTCAACTGGCCAACCTTTCATGAGTGGCTAATTGAAATTAACTGAAAATATGCCTGTCTGGGCTGATGCTTTAGTGGTTTAATGAATTAAATCTGTGACCCCAACTGTCTCACTGAGTTAATCTGAGCAACTATCTGAGCAACCTGGAGTAAGGCATACTTGAGAATGGGGAGTACCTAAATAAAGCCTATTTAAATAACTTGGAAGTCAAACCTGATGAAATGAATACTTGAATTTAATTAGACACAGGCATAATGTATTCAAGGTCGTGAGTGAACATTGTACTATAGAGGAATGTAAACATGAAAACTAGCACCATGAGCAGGTAGATATATGGCTCCTAGTATTAGGTTGGTGCAGTAATTGTGGTTTTTTGCCATTGAAAGTAATGGCAAAAACCACAATTACTTGTGCACCAACCTAATAATAGAATGGGAAGTTTCCTGATTACTTGCAACAATTCAGACATATCAAAAAGTTAAGAATATAAAATCATGTTACATCTGCAAAAATTTTTTTTAACCTTTGAGATCAATATTTTAGTATTATAACAGCAGAAATAGAATATGAGGGAAAAGTTAAAAGAGCTGATGGAAAAGTTGAAGGACAAAATTACCGTTCTAGTGAAGTAAAAAGATACACCTTTTGAAGGGGAAAAGAAACAGAGGGCAATGATGTGTGATCTGTAAATAATGTGTAAAACAATAGTAAAGGTTGAACTTCTGAGATATAAATCTCAGAAGTTTTAAAAAGAGACAGATTTGAGAATTAAAAATTATTACCACGTGTAATCTCATTGAGAACAAATCTTTTTTTTCTTTTTTTTTTTTTTTTTCTGGCTCCAAAGATCCTTTACTGAGATCCACTTGAAACACTTTGGTCCTTATCTTGTTAACTGAGTTGACAGGCTGATGGTTGATCTAGGTAAAGGTTTCACGGTAGCCTATAATATATCAAAACAGGTTCCTGAATAATGTATGTGAATGTCGTCAGGGTCTCTGTCCCATCTTCTTCAGGGTTCGATTAAGCTCCTCGAATCTGTGGATCTGACGGATGAAGAAATTCCCATAGCGCCTGGCGACCTTGGTGTCCATGATGTGGATCATGTCCTTATCAATGTAGAAGTCAACCTCTGAGGCTGACTGAAATTCATCATCCAGGGTTGTGATGCTGCTGGTCCACACCAGGTTCTTCAATTTGTGTTTGAAGACAGGAAGCTGGATCCTGAACTCCTGCTCTGTGAGGTCCAGGAAGCCAGCCAGCTTGGCCACAGGCATGGTGGTGTAGAGCTTGAGGAAGCTGCGGATGGTTGAAAGCTGGGCCTGCTGCTGTACTTCATCAGAAAACACCTTCGGCTGCTGCAGGAAGGGCTCTTTGTGGTAGTTGGGGTGCACATTATCGTAGTTGGGCACTACAGGCGACAGGAACTTGGGGCAGAAGTAACTGAAAAGTTCTTCATAGACTTCTGGGTCACCTTTCTGCATGCACAGCATCTTGTTGCTGTATTTATCCCACCGCTGGAGGTGAATGCTCTCATCAATACTCATGGGGTACATCGTGAGGGCAATGGCCAGCAGTGCATGCATCTGCTCATTCTGCTTGTTAATCATCTCATACTTGTATGTGGTCCTCTGGAACATGCTCTTGGTCCTCTGGATGTAGAGGAGGATGTTGGCAAAGACCCGGATGGCATCCTGGTAGTGACACATCATCAAATATGCAAACCCAACATAATAGTATGTGGTGACCTGGCACTCTGGCACACGGGAATATATACTCTTTTTGTTAAGTTCGATGGAGAACAAATCTTAAGCTTAATTTTTAAAAAAAATTTAGTTGGGTATTAATGCATTTTAATATTATGGCTAATTTTAATAAGACCTTATAAACAAATCTAATCCCAATCTTGACTGCAAAAGAATTTCATAAACATTTTTATAACCTTTTATAATATTTTATTTTATAACCTTTTATATCCATTTAATGTTATTTATCTTTTACATTTTTCTTTAAAACAATCCCTCAAAACTTCTAAACTAGGCAAAATTATGTTTCCCACCATGAAATTTCAGTTTTTTTTCCTCAAAATCTCCAGACTTAGGCCACTTTAATATTTGGTTTCAGATTTTGACATTTATACTCAGAAGATTTTGGTCTATAATTTCCCTTTCATAGAATGTCTCATACTGTATTTTGTATCAAGATTCTCCTCATCTGATGAAGGCAGTGTGGTTGTGTTTTTTCTGTATCTATTCTATGAAAGATTGTGTACAAAAGTGGTGTGGGGAAACAGTACATTTTTCTAAAAATAGGAAAATATTTAAGACAAAAAGCTTGGTGGAAGAATCAAAAGTACAAATCAGTAATAATACTATAAAACATGTTCATAAATCCATAGACGAATTGGAGTGGGGGAAACAAAAAAATAAGGAAGACATTTTGAGTACAAGTGAACTGGCTTATCTGAAGAAACCACAATCAGAAGATGAAAGTGAACATGCCTCAGCAACAGTACACAAAATTCCCCATATTTGAGCGTTCTTTGTATGACGTTCCAAAATTGACAAATGCTGTCAAACTTGAACCTCAAAGCTCATAGAGTGATAGTTAGAATGGAAGGCAAGATATGCCTCATCACATGATCACAGTGATAGGTCGCTGTAGAATTTTCAAATGAATACATGCCACATTATGGGGTCCAACTGCTGCTATTTTGACATGAGTAAAAGGGTCACTTAGAGTATATGTTGCATTTCAAAAACTGAATCCCAGACCCACAGTATTATTCTCTGTGTATGAGATAAATGTTAAATGAGGCAAAAGACCTGTCTCTCAAATATATTTGATAGTGAACATTTCAGAGTAAAGAGGGAAAAAGCTAACATGATGAGAATAAAAGGAGTTCCATGCTTGAGTTGAAATGCCCTCCCCACCCATTTCTACTGTTCCTGAATCACTGGACATTTCTAGATTAAATAATTTAAAATTTGTTCCAGATTTAGTTTTAAAAGCATTATTATAAATTTAATTTTAAAAAGTAATTATATAAAACCTTCTTTTATCACTTATGTATAGTACCTACTTTTTCTCTCTATGCAACTACGTTTATGTACTTATTTCTGAATCTCTTTGAATTTATGGAGAGATCCTCCATTAATGTATACATAAAAGGCTGGCTATTCACTGAAACATTAAGAAAAATGAAGCAGTATATGTTCACCAGTCAGTTGTATGAAAACATATAATTAATAATTTTTTGAATGGAGACTTCTTTTTTTTGTGAGAAATAAATTCTTTATTAATTAACCAGTCTGTGATAGTCTGTTATAGCAACATGAAACAAGCTAAGATTCATGGGAAACATTATTTATAATGCAGCCTATTTACTGATGTCTCCAGATAACTGTAATAATAAGCAGAATGACACATGCACGTGTATGTTTATTGTGGCACTACTCACAATAGCAAAGACTTGGAACCAACCCAAATGTCCAACAATGATAGACTGGATTAAGAAAATGTGGCACATAGACACCATGGAATACTATGCAGCCATAAAAAATGATGAGTACATGTCCTTTGTAGGGACATGGATGAAGCTGGAAACCATCACTCTCAGCAAACTATCGCAAGGACAAAAAACCAAACGCCGCATGTTCTCACTCATAGGTGGGAGTTGAACAATGAGAACACCTGGACACAGGAAGGGGAACATCACGCGCCAGGGCCTGTTGTGGGGTGGGGGGAGGGGGGAGGAATAGCATTAGGAGATATACCTAATGTAAATGAGGAGTTAATGGGTGCAGCACACCAACATGGCACATGTATACATATGTAACAAATCTGCACGTTGTGCACATGTACCCTAAATGGAGACTTCTGATAACCCTAAATTCCAGGATTATATATGTGTTGTGGCACATCAGTCAGCCTGATCACACACATTCTTATGATCTGGTCATGAGAATTAGGAAAGGGAAGGGAATTGACAAGCCCTTTAAACACGCAACAATGGAAAATTCTAAAATAAACATGAGAGAGTTGTCATGTCTAAAACAAAGTAGATACCCTTTTAGATATGAAATGGTTCAGTACAAATTTCCATCACTGCTGATTCATTACAAGTTTCTAGAACTATTTTATCAAATGGGTCACTGATGAGATAAAAACTGCATTAATATAGATGTTGCCATTTTTTCAGGGATTATTTAATTGAAGGGGTAGTTGACAGTGTTTGGGAAGGAACGTGTAATATTTCCTCACTCTGAGTATAGAATTTTAATGGTTAATAGCTAGATAGAAAAATGTGTGTGTGTGTGTGTGTGTGTCCCCATCACAAACATACATATACATGTCCAGTGACTCAGGAATTTCACCACTGCCTGTTTCATATGAAATTTAAGATTTAGTGCTGAAACGGAAGAAAAACTAGAAAACAGTGTTACATCTCTGAATGCTCAATTAGGGGAGAAAATAAAAAGTATTTGGGAATATATCAAGAAAATAGAACCATCTGATTGAAGGAACAGCATTCAAAGAGCAGATCAACTTTCATTTGGTTCAGCAAAATACTTTCCTTCCTGCTGCCACCTGAGTGTCCACAGTGAATGAAGAGTAAATGAATAAATATAAGCAAAGCCCTTAAAAGCTTCCTCACAGTGTCAGTGCTATATGATTGTTTAATTAATAAATCTGGAAAGATGTGCAGAAACTTAATTGTTACTTCCAGAGGCAGAACCTGATAGGTTGTGGAAGAGGGAAAGAAGGAAACCTAGATTTCAGTGTGTTATTTTGTACCTTATGAATGTCCTACAAGTGTGTTATTCTTGGTGCTTTTACTGTGATTTTTTTTTTAAGAAAGAACCATCACCACCAAAATAATGCATAAAACAACCACTTTATTTTGTTCATGGTTCACAGGGCTAGGAAGACAGAAAAGCTGGCTTATTGCTGCTTATTGGTTTTGGGGACTGCAGAGAAGACTCATTGGCTGGAGTTGAATCCACAGCAAAGGGTTGGCATCATCTGGAAGTGACTTCACTCACATGTCTGCAGAGGACATGGGGCTTGGCTGCAGGACCTATAGGAGACCTCCCAGGTACTCTGGGATTCCAGGTAGCAGAGCAGTCTCAGGACATTCAGAGCTTTGACTTGGTGATCAATAGCACCATAGGTGAGTGACCTGAGTGAACAAGGCAGATGCCCATGGCCTTTTTAAACATAACTTTGGAAGTTACAGAGCATCACTTTCATGTCATGTGTCAGTGACAAGTTAGCACTAGTGTCTAGTCTGTTAAGGGTGGGCATAGCCCCCCAAATCTCAAGGGGAGAATAGCAAAAAAATTGCAAACATGTTTAAAAAGCCACATGCACATTCTAGTTTAAAACTACTCAGGTTTTATCTCTCCTGGGCTTTCCACCACAGCTCTGGGGTGACCTTAGGGCTTATGTTTCCTCCTCAACTTGGAGGCAGCAGAGAAAGGGACCTTGGTAGTGGTTGTGGCCAAGGGTCTTTTGCTTATGTCCTGGGAGATCCACCTGATGCAGGTCAGCAATTGCCTAGTCTCACTTATAAGTGGTAGCTAAATGATGAGAACTCATGGACACAAAGGGGAACAGCAGACACTGGGCCTACATGAGGGTGGGGTGGGAGGAGGGAGAGGATCAGAAAAAATAACTATTGGGTACTAGGCCTAGTACCTGGGTGATGAAATAATCTGTACAACAAACCCCTGTGATATGAGTTTACCTACATGACAAACCTGCACATATCCCCCAAACCTAAAATAAAAGGTAGAAAAAAAAAAGTTCTCGGTAGCAGAGATGCCTCTCAAATACGTGATAAAAGATACGTTACTTTATCACATAGGCCAGGGGTAAGGTAATTGTGGGTTTTACTTCTGTCTCAGTCCCAGTGAGAAGGTAATTGTGGGTTTTACTTCTGCCTCAGTCCCAGTGAGTTGATTGACAAGTAAATGCAAACATAACATTGTATTGTGGGGCAATAAAAACTAATGTCTGCCTTAAATGTTGCTCTATCAAGGAACCATTTAATTGACTGTTAAATTTAAAAATCACAAGATTTAGGCTGGGCGTGGTGGCTCATGCCTGTAATCCCAGCACTTTGGGAGGCGGAGGCAGGTGGATCACCTGAGGTCAGGATTTTGAGACCAGCCTGGCCAACATGGTGAAACCCCACCTCTACTAAAAATACAAAAATTGGCTGGGCGTGGTGGCAGGTGCCTGTAGTCCCAGCTACTCAGGAGGCTGAGACAAGAGAATCGCTTGAACCCGGGAGGCAGAGGTTTCAGTGACCCAAGATTGCGCCATTGCATTCCAGCCTGGGCGACAGGAGCAAAACTCCATCTCAAAAAAAAAAAAAAAAAAAATCACAAGACTTAACTATTTGGAATGGAGAGGAGGCTTTATTTGTTATAAGGGATTACAGCCTGCAACAGGCTGAGAAGAATGCCTCTGGCTAAGACCAGAGACAAGCACTTTGAAGGAAGATAGGTTGGGGTAGGAGCATTATGCTGGACAAGTTAGCTAAACATACATCTTCAACAGGTTAGAGGAGGAGCTATGAATATGCATGAAGGTGGTCCCAATGCACGTGTATTGAACCAATATGCATGTAACATATGACCTGTGTTCACTCTGGGGTGGAGACCTAACATTTGAATGTATTATAATTAGGCCCTATCAGTCAAAAGGTCTTTTCAGGACACAAAGGCACTCAAGTGTGCAACCTCTGTAAACCCAGCCAGAACCAGTTTATGGTGGGTGGTCTTCTTATCAGGAGAAAGTTACTGAAATCAGTCTCTTGTCTAATCAAAGCTGTAGTTATGGTGCTTGGGACAAGGGTTGGGAGCCAATTAGTGTCTGGTGAAGACCTACAGTTGTTTTCATTTTGCTTATCTCAAGGCCAGTGCTTATTTAGCTGCTAGAGAAAAAAGAAAAACCTTGTGGCAGTTAGACCATAGTTAAAGTTTAAGGTGCTTGACCTAACACTTGCCTGGCATGGCCTTAGGTATTGTTTATAATTTGGTATCTCATTGCCACAAAAAGTCTGTTCTGCCAGTCTTATGATCTCTATTTTAATGTTAATGCTGGTCAGTTCTTGTGTCTAAACCACAAACATGAGAGGGTATAATGAGACATGTCTGACCTCCCATCTCGTCATGGCCAGGAACTCAGTTGTAAGGTTTTTCTGGGGTCCCCTTGGCTAAGGGGAGCGTCCTTCAGTTGGTGGGGGCTTAGGATTTTATTTTTAGTTTACAATTTCTGCAAAGGGAAAGGCTACTGATAAACCTTAAACATCCTGCACTTGTGTTTCAAAGCAATAAATCAGACCTCTTAAGTACTAATGGAATTGTATACAATTTGTATGGTGACCACTTTCCCTTCCATCCTGAAAGCCCTGTGAGAACAGAGGTCTTGGCTTTTTTATTCCTTAACAGTTTTCTTACCCCCAAATTAGCACATAACAGCAGCTAGACAGATGAGAATCTCTCTCTTTGTTCCCCAGTTTCTACCTTGAACAATTCTCCCTGCCAACATGCAGAGTCACCCTGTAGCCTTATAGTTTCCCCAGCATCTAATATATGTTCTTCCAGTAACTGGAGACTGAGATGCTTCAGGGCCAGACAGCTGTGTTCTTAGCCGAGTGACAAGCAAGGCTTTGCTGGGCTTTTTACCTATTCACCTTAGAGTCCAAGCTGACCAACTCAAAACTATACACATGGGGCCAGAAAATCATCACCCTCTGAAGGTCAGCTATATGATCTTACAAGAGCTCATTAGAGATGAAAAACTGCTTTGTGAATTCCAAAGCATATCTCTAGCTCAAGATTGCCTCTCTTCATATTGTCTCCTTTTTTCCAGTGGCTCCAGTAGGCAAAAAACATAGAAAAATTGTTAATTTTGGAGACTTGTTCTGTTTCTAGTATTGAGAATTTAAATTCCAAGCTGTCCACTAGCTGCAAAAAGCAAGGAAGTTGTCACACTCAATTTCCTCTGCGGCTTTTCCTGATCAGTGTGTTCCGTCTAGAATTTATGAAATTGAAAGCATTTAACATTTTATATCAATTTTATCATATTAATACATCTAGATGTAATAGCCACAAAACACAAAGCCATTAAACATTTTTTTTAATATTGCAAATTAAACCCATAGCAGTAAATCCAGCATTTGCAGTTAGGTTAGCATTACTGCTGTGGGAACTATTCAGGTTGGAAAGCAGATGAGGGAGGGTACAGGGGTGGCAAAGAAGGAGGCAGCTCTTGCAACAGGGCAGCAGCTGGGCTGAAGAAGAGGCTGGATGGAGTCTTGGAACCCTCCCCACCCTCCCCACCCTCCCCACCCTCCCACCCTTCCACCCCAGCTTTGCTCCAGCCCTGAGAACTTTTAACAGTTTGGGGCCACCCAACACTCACCTTTATAATTTGTCAATGTTGTTTTTCTTACCTCCCACCTGGAGAAGAGAACAAAAAACAAAGGCATCACTAGCAAATTCCACTTCTGGGCCAGGTTCAATGAGTCATACCTGTAATCTCAGCACTTTGAGAGGCTGAGGGAGGAGGATCACTTGAGGCCAGGAGCTCAAGATAAACCTGGGCAACATAGCAAGACCCCATCTTTACAGAAAAAATAAAAGAGCCCGGAATGGTGGCACGTGCTTGTAGTCCCAGCTATTCGGCAGGATACATACCTGTAATCCCAGCTGAGGCAGGAGGATCACTTGTGCCCTGGAGTTCAAGGCTGCAGTGAACTATGATTGTGCCACTGCACTCCAGCCTGGGTGACAGAGTGAGAAGTAAAAAAAAATTTGCTTCTGATGCCAGCTGTATTGGGGTTTCCCAAGAACACTTCTGGGTTAAACAAATTGCTAGGAGGACTGACAGGACTCACAGTATGGCTATGACTTATTACAGCAAGGTCAGCAAAGGGGAGAGGTCACAGGGCCATGTCCAGAGGAAACCTGGTACCAGCTTCCAAGCATCCCCTCCTAGTGTAGTCACATAGGATATGCTGAATTCCTCCAGCAACATGTTGTGACAACATATGCAAAATGTTGCCACAGAAGCTCCTTAGAAACTCAGTGCCTGGGCTTTTAATTAGGGGCTGGTCATGTAGACACTGTCTATTGTGCACAAATCAAAATTCCAGATTCCCAGAAAAAAACCAGGTGTTCCGCAGAAACCATATTGTTTATGTACAATGGAGCCATTTGATCAGTGAGGGTTGGGGGAACCCTTCTGAAATCCAGGTTCCCAAACCTTCCCAAAATTCACATTCCCAGATACCAGCCAAGGATAGGATAGCCATCTCAGGCCACTTCAATGGCAACTCTACTTCAATTGAGTTTTTTTTTTGTTTGTTTTTTTCAGATGGAATCTCACTCTGTCACCAGGCTGGAGCACAGTGGCGTGATTTTGGCTCACTGCAACCTCCAACTCCGGGGTTCACGCAATTCTCCTGCCTCAACTCCTGAGTAGCTGGGATTACAAGCGCGTGCCACCACAACCGGCTAATTTTTGTATTTTTTTTTTGTGGAGACGGAGTTTCATCGTGTTGGCAAGTATGGTCTTGATCTCCTGACCTTGTGATCTGCCAGCCTCGGCCTTCCAAAGTGCTGAGATTACAGGCGTGAGCCACCGCACCCGGCCACTTCAATTGATTATTAATTTGCAAGTTTGTAATGCTTTCAATGGTTCAACCCGTTTGATGTTAGTTCTGAGTTCAGACTTGTGAGTGACAGACACACAAAGGCAGCTACGAGACTATCAAATTCACTCAGCTTAATTTTTGTGGTGGTTGCTATTATCTATTTTTATTTGTGTATATTTGAATGCCAAATACCAAAATTCAAGCATAAACTTTGTGATGGATTGTTTGAAAAGTGGAGATTTATTAAATGAGGAACGATTCCTTTTGAAACTTTTTGTGCAGTATGCAAAAATGGAGAAAGACACCAGCACATAATAACAGCTAAACATGGAAGATATATGATTTCCTCAACTAATATATAAAATTGTAAACAGTTTTTTTTTATTAAAAAGAATTCAAGGCCAGGTGTGGTGGCTCACACGTGTAATCCTTGCACTTTGGGAGGCCTAGGTGGGTGGATTGCCTGAGCTCAGTAGTTCGAGAACAGCCTGGGCAAACCTTGGTGAAACCTTGTCTCTACTAAAAATACAAAAAAATAGCTGGGTGTGGTGGCAAGCACCTGTAATTCCAGCTACTCGGGAGGCTGAGGCAAGAGAATTGCTTGAACCTGGGAGGTGGAGGTTGCAGTGAGCTGAGATTGTGCCACTGTACTCCAGCCTGGGTGACAGAGTGAGACTGTCTCAAAAAAAAAAAAAAAAGAGAATTCAGATTGAGATATAGTAATGGCAATGGAAGTTGTAAACATCTGCCACACTATATAACAGCAGCAGTCTTTCAGCTCAAATGACAGTTTGAAAGTATTACTGAAAGTATTACTGCTAGAAGTATTTTCTGATTCCAAAGATGCAATCAAATTTTGAAGAGCCAAGAGGAAATCTACTACAACAACAAAAGTAATAGCTTCACTATGATCACAGAGATGATCAATGATCTAAATGCCTCACCTATTTTCAGCAGAGCCATGGATACAAGTAATCACAAGGCAGAAGATATTTTCCCTTTGCTTCTGAACTGCTTTTGGTGGCAATGATACAAATACAAATTGTGGTTGATGTTTGCATAAGGGCACAGACATGCTTGGTCCAAGCTGAAGTAAAGATTCCAAGTTGTGGACCGTCCTGCCCACATTCTGCATCATGATGTCAAAATAGCATCTGATGTTCTTTGCATTTTCATTGAAGTAATTATCACAAAATTGTTCTCTTACTTCAGCATTTACACTATTAGAATTGAGTGATTAAAGGATTGTGTGATTTTTTTTTTGGCATTCGATATTCTTCATTTCCTTTGCAGTTAGAAACTCATTGGCTCCTGTAACTAACACAGTTGATAAAGTTGTTAGTTTACGTAAAGTCTTGAAATAATAATTTTAATTTTCAAGAAAAGACTCCAAAATTTTTGTTTACTTTAAAAATACTCCATTGAGTGAAGTTTACTTGTTTTTTATTCATAGTTTTTTTTTTTCACTAGGAAACAAATATTTTATTCCTTTTTTCTGTTGCTCAGAGGACAGATCGTGATACAGAAAACAGCAGTCTAGCCACAGAGGCTGGGTTTGGTTGATTTCCACAGGCACATGGAGGACAGGAATGGTGGGATCCGGTTTGAGCTCCCAGTCTCATTATGACTTTTGACCTCTTCCTGTACCCTCTGCAGCAGTGCAGCATGGAGCCTACTGGGTCTCTAACCTACTTAACTCACCTCTGTGACCACTGAGGATGCGGGAGTTGTCTCTGCTGACCAAGGGGACATGGGCAGAGAAGCAAAGGCCCCTTACTCTCCCTCTGTCCATTCCAGTGTGCTGGCCGCAACAGAATGGGAATCCTTCAGTCATCACCTGCTGGAGACTCAGCTTCAGGGATGGGAGCCTGTGTCCAGAAAAACTGGGCTATAGATTGAAGTCTCAGAAGCAGGAAGGTTGGAGATGGGTGGGGCACCAGAGCCCCTGTGGTTATTGCTGATAAGATATGCAGGGGCTACATTCCCCAAGTGTAGATTATTAGTCCTGGGCCCAGGCTGGGCACGGTGGCTGACACCTGTAATCCCAGAATTTTGGGAGGCCTAGGCAGGTGGATTGCTTGAGGCCAGGGAAAACCCCATCTCTACTAAAAATACAAAAATTAGCTGGGCATGGTGGTGCGTGCCTATAGTCCCAGCTACTCGGGAGGCCCAGGCATGAGAATCCCTTGAACCCATGTTGCCATGAGCTGAGATCGTGCCACTGCATTCCGGCTTGGGTGACACAGTGGGACTCTGTCTGAATAAAGAAAAAGAAAAAAAGCAGCAGCCCTGGGCCTGGAATCCCTGGGTGCTATGTGAAAGGCAGGGCAGATGGGGCTCCCTGGGGCTTCCCCAGGGAGAAAAATAACCATGGAAGGGTATAGTAGCCTCCTGAAGGTAATGCCGGGCTCACAAACTCCTTGCTTTGCTTTGTATCTCCAATTGCTGATCTTCAGAACAGACGGGTTGGAGTGGGATAAGGAAGTGAGGTTCTTGTAAAAGAAGTGAAGAGACTCCATGAAGAAAGATGAGGAAAGTGGTGCAAACCTTCCCAGGTCCCAAGACAGCTGGAGACTCCTGCCCATGCTCTAAAGGGAAGGAGCTAGACTCTCCAGGGAAAAAAGCAGACTCCCAGGAGTGAGAGGTGATGGGGGGCAGAGAGGAGCAGACGGCCACATGGCTCAGCCCCTGCCCAGGAAAGTGAGTCCACAGTTCACTAACTATAATCACCATGAACAAGTAGCCATGAACACTATAGTCAGCAAACACACACACAGACACATAACACGAGTTGGAGGAGCCTGCAGGCTGCAGTGGTGAGGCAAGAGATTAGTTGGATCATCAGGTGGAGGAATGGTGTTAGAGGGGACAGGGAAGGGCATGGCAGGACAAAAAAGTTCTTGGCTTCTCTTCTGGAAAGATTTGTTGCTGAAGTGGCTGTTTTCTTAAGCATCAATATTTGCATCTAAAAGTTCAAGCAGCTGCCTTCAGGTTCCGGAGGCTTCCCACTGGAGGGCTGCACTTCATTCAGCTCTCTGCTTTCTGGAGTTTTGCTGCATTTGCAGTGATGAGGTTCTCCACCTGGGCTTCCTCCTCCCCTGGGGTCCCGGGCTTCTGATTGAAACTCCACTTGCATCTGCAACCTAGGATAAGGAAGATCCCAACGGAGAAGAGGACCACAGCACATACCAACCCCTGAATCCTCAGGGTCTGTTAGTCATAATGAAAATGGTCAATTTCCTTCTCCTACTCAGCTGCACTGGCCATGACAATGAGGGCCAACAGGCTGCATAGGAATATCAGCACCACCTCCATGGTGCCTGCACAGCCAGTCCCCTTCCTGAGATGATCCCAGGAGGATGTGTCGAGTCCCAAGGAGCCTAAGAGTGGCATGTCCCTAGTTTTCAATCTCTTTAGGGATAGGATTATGCAAATTGAAAGAAGAGCAAACAATGTTACTGAAATAATCCATGGCATAATGGAACCTGAATGCATTAAAGAAATAATGGAGGGCAGGAGAGGTGGCTCACATCTGTAATCTCAGCACTTTGGCAGGCTGAGGCGGATGGATCAATTGAGGTCAGGAGTTTGAGACCAGCCTGGTCAATATGGTGAAACCTAGTCTCTACTAAAAACAGGAAAAATTAGCTGGGCGTGGTGGCATGTGCCTGTAATCCCAGCTACTGGGGAGGCTGAGGCAGGAGAATCACTTGAATCTGGGAGGCGGAGGTTGCAGTGACCCGAGGTCTTGGCACTGCACTGCAGCCCAGGTGACAGAATGAGATCCAGTCTAAAAAAAAAAAAAAAAAGAAATAATGGAATATTCACAAGTGTCAAGACTGTTTCTTAAAATGCAAAAGCATTAGGCTGGGTGCAGTGGCTCATGCCTGTAATCCCAGCACTTTGGGAGGCCGAAGCGGGCGGATCACGAGGTCAGGAGTTCGAGACCAGCCTGGCCAACACAGTGAAACCCGATCTCTACTAAAATTACAAAAATTAGCCGGGTGTGGTGGCACAAGCCTGTAGTCCCAGCTACTTGGGACGCTGAGGCAGGAGAGTCGCTTGAACCCAGGAGGCGGAGGTTGCGGTGAGCCGAGATCATGTCACTGCACTCCAGCCTGGGTTACAGAGCCAGACTCCATCTCAAAAAAAAAAAAAAAAAAAAAAAACATTATGAGCAGGAAAATAAATTGTGTCTCGAAGTGATAATCATTGTTGTACTTACCATGACTGTCTTCTGAAATGCATCTCAACCCTTGAATAATTTGATTCTTTTACATGGATGGTACTAAATGCTTTTCCAGCATGGGAACAAGTGGGATTATCATCAGTGGTGGTAAAGAAGGGAATAGAAATGGAGAAAAATGCTTCTTTTTTGGTCAGTGGACATTTATTTTTTATTTTTATTTTAACTTAAACTTCAATAGCTTTTGGAGTACAAGTGGTTTTTGGTTATGGATGAATTATAAAGTGGTGGATTCTGAGATTTTAGTGCACCTGTCACCTGAGTAGTGTACACTGTACCTAATGTATAGTTTTTTTTTTTTCATTTTTGAGATGGAGTTTTGCTCTTGTTGCCCAAGCTGAAGTGCAATGGCGCGATTTCAGCTCACTACAACCTCCACCTCTCGAGTTCAAGGGATTCCCCTGCCTCAGCCTCCCAAATAGCTGGGACTGCAGGTGTGTGCCACCACGCCCAGCTAATTTTGTAGTTTTAGTGGAGACGGGGTTTCACCGTGTTACCTAGGCTGGTCTTGAACTCCTGACTTCGTGATCCACCCGCCTCCGCCTCCCAAAGTGCTGAGACTACAGGCGTGAGCCACCGCGCCTGGCCATGTGTAGTTTTTTTAACCTCCGGCCTCCTTCCTACCAGCCCCTTCTGAGTCTCTAAAGTCCATTATATCACTCTGTATGCCTCTGCGTACTCATAGCTTAGCTCCCACTTATAAGTGAGAACCTACGGTTTTTGGTTTTCCACTCCTGTATTACCTCTGCCTGTGAACTTTAAAAAGTTATCGTGATCAAGAGATCCTGCATACTCCTGAAGAATGGAAAATGCATGTTTGCCATGCAAGATGGTATTACGTGGTTTAACAAATAAAATTTGAAGAGCAATTCCGAGTTATCTTTACGACAGCTTACAGGCTGGTAATGCTCATGTCCAGCGTGTTTTCTCACGGTTAGCGTCCAATGGACCAGAAAGGAGCAAGTGAAGCTCTCCACACTGGCGCAAGTGTAGGTGGTGCTGCGGCAGCGTCGCGGGGCCACAGGAACCGACCTCGTCTGGAGAAATTCCACTCGTGAATTCTGCCAAATGAGGAAGTGTTGAGGACGGCCAAATCATCAGGGGGATGTAATTCATGAGAAAGCTGTGTAATTTAAATACTCATAATTTATTTCAGCTAACGAATAAAACTGCAGTACTGCACTTGCCGCATCTGGGAACTAACTGCCCAATGCGGCTGAAACCTCATGCCCTTTCAAAAGGAGTGGCGCGAGGGCTTGTGGGAAATGTAGTCTGCACTTTCTAAGGGAGCGGCGCGAGGGCTTGTGGGAAATGAAGCGTGCACTTTCTAAGGGAGCGGCGCGAGGACTTGTGGGAGATGTAGTGTGCACTTTTCGGCCCCCGTCGCGGGAGCCGCTTCGGGCCTTCTGGGCATGTCTGCCATATGGCTCCAGGTTTGTTTTTCTCCCCGGCACTCTGACGGGGAGGGCTCCCGGCATCTCCTGGCGTCCGGGTAGAGGACGCGGAGGGTGAGTAAGGGAGGGCAGGGGCGAGGGTGGACTGGGGGTTCCGCGCGGCCTGGGGGTGGGAGAGAGGGAACGCCTTTGCCGCCTGGCCTGGGTCCGAATCCTGCCTCGGTTCTTGTGCTCCCAAAGGGAATGCGCAAGTCCCGCGCCTGTGACAAGTGAGGTTGGATTTTCTCTTCCCTGAGGTGAAGGATGCCCGGAGGCCTCCGCAGGACGGCGCAGAAACGGGCCTTCTGCCCAATAGATGCGCGCTTCTCTCATTCTTTCCCCTCAGAATCTCGCTGTCCTCACAACCACCTGTGGTCGGCGTCGCCGCGGTGTCACTGCGATGCCGAGGCGAATGGGGTGGGGGGAAGCGCCCGCGGGGCGGGGAGGGACCCTGCAGGCGCGGACTCCACACCCAGCCTCTGGCCAGCGTCACTCGGCTTGCTGTGTCCTCGCAGGTCGCAGCTTCATTGCCTGATGTCTTCGGGAAGTATTTTGAAGTCATCGTGGCTGTGGATTGGGGAATTTCTTGTTTCCACTGACCTGTGAGGCCGCGCACGCGGAGGGAGGCACCCCAGGCCCTCCGGCACTGTCCAGCCTCGCCTGTGTCCCCATTAGCACCAGTGGGCATTTTCAGAGGGTCCAGCTCATGGCTCAAGTGACAGGAAGATGTAGGAGCTTTCTGTCTTGAATGAGGATTCGAACCAAAGGGCTTAGGCCCAGCTGTCTTGGAGCAAAGCAGCTGTTGTGGGGTAAGAAGGGAAGGGTGGGGGGCGAGGGCCCAGGGGCCCTCCTAGGAGGACACCCAACCCGTTGGGCTGACACCTCACTAGAGATCTAGAGCACGGGTGGGAGGAGCAGAGGCTCGATTTGTGTCCTTTCCAGACCCCCACAGGCTGGGAGCTTTGTGCCCATTCAGATGTGGGGGCAGAAGAGGGCAAGGCCGAAGGAGCAGACAGCACCGCTTCTTGGGGAGTTGTGAAGGCATCATGCGGAGGGAAGAGCTTAGCAGCCAAGTGGAGGACAGCACCCTCCATGCCTGGATTCGTTACTCGCTCGTTCTAGATGCTGAGCTGCTGGCGCACTGCAGCACAACTAGAGATGTACGGATGCCCCCATCTTGATCTTACAGAATCAGAGGTACAGCCGCGAGAAAGGTCTGTAAGTTATCTATTTACGCTTTATTTAAAAGATGGGATGGGGTGGGGTGGACAGGAAACGAGCTTAACGTGTTAAGTTACTGATGACATTGACACATTTTGTTGTGGCAGAGTCAAGAACAGACAGAGTCGCTTGAGGACTCAGGAGGGTGTTTGCTGCGTTGACAACAGAGTAAGTAAAAATCAGTTTGCTTTTTTAAATCCAAAGATTGTTTTGAGAACCTCAAATCAAGTTAGAGCAAGTTCGTTTTCCTTCCAAAAAAACTGGGCTGGGCTGGGCACGGTGGTTCACGCCAGTAATCCCAGCACTTTGGGAGGCTGAGGGGGGTGGATCAAGAGGTCAGGAGTTCGAGACCAGCCTGGCCAACATGGTGAAACCCCGTCTCTACTAAAAATGCAAAAAATTAGCCGGGTGTGGTGGTGCGCACCTGTAGTCCCAGCGACTTGGGAGGCTGAGGCAGGAGGTTGCGGTGAGTCGAGATCATGCCATCGCACTCCAGCCTGGGCAACAAACAGGGCAGGACTCTGTCTCAAAAAAGCAAACAAACAAACAAAAAAAACTGGGCTGAAAAATACCACATCGCTTTTTTCAAAACCTTGTTGGGATTCTCTGGTTTGTAATAAAGATTAAAACCTGAGTATTTTTGTTTAGCATCAGTTTTAATGAAAGTATTATGTTCCACTCTTTGGCTTTTCCTAACTTGCTTAATTAGTTTAATATATCGGTTTGCATACTCTGTTAGAGTACAGCATAAATTGTTTTTAAGTCAGTAGAAAACAAACGTTTTTACATTTGAAAACTAATGAGTCCAAGCAGTACATAATCATGCCAGAGTCATGCATGGGCGTGTGAGTATCTCCCTTTCAGAGATGTTTTGCCGGCTGCGAAGTGGACCTTTTAAGGCAAGTGACATCACTCATGATCTTTTCTTATTTCTCAGCTACACCCTCACAGTTTGCTCTGCTCTTCCAACACCAGTGGAAGATGATCACATCCCAGGTAAGTTGTTTATTTTTTCACCGTTTTGCTTAAAAGTAATTATTGAGGTTTAAAAAATGTCTATACATTCATATGAAAGTAGAAATAACATCAGGGAAAATATAGAGGAGAGGTCACATTACATTTCATGGGTCAAATGCAGCCTGCCGCATGTTTTTTTATGGTCCACAAACGAAGGATGGTTTTTATATTTTTAGGTGGCTGAGGGAAAAAAAACAAGAATTATATGAAATTCAGATTTCATTATATATAAAGTTTTATTGGGACTCAGCTATACTCATGTATTTATGTGTTGTCTGTTGGTACTTTCATACTATGAGGGCAGAGTTGACTGGTTGCAGCAGAGACTGTAATGGCCCACAAGCCTAAAATATTTACTGTGAGACCCTTTACAGAAAATGTTTGCTGATTTCTGATAAAGAGTTGATGAAGAGTAAAACAAAAATGTCATGTAAGTGAATGCAGATCTTGTGATCTCACAGAGTTGTGAAACTGGAACATAAAACAGTTTGTCAATGGGCTTTATTAGGTGACACTGTGAAACTTCTGATGACAATCTTGCAGTTACATGAAAAAGTAGTACAACGAAGTGAATAATTCATGTGCAGTCCAGGGGAAAACTTAAGCGATATCAAGAGAAAGTATGTGATTAAAAAATTCAAATAGGCCGGGCTAGGTGGCTCATGCCTATAATCCCAACACTTTGGGAGGGCGAGGTGGGTGGATCATGAGGTCAGGAGTCCGAGACCAGCCTGACCAACATGGTGAAACCCCGTCTCTACTAAAAATACAAAAATTAGCTTGGCATGTTGGCGTGCACCTGTAATCCCAGCTAGTCAGGAGGCTGAGGCAGGAGAATCGCTTGAACCCAGGAGGCGGAGGGTGCAGTGAGCCGAGATTGAGATTGCACCACTGCACTCCAGCCTGGGTGACAGAGTGAGACTCTGTCTCAAAAAAAAAAAAAAAAAAAAAAAAAAAAAAATCACATGAATTGTGTAGCATTAGGACTTATGGTTGTTTAAAGAAACAGTCCTGGTAGGCTAGGGTGATCATGGGTTGTTAGGATGTGGCAGGCTTTGTGACAGCCCTAGAGACTGGGCAGAACTGGAATATTTGCAATAACTTTCAAGAGATTCTACCTAAAAAAAAAATTATGGTAAAATACACATCACATGAAATTCACAATTAAGCCATTTTAAAGTATAGAATTCAATGACTTTAGTACGTTCACAATGTTGTACCACCATAACCACCATTTATTTCTGGAATATTTTCATCACACCAAAAGGAAACATAGTACCCTTAATAAGCAGTGTTGTAACTTAATAAGCAGTTGCTCCCTTTTTCCCCTCTGCTCCAGCCCCTAGCAACCAATAATCTCCTGTCTTTATAGATATGCCTGTTTTAGATATGGCATACAAATGGAATCATACAATTTGTAGCCTTTTGTGTCTGATCTCTCACTTAGAATAATGTTTTCAAGACCCATTTATGTTGTAGTTGTATATCAGTACTTTGTCCCTTTTTATGACTGAACAATATTCTATTATATGGATATACCAACTTTTGTTTATCCATTCATCTGTTGATGGACATTGGGGGTCATCCTGTGTTTCGCTATCGTGAATAGTGCTCCTATGAGCATTCATGTACAAATATTTGTTAGAATACATGCTCTCAGTTGTTCTGGGTATATACCTACGAGTGAAATTGCTGGGTCATATGGTAAGTTTACGTTTAATTTATTGTGAAACTGACAGTTTTCCACAGCAGGGTGCTTTGCAATCCATAGGAATTTTTAGTTAGCTTTTCTATTTCTGCAAAAAAGTATGTTGAGTTTTTGATAAGTATTGCATTGGGTAAGTATTGGAGTGGGTAATAACACTTTGGGGAGTGTTATCATCTTAATATTAAATCTTATAATCCATGAATGTAAGATTTTTTTCCCCTAGGTCTTCTTTCCTTCATTAATGTTTTGTAGTTTTCAGTGTACAAGTGTTGCATATCCTTGCTTAAATTTATTAGTTTTTCATTTAAATGCTATTGTAAATTATATGAAATTCAGACTTCAGTGTCTATAAAGTTTTATTGAGACTCAGCCATACTCATGTATTTATGTATAGTCTGTGGGTACTTTCACACTACGAGGGCAGAATTGACTGGTTGCAGTAGAGACTGTAATGGCCCATAAGCCTAAAATTTTTTTGTTTAAATGCTATTATAAGTGGAATTGTTAATTTGCTTTTTGACTGTGCACAACTAATTTTTGAGTGTTGATCTTGTATCCTGTAATTTTGCTGAATTTGTTTCCTACTTGTAGTAGTTCCTTTGTGGATACTTCAGTATTTTTTGCATATAAGATCATGTCATCTGCAAACGAAAATATTTTTATTTCTTTCCAATTTGGGTGTGTGTATTTATTTAGCCTAATTGCTGTGGCTGGAATTTTTAGTACAATGTTGAATATATGTGGCCAAAGCAGGAATCTTTATTTATTGTTAGTTTTTTGTTTTAGCAATCTTAACCATTTTGGGATGTACAATTCAGAAGCAGTGTTATGTATGTGTATTCATATCGTACATATAATCTCCAGAACTTTTTCATCTTGGAAAATTGAAATTCTGTACCTATTAAACAGTAACTCCCCATTTTCCCTTCCTCCTTGCCCCTGGCAACCACCATCCTACTTTCTGTTCTATGAGTTTCACTACTTTTGCTATATCTCATTTAAGTGAAATCATACAGTATTTGTCTTATTGTAACAGTCTTATTTCACCTAGCATAATGTCCTCAAGCTTCCTCAGTGTTGTAGCATGTGTCAGAATTTATCTCCTTTTTAATGTTGAATGATATTTCATTGTACCCATGTTTTATTAATTCATCTGTCAGTGGACATTTGGGTTCCTTCCTCCTTTTAACTGTTGTGAATAATGTTACTGTGAACGTGGGTGTACAACTATCTCTTTGAGATCCTTCTTTCAGTTCTTTTGGTTATATACTCAAAAGTGGTATGGCTGGAATCTATGGTAATTCTATTTTTAATTTCTTGAGGAAACACCAACCTGTTTTCTACAGAAGGTACACCATTTTTACAGTCCCATCCTCAGTTGTGCAGGATTCTGATTTCTCCATATCCTTGCCAACACTCGTTATTTTCTTTTGTTGTTTTGATAGCAGCCATTGTAATGGGTGTATGGTAATTTTTCATCGTGGTTTTGATTTGTATTTCCCTAATGATTAGTGATGTTGAGCATATTTTCATAAGCTTGTTGACCATTTATATATCTTTTATGGTGAAATGTATTGGGGAACCTGCTCCGATAGTCACGTAGGTTCTTTTCTATTTTCCCTAAGCATCGGCCAGTTTGAGAAATAAAGGGACAGAGTATAAAAGAGAGAAATTGTAAAGCTGGGCTTCTGGGGGAGACATCACATGTCGGTAGGTTCCGTGATGCCCCACAAGCCATAAAACCAGCAAGTTTTTATTAGGGAGTTTCAAAAGGGGAGGGAGTATGCGAATAGGTGTGGGTCACAGACATCAAGTACTTTACAAGGTAATAGAATATCACAAGGCAAGTGGAGGCAGCGTGAGATCACAGGACCGCAGGACCGGTGCGAAATTAACATTGCTAATGAAGTTTTGGGCACCATTGTCATTGATAACATCTTATCAGGAGACAGGGTTTTGAGAGCAACCGGTCTGACCAAAATTTATTAGGTGGGAATTTCCTCTTCCTAATAAGCCTGGGAGAACTATGGGAGACTGGGGTCTATTTCACCCCTACAGCCTACAGACCATAGGAGACGGCCACACCCAGGGGGGCTGTCTATAGGCCTATTCCCCCAGGCTTGTATTCTGTTTCCCAGGGATGTTCCTTGCTGAGAAAATTCAGCGATATTTCTCCCATTTGCTTTTGAAAGAAGAGAAATATGGCTCTGTTCCGCTTGGCTCACTGGCAGTCAGAGTTTAAGGTTATCTTTCTTATTCCCTGAACAATTGCTGTTATCCTGTTCTTTTTTCAAGGTGCCCAGATTTCGTATTTGTGCAAACACACAAGCTCTACAATTTGTGCAGTTAATGCAATTATCACATGGTCCTCAGGTGACATACATCTTCCTCAGCTGACAGGATTAAAAGATTAAAGACAGGCATAGGAAATCACAAGGGTATTGATTGGGGAAGTGGTAAGTGTCCCTGAAATCTTCACAATTTATGTTTAGAGATTGCAGTAAAGACAGGCATAAGAAATTATAAAAGTATTAATTTGGGGAACTAATAAATGTCCGTGAAATCTTCACAATCTACGTTCTTCTGCCTTGGCTGCAGCCGGTCCCTCTGTTTGGGGTCCCTGACTTCCTGCAACAAAATGTCTGTTCAAGTCCTTTGTCCATCTTTGAATCAGGTTATTTTGTTTGTTTTGAGTTGTAGGGGTTATTTTTTATATTAATTCCTTATCAGATACATGAATTGCAAATATTTCCTCCTGTTGTGTTGGTTGCCTTTTCATTCAGTTAACCATGCCCTTTGATGCAAAATTTTTAAGTTTGATATAGTCCAATTTATTTTTACTACTGTTGCCTGTGGTTTTTGGTATTATATCCAAGAAAACATTGCCACATATAATGTCAAGAATCCATTCTCCAATGTGTTCTGTCATGAGTTTTGTAACTTTAATTTTAATTCTTAGATTTAGGTGTTTGATTCATTTTGAGTTAATTTTTTTTTTTTTTTAGTTTTGTTTTTCATGTGGCTATCCAGTTTTTCCAACACTATCTGTTAGAAAAATTGTCCTTTCCTTATTGACTGTTCTTGACAACTTTGTTGAAAATCATTTTACCATACATGCATGGGTTTTCAAGATCATTTTGGCTAGTTGAGATACCTTGAAATTCCATGTTAACTTCAGGATGATTTATTTCTATTTCTGTTACTATGTCTCCTTTGTAGACTGACCTTTTTTTTTTTTAATCAATATGTAATGTTTTGCTCTTGTAACAATTTTTGACTTAAAGTCTCTTTTGTCTCAGTATAGCCACCCTGGCATTCTTTAGGTTACTATCCTCTTCTGTCATTTCAATTTCAGCCTATTGTGTTGTGTGTTTGTATCTAACGAGAGTGTCTTATAGACTATATATAGTTGGATCATATATTTGTATTTATTTTGCCAATTTCTTTTTCCTTTTATTTTTCTTTTTTTTTTTTTTTTTGAGACAGAGTCTCACTGTGTCACCCAGGCTGGAGTGCAGTGGTGTGATCTTGACTCTCTGCAACCTCCGCCTCCAGGGTTCAAACAATTCTTCTGCCTCAGCCTCCCGAGGAGCTGGGATTACTGGTGCACACCATGACACCTGGCTAATTTTTGTATATATATATTTTTTCTTTTAGTAGAGACGGGGTTTCACGGTATTGGCCAGGCTGGTCTCAAACTCCTGACCTCGTGATCTGCCCGCCTTGGCCTCCCAAAGTGCTGGGATTACAGGTTTGAGCCACCATGCCCAGCCTATTTTGCCAATTTCTGTCTTTTAGTTGGGAGTTTAGTTTATTTACATTTAAAGTAAATGATAAACTGAAAAAGGACTTATGCCATTTTGCTATTTATTTTCCATATGTATTACATCTTGTTTTCAGTTTTTCTGTGTATGCCTTCTTTTGTGTTTTTTTCTAACGTGCCATTTTAATTCCTTTTGTATTTCTTTGTATTCATTATTTACCTAGTGTTAATACTTGGAATTGCAATTAACATCTTGAATTTATAACAATCTAGCTTGCATTAATACCAACTAAGCCTTAATATTATATAAAAACTCTGCTCCTATACAGCTTTGTCCCTGTCTTTTGTCTTCTTATTGTCACATATTAGGCCTTCATAAATTGTGTGCACATTACATAGATGCATAATTATTGTTTTATGTATCTGTCTTTTAAATCACATAAAAAAAAGAGAGAACATAAAAGCCAAGAATACAATAAGACTGGCTTTTGCATTTACTTACAGTAGTTAGTTTTATCATTTGAATTTTTTGTTTGTTTGGATTGGAGTTACTGTCTAGTATCCTTTTGTTTCAACCTGAGGGACTTCCTTTTGCATTTCTTGTAGGACAGGTCTAGTACTAACACATTCTCTCAGATTCTGTTGATCTAGGAATGTTTTAATTTCCCCTTCCTTTTTGAAAGGTAGTTTTGCCTAATGTAGAATTTTTGTTATTTTTTTTTCTTTTGGTACTTTAAAGGTGCCATTATCTTACTGCCTCTGGCCTTCATGGTTTCTAATGAAAGACTGGCTGTTAATCTTATTTCAGATCCTTTGTACATGGTTAGTCCCTTGTCTCTTGCTACTTTCAAGACTCTTTGTCTTCTGACAATTTATTATTTCTCTCAGTTTGAAGTTCTTTGATGTTATCATAATTATAGTTTCTTTAGAGTCTTGGACATAGAGATTCATGTCTTTCATCAATTTGGAAGGTCTTCAGACATTGTTTCTTCAGATATTTTTTGGTTCCCTTTTCTCCTCTTCGTTAGTAACTCTTGTTATTAACTTGTGGGTATGTTTGATGTTGTCTCTTGGATCTCTTAGGCACTGTCTATTTTTCACCATTCTTTTTCTCTGCTCCACAGAATGAGTAATCCCCATCAGTGTCTTCAATTTTGCTGATTCTTTGTTCTCTTTGAGCTCCAATCTGTCACTGATTTTCACTGATTTTAAAAAATTTTAGTTGTTGTACTTGTCAGCTCCAGACAGTCCTAATTACATTTTTATAATTTTCTACTCTACATTAATATTTTATATTTGGCACAGCATCATTCTCCTGGTTTCTGTTAGTTCTTTGTCTGCTTTCATTTAGCTCTTTGAGCACATTTAGAACAGATGATTTAAATTCTTTATCTAGTAAGACCAGTATCAAAGGTGTCTTTGAGTACAGGTTTTATTTCTTTTTTCTGTGTGTCTGTGGGTCATATTATCTTCTTTGCATGCCTCATAATTTTTTATTGAAAACTGAACATTTTGAATATTAAAATGTGCTAATTCTAGAAATCAGATTCTTTTCCTCAGAATTTGTTGTTGCTGTTTATTTTGTATTATTTGCTTATTTTGTGACTTTTATAAACTATTTTTGTAAAGTCAGTGTTCTTTGTTGTACATGGTCACTGAAACCTCTGTTCTATTAGTTTAGTGGTCGTCTGTGATTTGACAGAGATTTCTTTAAATGCCTAGAGCCAAAACAAAACAAAAAACTCTTCTGGTCTGTGCATATTGGCCCTGTTTTAGGGCGCTCCTGTAATGGCTTGCCAGGCCATTTACATCTCTGCATTAACCTTTACTTCCTGCTTACACAGAGCGTGAAGGTCAACCAGATGTGAAAGCTTAGGTTCCTCTCAGGTTTTTTCTGAGCATGCATATTGTCTTGGACTTACACATGATCTCAATTCCCTGCTTTATGCAGGAGCTTTTCAAACCCCTTATCCCCACCCCTGGCCCCATGTGTTTCCTTCCCAGTTTTTACATTCCCAGTTTTTCAGTCCATCTGCTGCTTTTCTCATCTGGCTACTGTGGCCAGATAATTGCCTTTAAATGCTTTCAACAAGCACTTCCTGGAAGACTAGCCCTGAGAAAGTTTCAAGGAAGGCAAAACAAAGACAAGCCTGTGAGCCACTTCTTCAGAGAGCCCGCATAGACAGATCAAAATACACAACTACAGTTCTCTGAAAACAAGGTGCATACTGTCCACGTTGGCACAGGCATCAGCAAGTCATACCAGGAATGTTCTGGGTGTACTAGGTTTTTAATTAGATTGGAGAATTCTGAAAAGCTTGATGCTGAGAGGTGTTTTTTGTTTTTTTTTTCTTCCCCAGCTTAATTGTTGCTTTAGTTTGGGATGGAGTTTTGGAGTTACCTTTTCCATTTTCAGCCTACCCCCCACATCAGTTTTTGAGTAATTACTCTGTGGAACAACAGATGTGCCTGGCCCATCTTGTCCTTTTCCTGCAGTACCTCTACCATTAGCCATTTCTCCAAAGGACATTGTTCTTTCTAGTGGAGGATGGAATTTAAAAACCAAGATCTGGGTGCTTATTGCTAAAGGTTGTCACTGCCTCAATCCCTCTCAATTGACAGTTAGGAAATACATGTGTGTATGTATACATACACACACACACACAGAAATACACATGTGTACACCTATTTTTGTATTGGTCTGTCTATACATATTTTTTAAACAATGAGTTTACGTAGACATTTCCCAGTTTCAATCTTAACCCCATAGCCTTTCTGTTTTCCATCTTTGTAACTTCTTTCTTCAACAGTGAGAAACCAGGCTATACCATTATCCACAATATTTATTTGCTCCTTCTCCCTGTTTGCATCCAATATTTTTTCTTTTTTTTTTTTTTTGAGATGGAGTTTTGCTCTTGGTGCCCAGGCTGGAATGCAATGGCATGATCTCAGCTCACCGCAACCTCCGCCTTCTGGGTTCAAGTGATTCTCCTACCTCAGCCTCCCAAGTAGCTGGGATTACAGACATGTGCCACCATGCCTGGCTAATTTTGTATTTTTAGTAGAGACAGGGTTTCTCCATGTTGGTCAGGCTGGTCTCGAACTCCCGACCTCAGGTGATCTGCCCACCTTGGCCTAACAAAGTGTTGGGATTACAGATGTGAGCCACCGTGCCCAGCCTGTATCTAATCTCTTACCTGCCAGTGCTACCTGTCTCCTCAGCTCTGGTTTGATCCCTTAGATCACCATTCCTGGAATTATCCATAGTTGCTATATTAAATATTCAAATCAGATTTGATGTATTAAAACATTTTAGAAGTTAAAAGGGGCCATTTGACTAAGTCTTCTTATTTTTGGAAAAACATCATTACTTTATGTAAGCTTATCAAAAATAAAATTTCTGATTATTAGCAGCACAGTATCTAAACCTGTCTCTATAGGTTGTCAAGCCACTACTTTGTCCATTAAATTATAAGGACACTTATCCCATTCATGAAGGCAGAGCTTCCTAATCACCTCCTAAAGGCCATGCCGCTTCATACTATTGCAATGGTATTAGATTTCAACATATGAAGTTGTGAAGGGGACATACATTCAGACCATAGCACTAAGTATTTTATTTTACTGAATACTACCATAAATGGAATTATTTTCTGAATTTCCTTTTGGATTGTTCATTGTTGGAGTATTTTTTTTAAAAAAACCTAATTGTTGTGTGTTGATTTTGTACTCTGCAACTATGCCAAAACTATTTGTTAGCTCATAGATGTTTTGTGGATTATATGCTAAATAATGTTATCTGCAAATAGAGTAGTTTTACTTCTGCCTTTCAATTTGAATGTCTTTTATTTTTTTTTTCTTGCCTATTTGCTCTGGCTAGAACTTTTAATACAGTGTTGAATTGCAGTGGTGTGAAAGCACTATCATTGCCTGTTCATGATCTTAGGGGGGGATCTTTCAGTCTTTCACTGTGGAGTATGTTACCTATGAGTTTTTTGTATATGTGCTTTATTATGTGGAGGAACAGGCAGCAGTCTTTGCTGTTTGGCAGCCTCCACTGGTGATACCGAGGCAAACAGGGTCTGGAGTGGACCTCCAGCAAACTCCAGCAGACCTGCAGCAGAGGGGCCTGACTATTAGAAGGAAAACTAACAAAGAGAAAGGAATAACATCAACATCAACAAAAAGGACATCCATTCAGAAACCCCATCTGAAGGTCACCAACATCAAACACCAAAGGTAAATAAATCCACGAAGATGGGGAGAAACCAGCACAAAAGGCTGAAAATTCCAAAAACCAGTACACCTCTTCTCCTCCAACACACTCCTCCACACAACTCCTTGCCTGCAAGGGAACAAAACTGGACAGAGAATGAGTTTGACAAATTGTCAGAAGTAGGCTTCAGAAGGTGGGTAATAATAACTAACTCCTCCAAGTTAAAGGAGCATGTTCTATCCAATGCAGGGAAGCTAAGAATCTTGATAAAAGGATAGACAAATTGCTAACTAGAATAACCAGGTTAGAGAAGAACATAAATCACCTGATGGAGCTGAAAAACACAGCACAAGAACTTCGTGAAGCATACATAAGTATCAATAGCTGAATCAATCAAGTGGAAGAAAGGACATAAGAGATTGAAGATCAAATTAATGAAATAAAGTGAGAAAACAAGATTAGAGAAAAAAGAATGAAAAGGAACGAACAAAGCCTCCAAGAAATACGGGACTATGTGAAAAGACCAAATCTGTGTTTGATTGGTGTACCTGAAAGTGACGGGGACAATGGAACCAAGCTGGAAAACACCTTCAGGATATTATCCAGGAGAACTTAACCAGCCTAGCAAGAGAGGCCAACATTCAAATTCAGGAAATACAGATAACACCACAAAGATACTCGTAAAGAAGAGCAACCCAAGACACATAATCATCAGATTCAGCAAGGTTGAAATGAAGGAAAACATTTTAAGGGCAGCCAGAGAGAAAGGTCAGGTCACCCACAAAGGGAAGTCCATCAGACCAACAGCAGAACTCTCTACAGAAACCCTACAAGCCATAAGAGAGTGGGGGCCAATATTCAGCATTCTTAAAGAAAAGAATTTTCAACCCAGAATTTCATATCCAGCCAAACTAAGCTTCATAAGTGAAGGAGAAATAAAATCCTTTACAGACAAGCAAATGCTGAGAGATTTTTGTCACCACCAGGCCTGCCTTACAAGAGTTCCTGAAGGAAGCACTAAACATGGAAAGGAACAACCGGTACCAGCCACTGCAACAACATACCAAATTGTAAAGACCATCGATACTATGAAAAAACTGCATCAACTAATGGGCAAAATAACCAGCTAGCATCATAACGACAGGATCAGATTCACACATAACAATATTAACCTTAAATGTAAATGGGCTAAATGCCCCAGTTAAAATACACAGACTGGCAAATTGGATAAAAAGTCAACATCCATCAGTGTGCTGTATTCAGGAGACCCATCTCATGTGCAAAGACACACATAGGCTCAAAATAAAGGGATGGAGGAATATTTACCAAGCAATTGGAAAGCAAAAGAAGCAGGTGTTACAATCTTAGTCACTGATAAAACAGACTAAACCAACGAAGATCAAAAGAGACAAAGAAGGGCATTACATAGTGGTAAAGGGATCAATGCAACAAGAAGAGCTAACGACCCTAAATATATATGCACCCAATACAGGAGCACCCAGATTCATAAAGCAAGTTTTTAGAGACCTACAAAGACACTTAGACTCCTACACAATAATAGTGGGAGACTTTAACAACCCACTGTCAGTATTAGACAGATCATCAAGACAGAAAATTAACAAGGATATTCAGAACTTTAACTCAGCTCTGGACCAAGCAGACCTAATAGACATCTACAGAACTCTCCCCACCCAAATTAACAGAATATAGATTCTTCTCAGCACCACATCACATTTATTCTAAAATTGACCACATAATTGGAAGTAAAACACTCCTCAGCAAATGCAAAAGAACGGAAATCATAACAGTCTCTCGGGCCACAGTGCAATCAAATTAGAAACCAGGATTAAGAAACTCACTCAAAACTGCACAATTACATGAAAACTGAACAACCTGCTCCTGAATGGCTACTGGGTAAATAATGAAATTAAGGCAGAAATAAAAAGTTATTTGAAACCAATGAGAACAAAGACACAACATACCAGAATCTCTGGGACACATTTAAAGCAGTGTCTAGAGGGAAGTTTGTAGCACTAAATGCCCACAACAGAAAGTAGGAAAGATCTAAAATAGACACCCTAACATCACAAAAGAACTAGAGAAGCAAGAGCAAATACATTCAAAAGCTAGCAGAAGGCAAGAAATAACTAAGAGCAGAACTGACGGAGATAGAGATACGAAAAACCCTTCAAAAAATCAATGAATCCAGGAGCTGGTTTTTTGAAAAGATCAACAAAATAGAATAGCCAGAAGAATAAAGAAGAAAAGAGAGAAGAATAAAATAGATGCAATAAAAAATGATAAAGGGGATATCACCACTGATCCCACAGAAATACAAACTACCATCAGAGAATACTATAAACACCTCTATGCAAATAATCTAGAAAATCTAGAAGAAATGGATAAATTCCTGGACACTTACACCCTCTCAAGTCTAAAGCAGGAAGAAGTCAAATCCCTGAATAGACAAATAACAAGTTCTGAAATTGAGGCAGTAAATAATAGCCTACCAACCAAAAATGTCTAGGACCAGACAGATTCACAGCCGAATACTACCAGAGGTACAAAGAGGAGCTGATACCATTCCCTCTTAAAGTATTCCAAGCAACAGAAAAAGAGGGAATCCTCTCTAACCCATTTTATGAGGCCAGCATCATCCTGATACCGAAACATTGCAGGGACACAACAAAAAAAGAAAATTCCAGGCCAATATCCCTGATGAACATTGACACAAAAATCCTCAATACAATACTGGCAAACCGAATCCAGCAGCGCTTCAAAAAGCTTATCCACCATGCTCAAGTCAGCTTCATCCCTGGGATGCAAGGCTGGTGCATCATAGGCAAATTAATAAATGTACTCCTTTCATCACATAAACAGAATCAATGACAAAAACTACATGATTATCTCAGTAGGTGCAGAAAAGGCCTTCGAGAAAATTCAACACCCCTTCATGCTTAAAACTCTCAAAAAACTAGGTATTGATGGAACATATCTCAAAATAATAATAAGAGCTATTTATGACAAACCCACAGCCAATATAATACTGAATGGGCAAAAACTGGGAGCATTCCCGTTGAAAACCAGCACAAGACAAGGATGCCCTCTCTCACGACTCCTATTCAACATAGTATTGGAAGTTCTGGCCAAGGCATTCAGGCAAGAGAAAGAAATAAAGGGTATTCAGATAGGAAAAGAGGAAGTCAAATTTGTCTCTGTTTGCAGATGACATGATTCTATATTTAGAAAACCCCATCATCTCAGCCCAAAATCTCCTAAAGCTGATAAGCAACTTCAGGAAAGCCTCAGGATACAAAATCAACGTGCAAAAATGACCACCAGTCCTATACACCAATAATAGAAAAACAGAGAGCCAAATCATGAGTTAATTCCCATTCACAATTTCTACAAACAGAATAAAATACCTAGGAATACAAGTTACACGGGATGCGAAGGACCTCTTCAAGAAGAACTGCAAACCACTGCTCAAGGAAGTAAGAGAGGACACAAACAAATGGAAAAGCATTCCATGCTTATGGATAGGAAGAATCAGTATTGTGAAAATGGGCATATTGCCCAAAGTAATTTATAGATTCAAGCTATCCCCATCAAGTTACCATTAACATTCTTCACAGAATTAGAAAAAAACTACTTTAAATTTTATATGGAACCAAAAAAGAGCCTGGATAGCCAAGATAATTCTAAGCCAAAAGAACAAAGCTGGAGGCATCACACTACCTGACTTCAAACTATACTGCAAGGCTACAGTAACCAAAACAGCATGGTACTGGTACCAAAACAGATATATAGATCAATGGAACAGAACAGAGGCCTCAGGAGTACCACACGTCTACAACCATCTGATCTTAGACAAACCTGAAAAAAGCAATGGGGAAAGGAGTCCCTACTTAATAAATGGTGTTGGGAAAACTGGCTAGCCATATAAAGAAAACTGGAACTGGACCCCTTCCTTACACCTTATACAAAAATTAGCTCAAGATGGATTAAAGACTTAAACCTAAGACCTAAAACCATAAAAACCCTAGAGGAAAACCTAGGCAATATCATTCAGTACATAGGCATGGGCAAAACTTCATGACTAAAACACCAAAAACAATGGCAACAAATGCCAAAATTGACAAATGGGATCTAATTAAACTAAAGAGCTTCTGCACAGCAAAAGAAACTATCATCAGAGTGAACAGGCAATCTACAGAATGGGAGAAAATTTTTGCAATCTATCCATCTGACATAGGGCTAATATCCAGAATCTACAAAGAACTTAAACAAATTTACAAGAAAAAAACAACCCCATCAAAAAGTGGGTGAAGGAAATGAACAGACACTTCTCAAAAGAAGACATTTATGCGGCCAACAAACATATGAAAAAAAGCTCATCATCACTGGTCATTAGAGAAATGCAAATCAAAACCACAATGAGATACTATCTCATGCCAGTTAGAATAGCAATCATTAAAAAGTCAGGAAACAACAGATGCTGGAGAGGATATAGAGAAATAGGAATGATTTTATACTGTTGGTGGGAGTGTAAATTAGTTCAACCATTGTGGAAGACAGTGTGGCGATTCCTGAAGGATCTAGAACCAGAAATACCATTTGACCCAGGAATCCCATTACTGGGTATATACCCAAAGGATTATAAATCATTCTACTATAAGGACACATGCATACATACGTTTTTTTGTGGCACTGTTCACAATAGCAAAGACTTGGAACCAACCCAAATGCCCATCAGTAATAGACTGGATAAAGAAAATGTGGCACATATACACCATGGAATGCTATGCAGCCATAAAAAAGGATGAGTTCATGTCCTTTGCAGGGACATGGATGAAGCTGGAAACCATCATTCTCAGCAAACTAACACAAGAACAGAAAACCAAACACTGCATGTTCTCACTCATAAGTGGGAGTTGGACAATGAGAACACATGAACACAGGAGGGGAACATCTCATACCAGGGCCTGTCAGGGGGTTGGGGGCTAGGGGAGAGATAGCATTAGGAGAAATACCTTATGTAGATGATGGGTTGATGGGTGCAGCAAACCACCATGGCACATGTGTACCTATGTAACAAACCTACATGTTCTGCACATGTACCCCAGAACTTAAAGTATAATAATAAAAAAAAAAAACTGTTGACTGTGGTCACCCTGTTTTACTGTCAAATACTCAATCTTATTCATTCTAATTACATTTTTGTATGCATTATTTGAAGAAATTTATCCACTCTGCCAGTCTCCCATTTTTCTTATTTATTTAATCCTAATTTCTCTTTTAAGACCAAATCCAGATGAAAACTTGGCGTATAATCTTATAGCAGTTCCCTTGTTTGTTTTGAATCACATTTCAACCCAAAGGATTCCCTTTAGCATTCCTTGCAGAGTAGATCTAGTAAAAACATACTCCCTTAGCTGGTGTTCATCTGGGAATGTCCTCATTATTGACAGGCATGTTTGCCAGGCGTAGAATTCTCAGCTACAGCTTTTTCTTTCAGCACTTTGAATATATCAGTCCAGTGCCTTCTAACCTCCAAGGTTTCTGCTGATGATCTTTTTTTTTTTTTTGAGACGGAGTCTCACTTTGCCACCCAGGCTAGAGTGCAGTGGCGCGATCTCGGCCCACTGCAAGCTCCGCCTCCCGGGTTTTTGCAGTCTCTATTTTAATTTCTAGTCATGTGTGGTCACTGAATTCTCTCTCTTTAGCTTGTGTTCAGGTACTGTTTTAACAGGCATTTTTCCTGGAAGGCCAGGATTCAAACAACAACCACCAAAAAAAAAAAAACTAAAAAAAAACCCAACAAAACCCCTTTCCTATTATTTGCAAATTGGCTCTGTCCTGGGGCACTTTTTAAGCACTTAGCCTGGTCCATTTAGAACTTCATCTTAGTCTTCACTGCTTGCTTGCACTGAGCACAGAGATTAGCCAGAAGTAAAACCTTCGGGTCTTTTGAGGTCTTTGCCAAGCTTCTCCTGTCCTAGGTATGTGCTTGGCTTTCTGAATTCCCTAACCCATGTATGCCTAGTGTTCCATTAGTGGAATGCTAAGCATGTGGGAGTTATTTATATCCTACTGCTCAGGGTCATTTCAAGGTCTGATTGCAAAAATTAAAAAAAATTTGTGCAACCTCAGACATAAACGGGCTATAATGTACACAGTGCTCTTGATTGCCCTCATTTCCCTCCAAAAAAGTCTCTCCTTAGCTTTTTTTTTTTTCTTTCGGAATTCATTTTAGAATGGTATTTATCTCCTGGATTTATCTATATTTTACAAGCTATTCTTTTATTATCTATTTTTCCAGTTTTTATTTTGTTATAATTTGTGCAATTTTATATATTTAGATTTGTACAATTCTGTATTTTACATCCATTTTCTTTTCTTTTCTTTTCTTTTCTTTTCTTTTCTTTTCTTTTCTTTTCTTTTCTTTTCTTTTCTTGTCTTGTCTTGTCTTCTTTTCTTTTCTTTCACAGAGTTTCACTCTTTTTGCCCAGGCTGCAGTACAGTGGTGTGATCTTGGCTCACTGCACACTCCGCCTCCCAGGTTCAAGTGATTCTCCTGTCTCAGCCTCCCGAGTAGCTGGGATTACAGGTGCCTGCCACCATGTCTGGCTAATTTTTGTATTTTTAGTAGAGACAGGGTTTCACCATGTTAGCCATGCTGGTCTTGAACTCCTGACCTTGTGATCCTCCTGCCTTGGCCTACCAAAGTGCTGGGATTACAGGCATGAGCCACCGCACCTGGCCCATTTTGTTTTCTAGTAGTGTTCAGAGAGTATTTGTTTTGTTTTCATAGTTAGGCAAATATTAACATTTAATTTTGGAATGCTCTTTTTTTAGTCTGTGATTTTTTTTTTTTTTTTTTTTTTTTTGAGATGGAGTCTCACTCTGTCACCCAGGCTGGAGTGTGGTGGCACAGTCTTGGCTCACTGCAATCTCTGCCTCCTGGGTGCAAGCAATTCTCCTCCCTCAGCCTCCCAAGTAGCTGGGATTACAGGCGTCCACAGTCAGGCATGGCTATTCTTTGTCTTTTTAGTAAAGATGGGGTTTTACCATGTTGGCCAGGCTGGTCTTGAACTCCAAACCTTAGATCTCTTCCAAGCTTCAGAATCATCTCTGTAGCCTTCCACTGGATATGCTCACTTCCATGACATGAAGACATTCCAAGAGCAGCATGGCCTGCATGTGTCTTATTGTCACTCTGCACTCTCCCCTCCTGCAACACCCACCCTCCTGGTTCTAATTTCCAGACGTTCTAAGGCCTCTATGCAGGCCCTCTGGAAGTAGCCCTTCCTCTCTTCCTTTGCTTAGTGAATTCCCTCTTCCACATCTCCACTGCTGCCCCTTGGTATAGACAATCTACCTCTAATGCTGCTCTCCAGCAGTCTCAACTCTACTTTGGTGGCATTGCTTCCTCAGTGAAAACTGAATTATGTTACAGAGATTCAGGTGTGTATTTCCAGTTCACCATCAACTTCTGCTATTCGCATCAATGACCTGGGATGGGTGGAGCAGGGAGCCTATGGCCTAAAGGAAGTATGCAAGATAATTGTGTTTATGTCATATACTGCCAGTCCTTTAGGGCATGGGAGGAAAATATCAGCATGCCTATTTATATTTTTATCTAAAAAATAAGAACAAAATTAAGCTTTCCTTATATGTGGATTGGTTGTATTTTATTTACTTTATAAATAAATATAAATAAAACTAGTAGTTGCTAAAAATTTTTATGGATTAGATGAGTGATAAATATTTGGAGAACACTAACAGGATTAAAGCCAAAAGTATTTCCTAGTCTCCCTCATCTTCCATGCCTCTGCAACCTTTACCTCATCACAGGTAAGACATGCTCTTATCCTGTTAAGCAGTTCCACTGACTTGCCACATATTTTTTCAGGTTTTTAACCTTTTGTTAAGTTTTTCTTATATGTTTGCAAAGGAACTAAAGTTTTATCACTTTAGTGAAATCTCACATGATTTTGCACAGAACACTTTTATGATCCATCTGTGTTACACATAGCTGTGGTGTGAGTCCTTTAAGTCCTGTGGTAGGTATGTCTCTGTATGTATGTTTCCTTATGAGAAGATATGTTCCTCTCTTGTAAGGAAGACTCCTGTGTTCAAATTGGAATACTCAGAAACTAAGAAAGCTCTAGGCACATGTAGGCACTAAATATTTTTGCATTAAGTAATAAATTAATGCACCAACAGGATATTTCTACTATGATTTTTTACTCACAATATGTAACATAAAACAACATATATCATAGGGGCCCTTTATAACAGTTTCTATTTAATTTTCAACAATAAAAATGGTAAGAATTAGTCCCTAAACATCTTTTTTCACGTCAACTGATTCTTATCACTTCAGACTGAGCAAAATTGTGATTTTCCAGGGATCAGTGTCGTTTAGGGATGTGACTGTGGGCTTCACTCAAGAGGAGTGGCAGCATCTGGACCCTGCTCAGAGGACCCTGTACAGGGATGTGATGCTGGAGAACTACAGCCACCTTGTCTCAGTAGGTAGGTAGGAATTGTTTCCCATGTAGAAGGCCAGAATGCATGTCCTTTCTTATCAATAGAAACTTGTGGAACTTTTGTAAAATATAATAATATTTAGGTTTGAGATTCAGAGGTCAAGGACAATTTATCCCTTTTGGATACCAGAAAGAATGTTTTCCTCTGCCCCCATGACAGGATTAAATGAAGTGTGTGTGTGTGTGTGTGTGTGTGTGTGTGTGTGTGTGTGTGTGTGTGTACTGTTTGGGGTATACTGTCTTCCTCCTTCAGGAAAACCCACCCAGTTTGTCCCAAGTAATACAATTCTCATTCACAGGGTATTGCATTCCTAAACCAGAAGTGATTCTCAAGTTGGAGAAAGGCGAGGAGCCATGGATATTAGAGGAAAAATTTCCAAGCCAGAGTCATCTGGGTGAGTTAGTATGTGCCAGATGGAATTTAAAGGAAGGTAGATCACAAAGGGTAAGTTTGGATAATAAGACCATTGAAATGTTCTTTAGGAATCATGTTTTAGAGGCTCCAGACCTTTGGAAGTAACATGTTGACGTGACCCAAATATGCAGTGACTCTGAATCACCCAGCATCTCCCAGTATCACTTTCATACACACATCTTGTTGTTTTTTTTAAATTGTGATATAAACTATATAGTTTAGCCAGAGATTAATAAAATTTTATATATATATGTAACACTCATGTACCCATCATTGAGATGAATATATAAAGTGATTTTTCAACACCCCCAGAAAGCTCCCTGTTGTACTCTTCCCAGTAAAGAGCATCCCTCCTTTTGTAAAATTAAATATATTTTTCTATACATGCTTTTTTGAGTTGCTCATTCATTAGCTTTTTACCATATTTACCATTTTTTACAGAATTGTTTTAAAATAGCCTGGGCCCAGTGGTTCATGCCTGTAATCCTAGGTCTTTGGGAGGCTGAGGTGGGAGGATCACTTCAGCCCAGGAATTTGAGACCAGCCTGGGCAAAATAAGAAGACCCCATCTCTATGAAAACTTAAAAAATTAGCCAGGCATGGTGGCACACACCTGTGGTCCCATGCCTGGCTAATTTTTGTGATCTCAGCTACTGGGGAGCTGAGGTGACAGTCTTGCTTTAGCCTGGGAAGAGGCTGCAGTTAACTGTGTTTGTGCCATTGCACTGCAGCCTGGGTGACAGAGCAAGATTCTGTCTCTAAAAAATAAAAAGCAATTAAAATTAAAATTACACATTCAACCAGTAACGATTTCAGCGTGAAGCCTGAAAAAATTTGTGTTTGAAAAAGCTCTCCGGATAATACTGATAAACATTATTTGTTAAGTACCATTGATTTAAATATCTATATAGGGCACTGAGAGAAAATCATAGGTAAAGTAATGGCTGCCAGGAACATAGTTGTTGAACAAAAACAGAACTGCATGAAATATTTTAAAATTCAGTGTTTAACAAAGAATATTGTTATAGCAATCCAGCTGATGTTTGTGCTTAAATGAATTATAAAAACAGTCCTTTCATGTTTTTTAGTAAATGAACCTGGGAAATTTGGGAAGGAAACTTTTTAAAAACACTGTTAGACTGCAAACTGACAATGGAAAAACAATCAGTATGAGATTATGATGGGAATGAGCAATTTATGAGGGACAAACAGCTGAACTTACCTAGAGCGAAATATATTCACTCTAGACTTGTAAAAGAATGGCTTGGTTCTAATCTGAATCTAAATGTAAAGATATGTTTACTTCAGTGATACCTTGTTTAAAAAAAAAGTGTTTGTTCTTGGGACATTGGACTCAGTATAGTATAGGACAGTTGATGAAATAAAGGGCAAATCCCACAGCTGGAATAGAACCATAAACCTGATCCTGTGGCAAGGATGGCTTGTTCACTCACTGATTTCACTCTTATTGTTGCATACTTTTATTTCTAGTGAATCAGAGCTAGAAAAACAATTGAGCCAGGTGCAGTGGCTCATGCCTGTAATCCCAGCACTTTGGAAGGCCAGTGTGGATGAATTGTTTGAGGCTAGGAGTTCAAGACCAGCCTGGCTAACATGGCAAAATCCTGTCTCTACTAAAAACATAAAAACTAGCCAAGCATGGTTGCGTATGCCTGTAGTCCCAGCTACTTGGGAGGTTGAGGCATGGGAATCACTTGAACCCAGGAAGCGGAGATTGCAGTGAGCCGAGATCACGTCACTACACTCCAGCCTGGATGACAGAGCAAGACTCTGTCTCAAAAACACCACCACCACCACCACCAACAACAACCAAGAACAACAAAACCACACAGAATTGGAGCCTGGATTATAGGACTATGAATTAGAACTTTTAGAAATTTAATTTGTTGCTGCTGTGTTGACTTGAAAAGAGGTATAAGACTGGAAGTGTGCACATTGTCATAACATAGGTATGAGGAGATAATGGCCTAAACTGAGCCATGCCTTCAAATATAATGCTAAGTTTATTTCTCTTACATATCCTCGTCAACTAACCTTTCTTTTCACTCTGTATTTCAGAATTAATTAATACCAGTAGAAACTATTCAATAATGAAGTTCAATGAGTTTAACAAAGGTGGAAAATGTTTCTGTGATGAAAAGCATGAAATAATTCATTCTGAAGAGGAACCTTCTGAATATAATAAAAATGGGAACAGCTTCTGGCTGAATGAAGACCTCATTTGGCATCAGAAAATTAAAAATTGGGAACAATCTTTTGAATACAATGAATGTGGGAAAGCTTTCCCTGAGAATTCACTCTTCCTTGTACATAAGAGAGGTTACACAGGACAGAAAACCTGCAAATATACTGAACATGGGAAAACCTGTGATATGTCATTTTTCATCACTCATCAGCAAACACATCCAAGAGAAAACCACTATGGTAATGAATGTGGAGAAAATATCTTTGAGGAATCCATTCTCCTTGAACATCAGAGTGTTTACCCATTCAGCCAGAAGTTAAATCTCACTCCAATTCAGAGAACCCACTCAATTAACAATATTATTGAATATAATGAGTGTGGAACATTTTTCAGTGAAAAATTAGTCCTTCATTTACAACAGAGAACACATACAGGAGAAAAACCTTATGAATGTCATGAATGTGGAAAAACCTTCACCCAGAAGTCAGCCCACACAAGACATCAGAGAACACACACAGGGGGAAAACCCTATGAATGTCATGAATGTGGGAAGACCTTCTATAAGAATTCAGACCTCATTAAACATCAAAGAATTCATACAGGGGAGAGACCTTATGGATGTCATGAATGTGGGAAATCCTTCAGTGAAAAGTCAACCCTTACTCAACATCAAAGAACGCACACAGGGGAGAAACCATATGAATGTCATGAATGTGGGAAAACCTTCTCATTTAAGTCAGTCCTTACTGTGCATCAGAAAACACACACAGGGGAGAAGCCCTATGAATGCTATGCATGTGGGAAAGCCTTTCTCAGAAAATCAGACCTCATTAAACATCAAAGAATACACACAGGTGAAAAACCTTATGAATGTAATGAATGTGGGAAGTCATTCTCTGAGAAGTCAACCCTTACTAAACATCTAAGAACTCACACAGGTGAGAAACCTTATGAATGTATTCAGTGTGGAAAATTTTTCTGCTACTACTCCGGTTTCACAGAACATCTGAGAAGACACACAGGGGAGAAACCTTTTGGATGTAATGAATGTGGGAAAACCTTCCGTCAGAAGTCAGCCCTAATTGTTCACCAGAGAACTCATATAAGACAGAAACCCTATGGATGTAATCAATGTGGAAAATCATTCTGTGTGAAGTCAAAACTCATTGCACATCATAGAACACACACAGGGGAGAAACCCTATGAATGTAATGTTTGTGGAAAATCATTCTATGTTAAGTCAAAACTAACTGTACATCAGAGAATACACTTGGGGAGAAACCCTATAAATGTAGTAAACGAGGGAAATTACTCTGGGTGAAGTCAGAACTTTGTAGAACACAGAACATAAAGGGTGAGAGAAATCTGTTAATATAATGATAATGAGAACACCTTTGCCCTGAAGTCAGTTCTCACAGTATAGAAGAGAACTTAAAGAGGGAAAAAACAATATGAAGATAGGGAATGCAGGAAAACATTATTCTGGAATTTGGACCATACACTATGTTACAAAACTAAAAGTGGAAAAAACTTATTGGTGAATGAATATAGGAAACATTTTGCCCAATGCCACTCTTCATTAAACATCAGAGAATTCACACGGGGTGAAACCTGGGTCAGCATCCCTAGGTTGAGAAGGGATGCATTTTTCTGCTACTACTACAGTTTCACAGAATACCTGAGAAGACACACTTGGAGAAACCTTTTGGGTGTAATGAATGTGGGAAAACCTTTCATCAGAAGTCAGCTCTAATTGTTCACCACAGAACTCATATAAGACAGAAACCCTATGGGTGTAATGAATGTGGAAAATCATTCTGTGTGAAGTCAAGAGGCCAGAGAAAATGCACAAACTGTAGGAAACTATAGGAAAGCATTTACTATGAGGTTATATTTTATGGAGTATATGTAATAAGAAGTAGCTTCTCAGTGAACATCAGATAGTAGAGAAAGTATTTTTAACTGTATCCAATGTGTGGATGTTTTAAGTTAAAATCTAAATTTAATATAGAACAGAGGTGTTGAGTTGCAGGATATCTAGCAATTTAAGAAAATGTGGAAAAAATATTTTTATTGAGAAATAGCATTTTACTTTGTTAATATCTAGTTTAGTTCATTGTCAAGACTGCTATTTTCTAAGAGACTTCTAAAGACGCCACTCAAGCCAATGGCTATAAGTAGTTCAAAGGTTTATTGCTTAGCCATATGAAAAATAAGGGAAGATTTTTTAGCAAGGGGACCCACAAACAAGAGTGCTCTTGTATGTCCAGAAGAAAGAGAAAGACCATCAATCAGGGGCCATAGTACAGGAGCCCACCAGCAGGATTTTTGAATAATCCTAGGGCAGACTAAATTCAGACGACCCATCTCAGAATGGTGGATCAAAGCAGCAAGTCAATTTGCCTTGTATGCAACTTATGAGGATTAGTAGAAGAGAGTGGGTCCAGATTTCTGGTGGTTTCTGCCCTGCAGATGTCTAACACATAAGCCAGGACATTCTGCTGTGAGTGACTTATTGTACCCAACTCTATTTCTCTCCATACTGAAACATGTCTTTCATAGGTGATACAACTTTTTAAAATGTATGTGTAGATATAACTTAAATATGGAGCTTTCAAAAAGCACAAATAGGCTGGACATGGTGGCTCATGCCTGTAATCCCAGTACTTTGGGAGGCTGAGGTGGGCAAATCACCTGAGGTCAGGAGTTCCAGACCAGCCTGGCCAACATGATGAAACCCTGTCTCTACTAAAAATACAAAAATTAGCCGGGCATGGTGGTGCACATCGGTAGTCCTGGCTACTAGAGAGGTTGAGGTGGGAGGATCACTTGAACCTGGGAGGTGGGGGTTTCAGTGAGCTGAGATCATGCCACTGCACTCCAGCCTGAGTGACAGAGAGAGATTCAAAAAACAAAAAAAAAGCAAAAATATACTTTGCTATTGGGTAAGGTATAGTAGTTGGCAGCAGAATGGACCCATTGAGGATAACTATAAAATTACAGAAAATATTTAAATGCAACTTATTGCTATAGAAGCAAAGAGGACTAAAGGGCAAAATTCTAGAGAGTGGTAAATCTCAGAAAGCACAAGCATAAAATGCAGCTCTGGGGGCCCTTTCCACTTCTGGCTATAGGGAAGAACCTGAATACTGAACTTGATTCAGGCAGAGGACCATAACCTGGGGGTCAGGGGAAGGCATGGGGGGGACCAGAAACCAGAAGAACAATCAAGACTGCAATGAAAAAAATGGATACATTAGGAGCTTCAAACACATATAATTTCTCAAGAAATTTCCAGATGTCTCATGCTGCATAGGGCAGGAGCCTGAAAAGCTAATTTGAGAAGATAATAAGTAGGATTTTTGTTTTGTTTTGCATTTTGCAGTACAAAGGAGAAATGATTAGAACTTAGGAAGTGCCAGTGGGTTGGTGAACATGCCATCAGTAAAAGCCCTGGAAACAAGGTCATACTAGAGATTGGTTGTGCCTTGTCACAACTGCAAACAATACCTGAGTGGAGTATTCAAAAACTTGCTTAGAAAGAAAACTCTAGGAACAGATGGCTTCACTGAAGTTATTCCAAATATTTAAGAAATAATACCAGGCTTTTATAAACTTTTCTAGAAGAAAAAAGATGGAACTTTTCCAATTCAGTTTTTGAGGCCAGTACAACCTTGATAACAAAACCTAAAAAAAAAACAACAAAAAAACCCATAAAGCTATAGACCAAAGTCTCATAGATTTAGATGCAAAATCCTAAAATTGAAAAAAACATCTAGCCATATCCATAAACTATATCATCACCAAGAGATGTTTATTAGGGCAATCAAAAGATTTATTATTTTAAAAAAATCAGTGTGGACTTCCATTCCTCTTTCTTTTGATTCCCCCCTTTGACTTTTCATGTATCTCTCCTGCCTTCCTTCCCCAGAGTGGAGGAGTTAGACTTGCCTCGTGGGATGAGAGGAGTTGTGGCTTTGTGTCTGCTGGCACCAAGAGGGCTGAGGGTGAGGTGTGGAAGGGACAGGGGGAGGAGATGGGCAGCATTGTTGAGAGATTGGTAACACTGAGCAAATAAATATGTTGAGAATGATGACAGCAAGATTTCTCCATTAGAGAAGGTATTTATAAAAATAGGAATGAGGAGAGCTAGAAAACCTGGAGTGTGGCATTAGAATAGAACTCATATCTTTTAAATATATAGGAACAAATAAATAAATTGTTGTGTGTGCACATATGCATATATTTTGTGTTCATTCTACTGAGAGGACCTAAACACAATGACACCTCAGTAACAGTAAGCACACCAACTGCCAAGTTATTAGTTCCTAAATACTATCCACAAAAAAGGGGAACAGGGATGATTCCTAGTCAGAGATTGGGAGAAATACAAGATGAGCCTGAATCATCTCATGTACCTGACAGTAAGAAAATACTCTGGCTGGTCTCAGTGGCTCATGTCTGTAATTCTAGCATGTTAGAAGGTCAAGGTGGGTGGGTTGCTTGAGCTCAGGAGTTTGAGACCAGCCTGGGCAACATGGCACAATTGTCTCTACAAAAAATACAAAAATTAGCCAGGCATGGTGGCATGCACCTGTAGTCCGAGGTACTCAGGAGGCAGAGACGTGGGAGGATCGCTTGAGCCTGGGAGATTGAGGCTGCACTGAGCTGTGATCGTGCCACTGTACTCTAGCCTGGAAGACAGAGTGAGACCCCATCTCAGGAAAAAAGAAAAAAAAAAAGATGTCATTCAGCAGGTTAATGGATAAACTGTGGAACATCCAGAAAACTTTAACATTCTTCAAAGAAATAGAAAACACAATCCTAAAATTTATATGGGAACCACAAAAGACTTAGAATAGTCAGCTATCCTGAGCAAAAGGAATCAAACTGGAGGAATCATATTACCTGACTTCCAATTATTCAACAGAGCTACAGTAACCAAAACAGCATGATACTGGCATAACAACAGACACATAGGAACAGTATAGACAACCCAGAAACAAATTCATACATCTATGGTGACCACTTTTGACAAAGGAATGAAGAACATACACTGGGGAAAAGATAATGTCTTTAATAAATGGTGCTGGGAAAACTGGATATCCATATGCAGAAGAATGAAACTAGACCCCCATCTCTTAGCATATACAAAAATCAAAATTAATTAAAAAGTTAAATCTAAGACCTCAAACTATGAAACAGCTAAAAGAAAACATCGGGGAATCTCTCCAGGACATTGGAGTGGGCAAAGATTTCTTGTGTAATACCTGACAAACAGGCAACCAAAGCAAAAGTGGACAAATGGGATCACATCAAGTTAAAAATCTTCTGCATTGCAAAGGAAATAACAAAGTGAAGAGACAACCCATAGAATGTGAGATAATATTTGCAAACTATCCATCTGTATTAGGCCATTTTTGAAGTACTACAAAGAAATACTTGAGACTGAGTAATTTATAAAGAAGAGGTTTAATTGGCTCACGGTTTTGCAGGCTGTACAGGAAGCATGGTGCTAACATCTGATCAGCTTGTAGGGAGGCATCAGGAAGTTTCCAACCATGGTGGAAGGCAAAAGGGGAATAAGTATCTCACATGGCAGGTGCAGGGCAAAGAGAGGGGGGAAGGGAAGTGCCACACAACCAGATCTTGTGAGTACTCAGATTTTGTGAGGGGTGCTTGAGGTCATGGATACCCATTTACCCTGATGTGTTTATACACATTTCATACCTGTATTAAAATATCTCATGTACCCCATAAACATATACACCTACTTTGTACCCACAAAAATTTAAAAATAAAGTTAATTTCAATGTTTAAAGACTTGTTATTAAAATAATAGCAGTTTCTATAAATTTAATATTTCAATAAAACTCCCAGTATTTATTGTTAACACTGGAAAAAGTTTTCCAAAACGTATATGGCAGAAATATGGGCCTTGATGTGAGGACAGCATCAATTAATGAGGGATCCTCTCCCTTGATCAAAACACCTTCCACCAAGACCCACCTTTAACGCTGAGCATTACCTCTCAAAGTGAGATTTGGGCAGGGACTAATATCCAAACTGTATCAACATCTGACAAGGTGTTCACAACCAGAATATATAAGGAGCTATAACAATTCTATAGAAAAAAAAATCTGATTTAAAACTGGGCAAAAATCTGAATAGACGTTTCTCAAAAGAAGACATACAAATGGCAAACAGGCATATGAAAAGGTACTCAACATCATTGATCCATTAGAGAAATGCAAATCAAAACTACAATAAGATATCATCTCACCCCAGTTAAAATGTCTTCTCTCCAAAAGACAGATAATAACAAATGCTGAAGAGGATGTGGAGAAAAGGGAAACCTCGTGCACTGTGGAAATGTTATTAGTACAACCACTATGGACAACAATTTGGAGGTACCTCAAAAACTAAAAATAGAGCTATCATACAATCCCACAATTCCACTGGTAGTTATATACCCCAAAGACAGGAAATCAGTATATTGAAGATATATCTGCACCGTGTTTACTGTAGCACTACTCACAATAGCCAAGATTTGGAAGCAACCTAAGTGTCTAACAGCAGATGAATGGATAAATAAAATATGGTACATAAACACAATGGAGTACTATTCAGCCATAAAAAAGAATGAGATCCTGTCATTTGCAACATTGTAGATGGAACTAGAGATCATTAAGTGAAATAAGCCAGGCACAGCAAGACAGACATCATGTTCTGACGTATTTGTTGGAGCTAAAGATGAAAACAACTGAACTTATAGAGGGTAGAAGGATGTTTACCAGAGGCGGGAAAGGCAGTGAGGGCATGGTGAGGGGGAAGTGGGGAATGTTAACGGGCACAAAATGTAGAATGACTAAGACCTAGTATTTGATAGCACAAGGTTACTACAGTCAATAATAATTGTGCATTTTAAAGGTATAATTGAATTGTAACACAAAGGATAAATGCTTGAGGTTATGGATACCCCATTTACCCTGATGTGATTATTAGACATTGCATGCCTATATCAAAATATATCATGTACCCCATAGATATATACACCTAGTATGTACCCACAAAAATTAAAAATAAAGTAAAATTTCAATGATTAGGAAGACCATTGTTAATATCAGTTTCCTTTAAATGTTTCTATAAATTTAATACAATTTCAATAAAGCTCCCAATATTTATTCTTAGTACTGGAAAAAGTTTTCCAAAATGTGTATGGCAGAAATAGGGCCAAAATAGGCAAGAAAACTATTTTCGAGATGTCAGTTTTCCTCAAATTGTTCTATTAATTAAACGCCACCTGAATTAAAATTTGACAAGTGGATTATAAATTTATGTGGACATTCAAAACAATTATGGATACATGAGTCCAGAATCACAGCCATAAACCATGAGGTGCTTGGGAGATTTTCAGAAAATATGCCAATGAAATCCAAGGGGAAAGACATGTCTTCAAAAAGTGGTGTTACCTTTGACTCCCCAAAGCATATATAAAGCCTCTACTCATCATAGATCTAAATATAAGAGCTCAAACTTAAAACTTGTAGAAGAAAACATGAGAAAATTTTTGTAGGTTTGAGTTAGATGATGATTTCTATATAGGACAATAAAAATATGGAACATACAAAAATAAATTTAATGCACTTAATTATAATACAAATGATTTACTCACTTTAAACTTTGATAAATTAGATTTTGTTAAATTCAAAAGCTTGTGTTCTTCAAAGCACACAGTTAAGGAAATGGAAAGGCGAGTAATGGACTAAAAAAAATACCTGTAAAACAGCTTTGGTTAAGAATAGAAGAAAAATCCTAATAAGAAAATTGGTGAAAGAATGGTGTGGAAAGTTCACTACAGAAAAAATATGAATGGCAAATAATCCTGATTTGGGGGAGAGTGTTCAATACCAATGCTAATTTTTTAAATGTCCTGTGTTTAATTTTTTGGAGTTTGTGATTTGCAACATGCCCCTACTGCATGGAGGGAGAGGAGATGGTAAAATGAACAGAAGTAATAATTGTAAACATAAAATCTCAATGGGTCATAATTTTCCACAGAACAGAATAAAATGTGTAGCTGTCAATTTAAAACACCACTCAGTAGGAGCACAATACAATAATTCCACTATTCTTAATATGGGCCAAATTTCTGATCTTGAAACCAGCTCAATTTTCCTATACAATTGATGTTTATGGGGCTTTTTTGGGGAATAAACATAGAAATTGACTGTTAGACCATTCTTGCATTGCTATAAAGAAATACCTGAGACTGGGTAATATAAAGGAAAGAGCTTATAAAGGGAAGAGGTTTAATTGGTTCAGGTTCTGCAGGCTTTACAGGAAGCATGTTGCTGGGATCTACTTGGCTTCTGGTTGAAGCCTCAGCTTTCGGTCATAGCAGAAGGCAAAACAGGAGCAAGAGAGAGGGAGTTGGGGCAAGTGCCACATACTTTTAGATGACCAGATCTTGGGAGAATTCAGTATCAGGAAGACAGCACTAAGCCATATGAGGGTTCCATCCCCATGATCACCTCCCACCAGGACTTACCTCCAGCACTGGGAATTACATTCAACATCAGATTTAGGCAGGCAAAAATATCCAAAGTATAGGATTGACCTCCCAGTCTTAAAGGTTGAGAAATTTAACATTTGTCATCTGAGTTTCTTTCTCAATAAACCAATCGTTAGGACTCTCACATAGTTTTACGGACCTGAAACTTTACAGAGAACCACAACTGGACAATGAGACCTGTTGGCAGTTGACTAACTCCTCTTCCTTCTCTCTCATTCCTGTTTTCCCACAGGTGGTTACAATGAGATGCTAGACCTCTCATCTAACCACCTGCTGCCTGTTGATCATCTTCCTTACTCCCCTTAATTCCTGTCTATATAAACTCCTAACTTTAGTTGGGAGAGAGACAGATTTGACGGTTAGACTGACAGCATCCACAATAAAGCTCTTCCCTGGCAATACTCGTCTTAGTGACTGGCTTTCTGTATAGTGAGCAACCACACCTAGGCCAAACAACACATTTGTTCTACTTGATCCTCTGAGCTAATATCTTTGCCTTATAAAAACTTGCCTCACAGCCACTCAGATCAGGGGATGGCCAATGAGGAAGAAACCATTAAGAACTATGTTATCCAGTTTTGTCTAGGGCTGCTGTGATCGGGCAGTTCACTGTGCAGTGAGAAGCCTCCAGAGCAACATGCAGCAGCCCTATCATCACCGTTTTCCTCCTCCATCTAGCAGAAATCTTCGCACACTTGTGAAGCCAACTATAGCCATAACTGCACCCCAGGCCGAAGCTTTTTGCTAATAACTAATGAGCTAGAAAGGTGGGGTTGGCCCATTTCTCTGTGCATTGTATCTAAGCCATGTAGTTTGGGCCCTAGAAAAGAGCTCTACCTAATAATGAGCTATTCTGCCAAACAGTCAACTGAGGATTTAAAAACTTGGACTTGTAGGGACTTTCAGTATTCTCTAATAAAGATGCACTCTATGTCCATATCTTTTCGTGTTTTCAAGTGCAAAAAGTAAACATTTTTGCTCAGATATTCCAGTTACCAAATAATTCATATGATGGTATTGGATTGACCCCCAAAAAATGTAAGATGAGAAACTGGGAAAGGCTGATATGTTCACCTCCTCCCATGTTCATGGAATGGGAGATGTACCTAGTGAGATTTGTAGTTGTATGGAGCTTGCCGCTGGCTTTTTCTGGACTAGTTTGAGACACTCAAGCCCCAGAATCCTTTAAAAATCAGTAAGGTCTAGAGCGAGGACCCTCAGAATGTCTGCTCTTTTCATCTTTTCACTTACGCTAACCACTTTCTTCACTGATGACAAGCACTCAAATTGTATTTCTCTCTTTAATACTAATATACAAGTGTTAGAAATGAAAAATAGTAAACAAAGGATGTATATAATGTGTGTGATACTTGGCTTTAAATGAAACCAGTAATGTTCCAACTAAAGATGTGCTTTCCTAGTGTTACACAGCTCATTCAGGTGGTGAATTTCTCTAAGTGCACTACTGGTATATGATGAGTAGTTGCAAGGGGCCAGTTTGTTAGTAGAACACCTGGGTTAGAGGCTCTCCCACTTCCTCCTACATCTGTCTCTGGTTCTCCACTCATTTCAGGACCCCTTTCCTCAGCTTCTCTAACATACCAAGCCTGCATCTACTTTCAGCAGGATGCCATTGACACAGAGGTAAATACTAGCCGAATTCGTGACTTCAACAGAATTTGAGCTGAAGTAAGTATTTGCAGAAGTATAACAAACTCAATATAATGCATGCCACAAAAGAGGTGTGGTCGTAGTGCCAAGGAAGCAGAATGAAAGAACTGCATTTTCAGGTAGAACAAGAATAAGAAAGTTACCTGAAAAAAGTGACAATTTACGCTGATTTTAATACTTGGTATAATTCTAGTGGGCAGAGAAACACATAGGCAGTTGAAACTGAGAGAGGGTGGTTATCTAATGTAATAGTTAGGGGATGTTTGGGGCTGTGAGTCATGCAGTTTGGTTAATGAGTGGGGAAAAAATGTAAGATCTATGTGGAGAATCTAGAAATTTGCTGTTGGAAACAAACTGAAGAACATGGAAAGATATCTGCACTAAAGTGTGGGATGTAATTGTGTTTTAGAACCTAATCAGAAGATTTTAATATGCACTGAGCAATAAAAGTCTAGGGGTGAGGAGGGGGTTAATATAATAGGAGGAAGGATGCACAGAGGACTTAACAGGCTTAACTAATTCATTAATTTATGTCGGGCCCTGGGGTTATGGTGTTAAGCAAAAATAGCCATATCACAATCAAATGCAGTGGGAGAAATTAAGTAATTGCACACATCTGAGCATAATCATGGCAGAGATGTATACTCAATAGAAGCAATCTCAATCTAGGAAGATTTGAGTACTCAGTCCTAGTACTTACTAGGAGTGATTGAGAATATTATACTTTCTGTCACAAATGGTTCCCTGTTAAAAAGTTTGAGTTTTATCTTTTCGATAATGAGACACCATTGAAAATTTTGGATCAGGAACTAAAATTTAAAAAGTCATTTTTTTCCATATTTCTTCCAATCATGTTTTCTTCTTTCTAAAGATTTACATTACATGATGTACACCATGACATTCTGGAATCTGAGTCAGAGACAGTAAATTGCATAAGTGCCTCTTCCATCCTGAGTTCACGTCCAGTGGGCATGAAGTGTTCTACTCTCATTCAATGAAGTTCTTTTTTGAGACAGAGTCTAGCTTTATCGCCCAGGCTGGAGTGCAGTGGCATGATCTTGGCTCACTGCAATCTCCCCCTCCCGGGTTCAAGCGATTCTCCTGCCTCAGCCTCCTGAGTAGCTGGGATTACAGGCGCCTGCCACCATGCCCAGCTAATTTTTGTATTTTTAGTAGAGATGGGATTTCACTCTGTTGGCCAGGCTGGTCTCGAACTCCTGACCTCGTGATCTGCCCACCTCGGCCTCCCAAAGTGCTGGGGTTACAAGCGTGAGCCACCGCATCTGGCCAATGAAATTCTTTACATAATGTTTCTGTGAGCACTCAGTAACTCATCCATAACAGTGTAGAAACTCAACTTACATTGTAGCTTTCTAGATAGTGGATTTTTCCTTCCCTACATTGCATTGTTCAATTTTCTAGAGTTATAATTAGGCATATTTGGTTATATTTTTTGGCTGGTAAAAAGTCAAAATAAGAGGAGGCATAGTGATCTTAAGAACTTCAGAACTCCAGCCTGGGTGACAGAGCAAGACTCTGTCTAAAAAAAAAAAAAAAAAACTATTATTTTTTATTTTTAACTTTTATTTTAGGTTCAGGGGTATATGTGCACATTTGTTTTATAGGTAAATTGTGTGTTGCAGGGCTTGGTGTACAGATGGCCACCCTCCACCTTGAGTAGTCCCTGGTGTCTGCTGTTCCCTTCTTTGTGTCCATGTGTACTCAATGTTTAGCTTTCACTTATAAGTGAGAACATGAGGCATTTAGTTTTCTGTTTCTGTGTTAAAAAACTATAACTTGGCTACTCTGCCTATGGAGTAGCCATTCTTTTTCCTTTACTTTCTCAATAAACTTGCTTTCACTTAAAAAAAGAACTGTAGCTTCAAAACATGTTTCTATGCATCTCATAAAACTGCCATTAGAGATTTCATGTATTAGGTTTATCATTTTCCACTATATTTAGGTACAATTTAAGTACTTGCCTTCAAATTTATTGCCAAAAACCCCTTATCCCAACTAACATATGTTTGTAGTTTTGGGTTTTGTTTGTTTCTAAAAATCAGTGTTCTTACTTGTTCCATCCTGATTTCAAAATTGTGAGGATGATTTACTTTGGTAAAATACACATAAACAATATCATTTAATTTATTTGTAAGTGTACAATTCAATGGCATCAAATACATTCACAATGTTATATAACCATCAATACTATCTATACCTAAAATTTTTTCACTTTCCCAACAAAAACTTGATCTACTCAACCATAATCTTTCCTTCTCTCCTCCCTGTCCCTGGTCACTTCTATTCTACTTTCTGTCCTTATGGATTTCCCTATTCCAGGTACGGCATGTAGGGAGAATCATGAGATATGTGTCGCTCTATGTCTGGATTATTTCTCTAAGCATAACATTTTCATGGCCCATCCATGTTTAGCTATATTTAAAACATTAATTTTTATGGCTGAATAATGTTCCTTTGCATGTTCATACCATGATTTGTTTACCCATTCATCTGTTCATGGGCACATGGGTGATTTGTACCTTTTGGCTATTGCGAATGATGTGCCTGTGTACAGTGATGTACATATGTCTGTTCAGATCTCTATTTTCAGGTTTTTGGATGTACACCTTACAGCAGAATTGCTGGGTTACATGGCACTTTTATGTTTAAACTTCTGAGAAAACACCACACTATTTTCTTTTCTTTCTTTTTTTTTGAGACAGAGTCTTGCTCTGTCACCCAGGCTGGAGTGCAGTGGCACGATCTCAGCTTACTGCAACCTCTGCCTTCAGAGTTTAAGTGATTCTCCTGCCTCAGCCCCCCAGGTAGCTGGGATTACAGGGGTGCACCACCATGCCCAGCTAAGTTTTGCATTTTTTTTTTTCGAAGTACAGACTGGGTTTCACCATGTTAGCTAGGCTGTTCTCGAATTCCTGTCCTCAAGTGATCCACCTGTCTCGCCCTCCCAAAGTGCTGAGATTACAGGTGTGAGGCATCATGCCTAGCCCACCACGCTATTTTCAACAGCAGCTGCACCATTTTACATTCCCATAAGCAATGCACAAGTGTTCTGACTTCACCACTTTCTTGTCACTTCATGTTATTTTCCATTTTTCGTTAGCATACACATCTTACTAAGTAGAAAGGGGTATCTAATTGTGATTGATATTTGCACTTCTCTAATGACTACTGATGTTAAGCATCTTTTCAAGTGCTTGTTTGTCATTTGTGTATATTCTTTGAGTAATGTCAAAGAATTTTCAAGTCCTTTGCTTGCTTTTAATTAGGTTATCTCTTTGATTGTGGTGGCGTTATTCATGTTCTTTATATATTTTGGATATTACTATCCTGTCAGACATATGGTTGGCAATTATTTTATCATATTCAGTAGGTTGTTGCTTTGCTTTCTTGATAGTATTCTTCGATGCAAAAAAGTTCTTAATTTTGATCAAGTCCAATTGACCAATTTTTTCATTCTGTTGTCTGTGTTTTTGGTATCATGTTCCCAAATCCAATGTCATGAGGATTTTCTCCAGTGCTTTCTTCTGAGAGCTTTATAGTTTTAGGTCTTGCCTTTAGATCATAAATCTATTTTGTATTAATTTTTGCATGTGTTGTAAGGGTCCAACTTCATTGTTTTGCAAGCAGATCTCCAGTTTTCCCGGCACTGTTTTTTGAAGACTATCATTTTTCTATTGAATGGCCTCTGCATCTTTGTCAAAAACAATTCACCATATATTTGAAGCTTTACTTCTGGGATCTCCATTGCATTGATTTATTAGTACCACAGTGTTTTAATTATTGTAGCTTTGTGGTAGGTTTCAAAGTCAGGAAGTAGGAGTACCCCAAATTTATTCATCTTTCTGAAGATTGTTTTTGCTATTTGGTGCCCTCTGTAATTTTATATGAATTTGAAAATTAGCTTTTCCTTTTCTGTTGAATTTTGTAGCTCTCTTTGGGTAGTATTGGCATCTTCACAGTGTTAAGTCTTCCTATACACAAACAGGGATGTCTGTCCATTTATTCGTTTCTTCTTTAATTTCTTTCAGCAGCATTTTATCATTTTTAGTATATAAGTTTTTAACCTCCTTAAATAAATTTATTGCAAAGTATTTAATTCTTTTTAGGTGCTATTGTAAATGGAGTCACTTCCTAATTTTCTTTTTGGATTTTTCGTCAATGGTATAGCAAACAAAATTGCTCATCTTGTACCCATAATCTTGCTGAATTTGTTTATTAGCTCTGGTGGTTTTCTTTGGATTCTTTGGAATATTCTACATATAGGTTCATGTCATCTGCAAATAGAGATATTTTTACCTCTTTCTTTCTATTTTGGATGTTTTTATTTTTCCTATCTAATAGCTCTGGCTAGAACCTCCTGTTAAATAGCAGCATAAAAAGGAGTATCCTTGCCTTGTTCTTAGTGGGAAATCTTTTTAGTTTTTCACCACTGATTATGGTGTTAGCCATGGGTCTTTCATAAATACCCTTGGTCATGTAGAGGAATTATTCCTTTATTCCTAGTTTTCTGAAAGTCTATCATGAAATAGTGTTGGAATTTTTCAAATGCCTTTTCTGTATCAACTGAAACGATCATGTATAGGTTTTTCCCCCTTTCTTCTATTAATAATATGTATTGCATTAGTTGATATATTTGTATTGAACCACCCTTGCATTGCTGGGATAAATGCTATTCACTCATAATGAATAATTCTTTTAACGGACTATTGAATTCAATTTACTAGTATTTTGTTTAAAATTTTTGCATCTATAATTGTAAGAATTTTGAGTTTCAGTACAATATTTAATAAATAAAGTAAGATAGTCAACACTTTATTATAAAATAGGCTTTGTGGTAGATGATCTTGCCCTGCTGTAGGTTAATGTAAGTGTTCTGACCATGTTTATATGGGCCAGATAAGCCATGATGTTTTGTAGATCAGGTATATCAAACTCATTTTCAACTTGTATTTTCAACTTTCTTTATGGAGATGTAACCCCATGGTAACTCAATGTGCATCTGTAGTTGGTTTACTGTATTGTTCAAGTCTTTTTTTTTTTTAACTTTTCATCTATATGATTGATCTATTTGTGACTTTAAGTAGAGCACTGAAGTCACCAGCTATTATCATAGAATTGTTTATTTCTCCCTTCCATTCTGTCAATTTTATGTCATATATTTTGAGGGTTTGTCATTAGGTGCATAAATGCTTATAACTTTAATTGCTCTATTGACTCTCTTAGTGATATAGTCTCCTTTATCTCTTTTAAACTTTAAGATTTAAAGTTTATTTTGTTTTAATATTATTATAGCCACTCAGATTTATTTTGGTTACTATTTGCATGTAATATATTTTACTATCCTTTTACTTGCAAGTTATATTTGTCTTTAGACATACAGAAAGTCTCCTGTAGATTTTGTATTGAAATTGTTGCATCATGTTTTTTAAAAATTAATTCTGCCTATTGTTCTTTGATTGGAATTGTTAATCTGTTCAGATTTAAAGTAATTACTGGTAACACAGGGCTTAATTTTGCCACTTTGTTGCTTGTTTTTTATTTTTAAATTATACTTTAAGTTCTAGGGTACATGTGCACAACATGCAGGTTTGTTACATATGTATACATGTGCCATGTTGGTGTGCTGCACCCATTGACTCATCATATACACTAGGTATATCTCCTAATGCTATCCATCCCCCCTCCCCCCACCCCATGACAGGCCCCAATGTGTGATGTTCCCCACCCTGTGTCCAAGTGTTCTCATTGTTCAATTCCCACCTATAAGTGAGAACATGCAGTGTTTGGTTTTCTGTCCTTGTGATAGTTTGCTCAGAATGATGGTTTCCACTTTCATCCATGTCCCTACAAAGGACATGAACTCATCCTTTTTTATGGCTGCATATACTCCATGGTGTATATGTGCCACATTTTCTTAACCCAGTCTATCATTGATGGATATTTGGGTTGGTTCCAAGTCTTTGCTATTGTGAATAGTGCCGCAATAAACATACATGTGCGTGTGTTTTTATAGCAGCATGATTTATAGTCCTTTGGGTATATACCCAGTAATGGGATGGTTGGGTCAAATGGTATTTCTAGTTCCAGATCCTTGAGGAATTGCCACACTATCTTCCACAATGGTTGAACTAGGTACACCAATCAGACGTAGATTTGGTCTTTTCACATAGTCCCGTATTTCTTGGAGGCTTTGTTCATTTGTTTTTACTCTTTTTTCCCTAAACTTCTCTTCTTGCTTCATTTCAATCATTTGATCTTCAATCACTGATACCCTTTCTTCCACTTGATCGAATTGGCTACTGAAGCTTGTGCATGCATCACATAGTTCTCGTGCCATGGTTTTCAGCTCCATCAGATCATTTAAGGTCTTCTCTTTGCTGTTTATTCTAGTTAGCCATTCGTCCAATCTTCTTTCAAAGTTTTTAGCTTCTTTGCAATGGGCTCGAACATCCTCCTTTAGCTCAGAGAAGTTTGTTATTACCGATCGTCTGAAGCCTTCTTCTCTCAACTCATCAAAGTCATTCTCTGTCCAGCTTTGTTCTGTTGCTGGCGAGGAGCTGTGTTCCTTTGAAGGAGAAGAGGTTCTCTAATTTTTAGAATTTTTACCTTTTCTGCTCTGGTTTCTCCCCATCTTTGTGGTTTTATCTACCTTTGGTCTTTGATGATGGTGACATACAGATGGCGTTTTGGTGTGGATGTCCTTTCTGTTTGCTAGTTTTCCTTCTAACAGTCAGGACCCTCAGCTGCAGGTCTGTTGGAGTTTGCTGGAGGTCCACTCCAGACTCTGTTTGCCTGGGTATCACCAGCGGAGGCTGCAGAATAGCAAATATTACAGAATGGCAAATGTTATTGCCTGATCCTTCCTCTGGAAGCTTTGTCTAAGAGGGGCACCTGGCCGTATGAGGTGTCAGTCGGCCCCTACTGGGAGGTGCCTCCCAGTTAGGCCACTCAGGGGTCAGGGACCCACTTGAGGAGGCAGTCTGACCATTCTCAGATCTCAAACTCTGTGCTGGGAGGACCACTACTGTCTTCGAAGCTGTCAGACAGGGACATTTTTAAGTCTGCAGAAGTTTCCACTGCCTTTTGTTCCTGTTGCTTGTTTTTGATATGCGTTATAAGTTTTTGTTCCTTACTTCCTTCATTACTGCCTTTTTACATAATTTTTTGTTATGAAACTTTTGATTCTTATCTCACTTACTTATACGTATATTCTTTAGATATCTACTTGGTAGTTACTATAGGGATTACATCTAGCATCCTAAAGTTATAACAATATAATTTGAATGGATACCACTTAAATAGCATACAAAAACTGTTTCTTGGCTGGGTGCAGTGGCTCATGCCTATAATCCCAGCACTTTGGGAGGCCAAGGCAGGTGGATCATGAGATCAAGAGATTGAGACCATCTTGGCCAACATTGTGAAACCCCGTCTCTACTAAAAATACAAAAATTAACTAGGCGTGGTGGTGCACACCTGTAGTCCCAGCTACTCAGGAGGCTGAGGCAGGAGAATCGCCTGAAACTGGGAGGCGGAGGTTGCAGTGAGCTGAGATCATGCCACTTGCACTTCAGCCTGGTGACAGAGTGAGACTCCGTCTCAAAAAAACAAAACAAAACTGTTTTTCTACAATTTCATCCTACTTTCTGTTGTTAATGCTACAGACTGCATCTTTATTCATTGTGTGCTTAATAATATAGATTACTAATTATTTTTACACATTTGTCTTTTAAATTCTATAGAAAATAGAAAGTTAGATTACAAACCAAAATCAGAAAACAAAATTATTCTTTATAATTGTCCATGTATTAGTCTGTTCTCAAATTGCTATTAAGGAAGTATCTGACACTGGGTATTTAAAAAGAAAAGAGGTTTAATTGACTCAACAGTTCTGCATGGCTGAGGAGGCCTCAGAAAACTTAAAATCATGACAGAAGGCACCTCCTCACAGGCGGCAGGGGAGAGAATGACATCCAGCAGGGGAAATGTTAGAAGTTTATAAAACCATCAAATCTTGTGAGAAATCACTCTCACAAGAACAGCATGGGGAAAACCACCCTCATGATTCAATTACCTCCCACCAGTCCCTCTCACAACACATGGGGATCATGGGGATTACAATTCAAGATGAGATTTGGGTGGAGACACAGCCAAACCATATCAGAGGCTTCAGTTACTGTCTAACTTTCTTTCATTTTAACCTGAAGGAATCTCTTTAGCATATATTGCAGGGCAGGTCTATGGAAAAATGAACCCCTTTAGCTTTAAAAACTTTTTTTGAGAGTGTCTTCATTTATATCTCATTCATGAGGTAAAATAGTTTTTCTGAATATAAAATCATCAAGTAAAAATTTTTCAAAGCATTTTTTTCTTTTTGAGATGGAGTTTCACTCTTTGTCACCCAGCCTGGAGTGCAATGGTGCCATCTTTGCTCACTGCAACCTCTGCCTCCTGGATTCAACAGATTTGCCTTCCTCAGCCTCTGGAGTAGCTGGGATTATAGGCACCTGCCACCACGCCTGGCTAATTTTTTTGCATTTTTAGTAGGAACAGGGTTTCATGGTTTCACCATGTTGGCCACACTGGTCTCTAACACCTGACTTCAGGCGATCCACCCACCTCGGCCTCCCAAAGTGCTGGGATTACAGGTGTGAGCCACCATACCCAGCCTCAAAGCATTTTAAATATATTCAGACACTAACTTCTGGCCTCTAAGGTTTCTCATGAGGAATTGGCTGATAATATCACTGATGGTTTGTTGTATGCGATGAGTCACTTCACTTTTGTTGCTTTCAATATTCTCTGTCTTTTAATATTTTGATTATAATGTATCATAGTATGAGTATTATTGAGTTTATCCTGTTTGGGGTTTGTTGAGCATCTTTGACTTGTAGATTCATCTTTTTGCATAAAATTTGGGAAGTTTTTAGGCATTATTTATTCAAATATTCTTTTTGCCCCAGTCTGTCTTCTCCTACTGGGATTCTCATGCTACATATGTTTGTTTGTTTGATGGTATCTCACATATTCCCTAGGCTCTCTTCAGTTTTTATCACTTTTTTCCTTTCTTTTCCTCAGAGTCAGTAATTTCAATGGTTCTTTCTTCAAGTGTATTTATTTATTTTTTGGCTTGCTTAAATCTGCTCTTAAACCCCTCTAGAGTATTTTCAGTTATTGTACTTTTCATTTCTAGAATTTCTTGGCTTTTATAATTTTATATCCTTTTTTGAATAAACATTTTTTCAGACATCATTTTCCTGTTTCGTCCATGTCTTCCTTAGCTCTTTGAATACATTTAGGACAGTTGTTTAAAAGTCTTTTTCTAGCAGTAAGTCTGACATACTCATCCAGGCTTCCTTGGGTTTTGATTTATTTGGCTCCTTTAAGTGGATTATACTTTCCCCTTTTTTATGCCTTCTTTGTTGTTTTTGTTGTTGACTGGACTCTGAACCTTATAATGCAGAAACTGGAAAGCAGATATTCCCTCTTCCTCCAGGGCTTGTTGGGCTTTAAAAAATGTTTTATGGTGTTCCTTATTGGAGATCAGCCTGAGGTAAAAACTTAAGGTCTTATTCAGGTCATTACTGGGCCTTTGTCTTTCCCTAGGCAGGTATGTTGGCTTTCTAAATTCTCTCACATATGCAATTACTTTTTAGTCTCCAAAAACAGGTGTATCCCTTTTGAATCCCTTGGTGGCTACTTCAGTTTATGGAGGTTGGATAACTGGTGACCAGCCTACATGCCCACACCACATTTATCAGAGAAGCACTCCATAATTAGAACACAGAGCCCTGGTGTTTGGAAGGCCAGGTCTTTATTGTCTACCCTGGCTCCAGCAAGACCTTTCACCCTTGAATGTGGGTTATGGACCCCAATGCCACATGACATGAGACTATAGAGACTGTGGTTGGGGGATGGTAGTTGCAACCCTGCTCGTGGCTTAAATAAAGCAAAGATTACCATAATGTACCAGCCAAGCTGTCCCCTGGAAGCTGCAAGTGTTCAAAATAAACTACGGAGGTTTAAAATGTTTGCCTCAGCCAATTTCTTCCAATATAATTGTGCAGATAGAGATGGATTTTTGGTATTTTGTACTTTGCCATTTGTCTTGACTTCATTCTCCTAAGGATCAGTTTTAATAGTGAAGCATAATTACTCTTTGAAGCATGTTAGTTTTCCTGTATTGGAAGTCCTAATTTGTTCCTCTTTTGTTAAATTTAAAATGTGTATGACTCATTATATTGGCATCCTGAAATAAATAACTCTTTGTAATCCAGACATTTTGATTAATCAGAAAATTACACTAACATCCTAGTCAATTAAATGTCTATGCAGCACTGTGGTCCCACTTTGCAGAGTGACTATAATTGCCTTGCTTTGCCATTAGTAATTGTTCTAGAGTGTGAAATAATTGTAAGTGTATGAAAGCTCTTGTAGAGAGAACTTCACCTAGGCTTGTGGCATTCACTATTAAAGCAATGAGTGCCTTCTGGGGACAGTCAGCTCAACTGACTTCAAATTTTTGCAGAGTGTCATCACAAACACTAAGTATAGATTTCAGTTTGAAAAACTTTAAATTTACCTTTTATTGCAGTGTTTGGTGGTATAAATGCAGCTAAAAGCATGAGTTAACAAAGTGAGATTTAGAAAGGAAATGTCATTGACTGCCTGAGCTATGTACTTCATGGAATATGTTTTTGTAATAAAGCCCCTAGAAAATCGGGAAACTTATGAAACAAGCTTTACATATGTATATGCATACATATATGTTTAAAACTTATATTGGACTAAGGTTAGAATACTTAGTGAGGTCTAAAATGACAAATGGGGTGTGAGAATGTAAGCAAAGTAAACAAGGACTGTCAGTTCTTAATTTATTAGCAGCACATGCTCACCAGGAACCCGTTGTCTTAAAGCCAATCCCCTGAGAACAAACAGCATTGAGTCTGAAATTCAAATTTCCCAGAATGGAAAATGATGAGCCCTAGAATTTTAGAGTCTTGTCATTAAATTTGCAAAGTTCAGTTACACCACAGCCCAGCTACTTACCAAGTGCCTTATTACTCTTCTCTTTGGGCCTACTTAACCCAACTAAAGAATCAGGGAGTCAGACTAAATATCCATAAAGGTCCTCCTAAAGACACATCCTCTGGTTCATTTTGAATATCTAACTTAACATTCTGTCCCTGCAGGTGTTCTTTTTTATAGCATCATTTTAGAGCTGTAGCCTATCTGCAGAGGAAGAGCTACAGGCAGGTTTGGAGTGCATGAGTTCATTACAAATACCGTGTTTTATAAATTGATGCCAGTGTTCTTGACCTGTCTTGTGAACAACTGGGACCTTATTTCCTGTGTCACTCTCTCCCCTTTGCATCTTAACACTTTCAGCTAGTCTTAGAGGTTTCCATTGAGTTCTGAGGACAGACTTTCAGAATCCTCATTCTCTTGCTTCCTTTCCTCCAGAGATATTTCTGTTCATTATTGTCCTTATTATGTGTTTTTTTTTTCTGATTATGAGGCAACTAAAATCATCTGATTATTGATCACTGTGTTGAACCTCTAACTGTATTTCTTCAATGGTTTGATATATTTTTCCTTTTTTTGAGATGAATTCTCATTCTGTTGCCAGGCTGGAGTGCAGTGGCATGATCTCAGCTCACTGCAACCTCCGCCTCCTGGGTTCAAGTGATTCTCCTGCCTCAGCCTCCTGAGTAGCTGGGACTACAGGAACGTGCCACCATGCCCAGCTAATTTTTGTATTTTTAGTAGAGACGATGTTTCACCATGTTGGCCAGGATGGTCTGGATCTCTTGACCTCATGATCTGCCCACCTCGGCCTCCCAAAATGCTGGGATTATAGGTGTACACCACCGCACCCAGCTGACATATTTTTCATAGTTAATATTGCTAGTCAGTATGAGTTTTTAAATGTGCATATTTCGTTTACTATTTTTCTTCCTTCAAGCCTCTGAAAATATTGATGGTGTCTCAAAATTAATAATTTATTGATTGAAAAAATTCCATTGATCTATTCATATTTATTTATAACGTACCAAATCTAGTGCAATAAGTAGTCCCAGGAATTTGGTTCCCATTTGGGAGTTATACTTGAATTTCATTTATAAACCCAATTTCTCTCCTCTGGCACATGTATTCATAATCATCTTAGCATGCTTTTAGTTGTTACAGATGAGGTAACTGCAGTTTGATGTTTACTCTACACTCTTTTTCACCTGCAAATGTTAGCTAGAGCTGCGTGGTCCTATAAGTTTGCTGTACCCTTGATAAAAGAACTTACATTTTATAATCATTGCTATGGCTGTACTGGATCGTGGATCCATAACTCTACAGGTTTGTCAAACACTACCAAATGCTACACCACAAACACTGATCTTTATTCTTTGCTTATTAAAACAAGCAACCAACCAGGTTAATGTATTCCAAGAGGAAAAAGAAATTGACCAAACTAACTTTGGAAAATGGTAATTTGACTGCATAAGGTTTACACAAACTGAGCTGTGTGTAAACACGGTATCTAGTTGGTAATTTTATCACAGGGACAAAAGTTAATTCTGACATTACTTTTCATTTTCATTTACACTAGGCTAGAGAAAATGAATAAGTTGTAGAGAATGTGAGCTAGATTCCTCACTGTTACAGAAGGAAGTTATAAGTTAGAAAGGGTACAAGACTAGAAAAAATCCTGTGGTGCCAGATTAGAGTTAAAAATATCAATATATACGCAGATAGATATGTAGATAAGATAGACTCACAGAGAGATGGTAGTTAGGCAGATAGATAGATAGACAGATACATATACATAGAGATTGATAGATGATGTATATACATGGGTTAGGACACACTATTGCTTGTTCTGTCTGCTAAGAGATACATGCATCCCGTAAGCAATGAGCATAAATCTTGGTTTCTAAATAACATTCTCCAATATAATGATTCAGATCTCTGGAGCAATGTTTGCTTCTAGGACTGGGGCAGTGAAAACATAAGATGATCCTGGAGCATCCTGATGTGCCAGCAGGCCAGAAAGTGCTCAAAACACAAGGATGTGGCATGCGTCGTAATCCAAAGTAAAATATAAAGAGACGTGAGTCCATACTATGCAAATACATTGTTAATTAAATGAATGAGAAGGAAGAGACTAATCTTTCCCATGGAAGAATTTCAAATAATTTATGTAGAAAACATGAGGGCAAAGAAAATCACCATTAGAACACTATAGTGATAGTGGCTGTTGGCAAGATCCAATGAGGGACCCATATTAGTGGGTGAAACTTGAGGAGGAAACAGGGTATTTGCAAAGCCTGAAAGTATCTTTAACCGAATATTTACTAATTACCATGGTTGTTTTAATATACACTCACAAATATATTGTTATTTCTGCCTTAAAGAGGTGGAGTTTAATTTTCCTCTCCTTAAGTGTGGGCTGGATTTAGTGACTCAATTTTAACATATAGAGGATGGAAGGGAAAAATAACCTCGCAGAGGAGCAACCTGGCAGACACAAGCTAAACCGAGTGATTGCGGTTCATGTCACCAGTGATGCCTTATCCCCATAGGATGTGATGAAAAGGCCACCTCACCTCTGCAACATTCTTCCCTCAAATCCATAATCCTAGTCTAGTCAGACAAACATAAACCAAGGGAACTCCACACATATCCAACTGGTTTTCAGCAAAAGTGCCAAGGTCATGAAAAACAGAAAAGATTGAGACACTGTCACAGAGTCAAAGACACTAACACATCATGATGAGCAAACATGGCACAGTACCCTGTATTGGATCCTGGAACCAATAATAATAATAGAAAAGTGGCAAAATCCAAATGAATTGTATAGTCTACTTATAGTATTATACCAATGTTAATTCTTCTTAGTGTTGTTAAATATATTATAGTTACATGAGATGTTAACCTTAGGGGAAGTTAAAGGCATATTGAAACCATCCACACTATCTCTGGAACTCTTCTCAAAATCTAAAATTACTTCAAAATAAAAATTTTTTAAATCAGGAAAGAGGCTAAAGCGGGCTGGGTGTGGTGGCTCATGCCTGTAATCCCAGCACTTTGGGAGGTGGAGGTGGGCAGATCACTCTAGCCCAGGAGTTTGAGACCAGCCTGGCCAATGTAGTGAAGCCCTGTCTCTACTAAAAATACAAAAAGTAACCGGGCATAGTGGTGAGTGCCTATAATCCCAGCTACTTTGGAGGGTGAGGCCGGAGAATTGCTTGAACCCAGGAGGTGGAGGTTGCAGTGAGCTGAGGTTGCGCCACTACACTCCAGCCTGGGTGAGAGAAAAATAAAAGAGGCTAAAGCATCAAAAGGGGGAGCAGGGAAGCAGGGCTCTCTTTTGTCTTAATAAGGAAGTCTGAGAAGTTCTGGCACCATTGTCATATGTTTCTAGCAGAGCAGAATGCCAGGGCTGGGCCATGTCTGGGGAACAGCCTCAGGATAGAGTAGACAGCATATAAGGGAACTGAGGCCAGACCCCAGGAAGAACAAAAAATATATATTTATGCAGAGAGAACAATATAAACAAGCTTCTACTGCTCTGATGATAAATGTGAGATGATTCACAGGACACTAATTCATATCTACTCTTACCATCAGAAAATATAAACACTATTAAAACAAAATGTTTACATAGATCCAAGCTTATATTGTGAAAATAGAACTTCTCATTGTTCTCTACATGGGGGTGTGTACAACACTGGTGGACCCCGCAAGCTTGCTCAGGTACAACTCAGGTACAGGATCATTTGGGAACCCTGAGCATGGCCCCTGAGCCAATGTATAACATGATTGGTCAGGCTGGTTCTGCCTTGAATAACACAGATTCCACTTTAGCTGAGAGAAGGTAATATTTTTTTAAATTCCATTTTGGTTTATCTACACTGTTTTAGAATGTATGGGTTTCTCTAGATCCTCTGTTACTTCAGGTGTGACATTTTATGCACGTCACTTGTTGCAGCCCACTGGTGTCCACATTCTGCCATGTGATGTGGAGGATCCTCACCTCCATGTAGGCCCATTTCTCCTTCTCACTTTACAACATAATTTACATGCATGAAGAACTATATCAGACCATGGAGTAATTTTTGCTTCAATCATCAAACACAGTTTAGAAAAACTCAAGAAGGCCAGTCTGTCGTGTTTATCCATGTTTTTATTATTTCTATTTTTCTTCATTCCTGATGTTATGTTTCCTTATTTTATCATTTTGTTTCTGAATTAAGAACTTCCATTAGCCACACCTTTAAGAAGGTTGCTGTGTCCTTCCTTGAGTCCCAGGTCCCCCTGGCAGCCCACAGTGTGGATCTGGGATACACAGGGTGAGCACAGGCTGTAGGAGTTCTTGAAATTCTGGCAGGGGTTCTGCACTTGACCTAAGAGGTAAGGCACCAGCACTTCTGAAACCAGACAGAATTGGATGGAAGCTGTATTTTAAGGTGATTGTCTGTATTTATGAGGATTAATCTTTTGGATAATCTGGAAGGCCTGGGGGACTCACTGGAAAGATATGGTAATAATTTCAATAAATATTTAAGGGCTATACCAAGTTGAGGCTGGTAGGACCAGGGAGAAGCAGCTGCATGCTACATATTGAGATCATCTAAAGACAGCAAATTGATGTTTTACATGAGGTTGATTTTGAAGAGTAAGGAGGCATATCTGGTCCCCAGTCTCATCTCTGGAAAGAACTGCACCAGACCCAATCCACCCTAATTACCTGTTCTCTCCTGATTGTGAAGTCTATGAAAAGAAACACATAGGTCATTTTCAGAAAATGAAGACATGGTGTTAGTAGCAAAATCTCACTGTGGTGTGAATGAGCATTTATGAACTGTCAGGAAGGAGCCCTTCATTGCTCTGTTGTCAAGAATGGCAGACACTAAGAGCTCAGCCAGGGCTTTGACTTAAGCTCCATGTGAATAACCTTGGCCTATGCTCCCTGGACATGCAGTTCACTGTCCGCAGAGTGTGGCCAGTTTGTCTGATGGGAGGAATCACATGCACTGTGAGTCACCCCTTGCAGCAAGAAGTCCACAAACAGGACTTTTTCCTGGCAATAGTAAGTGAGGTCAGCTGGGGTGTGGAGCTGCCCAAGACTGGCTGCACACTCCAGGGATGGGAGTTTTAGTGCCCTGGAGGGAGCCTCCACCTGTGACTGCTTTAGCACTGCCCTGAGAACCATGGTCCACATGGCGCCTGTGAGCAGAGATGGGGGAAAGAGGAGACATCACTGGGCTGCAGAGGTCAACAGGGTTGTGGAAGTGTCTTTTATTGCAATTAAGTTTTCTAGTCATGAAACCTCTTCGAGGTATAGAATCAGCTCTGAAATTCTCAAAGTGTTTTGATCATAGTATTTAAGGATTTATTTTTTTAACTGAGATTTACATTACTATGTATTTGCAGTAATGTTTTTGTTAAAAGTTGTATCGTAATGTATTTAGCCAGAACTTAGTGTCTGTGAGAAAGAAAAGATACTAGAACTTCTTACTACCTTCTAAGATATAAAGTTTAAAATTATATAATGTAACCAGTGACTTCCCTGTTTTAAAAAATCACATACTCAAAAAAATAAACTTACTGTCTGTATATTTTTGTTTTAATCAGTATATACTTATACATGGGTACATTAATTTCTCTCACAGTCAAATACAATTATAAAATATATATTTTGGAATAATATGACCCACAGATTCATGATGCAATATAGTATGAATTAATTCTTTTTTATTATAGTTGTCTAATGCTGTGTCAGCTTCTCAACAAGGGGTCAAGCCCACAAAGACCCAATGAATACACATGGCTTGAGTGTCCAGTGGAGCCCACGTGGGTGGCACCCCTTGACAACTGAATGTCTGCTGACCTAATTTCTGAAATATTTCTGCACATCAATTACCTATGTCTGCTTGGATGAAGTTGAAAAAATTCAATAATCTCATAATAGAATCTTGAATTCTTTAATGTTCCCAGCAGTGAACCCAATGCCATGGGTGTGGTTTAAACCACCCCCATGGTTTAAACTAAGTCTCGTATGCAGCACTACCCAGCTGCATACAAAACTCAAGAATCAGAGGTAAGAAGGTGGCTGGAAGTCATCCGGATTCTACAACATATATAGTGCTGGGTCAGTTAAGCTCTAAAACAATGCATTTAGTAAAATGATGGATTTATATAGGAATTTTCCAAATGGGAGGTGAGGGAAATAGCATATGGAGATTTGACAGCAGATACATTGAAAGTTAAAAAGAAAGGCAGAAATGCAAATCCCTTCTCACTCCTTCACACCTGGGGCAGTTTTGAACGGCTTGGATGCTAAACATACAGGAGACAAATTCAACAGCCTTATTGATTTTCACACGCTCCCCATTTTCCGAAACAAAATGAACAACAATAAAAGCGGATCCAGGGAAAAAAAGGATCAGAATGCCACAAATTCTACGGAGGCTATGGAAATAGTTTTGACTCACACTGCCTGTGACTATTATAATAAAATCAGTCACTAATATAATTTGAAATTTAGGAAAGAAACAAATTGTCTTGATAGGGTGTCTAGCTCACTGTACCTACTAAGAGAGGCTGTGAGTGCTCCGAGAGTAATTTGAATTCCACATGTGTCATTTCCCTTTAATAATTTTCTTGCCAGGCATTTTATACTTTAAAATATGTGTGGGAAATTTCTAACAATGGACCTGTTATTATTTTTTCACATTATCTCTACATTTTTCATATTATCTATACATTCTCACTAGGGGTCTTTTCTATCAAATGAAAGGATATAAAGAAACTTCTCAGGCACCATTTTCACCCTTTGGTTCATGGGTCACTGCGCAGCGGAAAACAATGGATGTGCCTATACAGTTCATATTGGCTGGGGGCTCAGTCACTGTGGCAGATTTACTGTGGTAAAAACTAATACCAGAAATGTTCCTCAAGAAAACAGAAAGGACCAGCTGAGTGAGACTATATCTATAAAACTGTTTTTCTCAAGAGGAGACTAAAGACTGTGAGCTGGGCGAGTGGTGGCTTATGCCTCTAATCCCAGCAATTTGGGAGGCTGAGGCGGGCAGATCACCTGAAGTCAGGGGCTCGAGACCAGCCTGGTCAACTATGGTGAAAGCCCATCTCTGCTAAAAGTACAAAAATTAGCCAGGCGTGGTGGTGGGCACCTGTAATCCCATCTACTCAGGAGGCTGAGGCAGGAGAATCACTTGAACCTGGGAAGCAGAGATTACAGTGAGCCAAGATCATACCATTGCACTCCAGCCTGGGCAACAGAGTGAGATTCTGTCTCAAACAAAAAGAAAGAAACAAAATAGCTTGTGAGATACTTTTCTTTCATTGAAATCACTGCCTCTTATCTTGGCATAATTTGAACAACCCAAGCAGGGAGAAGACAGAGCCAGGCACATTTCCCTGCGACTTAACAACATTTCCAGGCACATTTCCCTGAGACTTAACAAGGGTGTTTTATTTATTTATTTATTGGAGACGGAGTTTCGCTCTTGTTGCCCAGGCTGGAGTACAGTGGCACAATCTCAGCGCACCACATCAGCCTCCCAAAGTGCTGGGATTACAGGTGTGACCACCATGCCCAACCCACAACAGGCGTTTTAATAGTTTATGAGGCCATTGATAAACAGCTAGATTGGACTTAGGGATAAATTAATTAAGCCCTCATATTTTATTGGTGAAAAGACAGATCCCGAGAGACAATGACAAAGATACTTGATTTCTACTGTTGGGTTGATCCTGGAACAATCTGGGCCTGAACTGTGCAGGTCTACTTTCAGGGGATTTTTAAAAATAAATGCAGTAGATCCATATAGGCAGTTTCCACATTTGAAACCAAATGTGGCAAGAAAATACAGTATTGGCCAGGTTCCAGGCCTACATGCACAGAGGGTCAACTTTTCCTACCCACAGGCTCCACAAGGCTGACTTCAGGACCTGGGCCTGCATGGATTTGTGCCGAGACCAGCTCGGTCGTGGAGACTCCAACCGAGCGGCACTAGAGGAATGAAGACAAAGACAAAGACACAGAAATAAAGTGCAAAGTGGGAATCGGGGATAACAGCCTTCAGAGATGAGAGCCACAAACAGAGTTTGACCCACATGTTTATTGACAGCAAGCCAGTGATAAGCATTGTTTCTATAGGTTATAGATTAGCTAAAAGCATTCCTTACGGGAAACAAAGCATTTTTAGCGAGGAGCAGAGAAACAGTCTCTGGCTGATTATCTGCAGCAAAAACATGTTGTTAAGGCACAGGCTGCTCATGCTATTTGTGGTTTGAGCAGTTTTCCGCTCTGGGAAGGCCAGGTGTTCCTTGCCCTGCTCCAGTAAACCAACAACTTCTTGCAGTGTGTGTCATAGCCATCACGAGCATGTCACATTGCTGCAGAAATCCTCTTTATGGCCAGTTTCTTTAAGGCCTGTTTATGACAGGCTTAGGGCCTGTTCCCAGCAAATTTGGGTGTCCAAAGTGGGTCCTGGAACTAATCCTCTGGATACCAAGGGACGACTGTGTTTAAACCATCGTTTGGGTTTGGAGAGATTAATGACAACAGTGGCTAAGCATGGGAAGGGTTTCTATGGTGGGACTGCATTGGACCACCTCTGAATGTGTGTATTAGCAGTTTAGTAAATAAAACAAATCTAAATTATTATTTGATTGGGGTTAGTGGGATGCAAATAATAAGATTTATTCAGAGTATCCTAAAAATTCCCCCAGTTTTATTTAGTTTTGTGGAATTATGTCCTCTTTCTAATTTTGCAACATTTCCTTGCATGTTAAAACATTCTTCCCTGAACCCACAATGAGTCTTTTACAACACATCTCTGATACAAGAAAAAAGATATTTCAATGAAAAACAGAGCTTGCTTTTGTACATAAGCTAAAAACAAACAAAACAAACCCAGAAGCATAGCTGCTCTGCTCATTCCCTTCTACCCAAGAGAAAAAAAGAAAATAAAGACACCATCAAGGAAACTGATGCCACAGGAAATCTTTTATTCATCATTTGGAAATTTATCACCAGCACACTGAGGACAATAGGCCTTTCTCTCAGTTGCTTGTAGATAATTCACATCTTTGTCAAAAGACTCTCCTTCAAAAAATGTGGAAAATTGATTTCGATGAGTTAAGGAAATACAAGTCATGAGGAATGGAGAAGAAAATAACACATAGATAATCTGTCATGTCACATTTTATGTCTAGATATTGAGGGTATCAAGGAGATGCATGCCTGGTGATGAATAAAGACAAACAGCTGATCTTGGAGGCATGGAATTGGGACTTGGAACTGCACCCTGCCCCCAGCTCCTATTCTCTTCTGTTATTGAACATCTGGAGAGACAGGCATATTGGCATCCTTGGTTTATCTACACTAAACCTCTTGCATACAGATGAGCAAACTGAGATCTAGAAAAATGAACTGGCCCAAATTTACAGAATTAGGTGACTTTGTCACATGAGTGGGTGAAGAGTCTCAAAGATTAGTGAAGTCTAGAAGATTGTAGGAGAGTCATCAACTAAGTTATGCAAACTGTCCAATCCCCTCCCAGATTTCACATGGAGAATTTCATGGGAACAGAGCCAAATGAAGAGAGTTGGGTACACAGACGAGGGCTGGTGTGGCCATTGAGATGCCTGAGCATTTACCAGGGGATTTTTATTTTTAAAGGAAATATCTGCAGCATCTTACCAAACACTCTGCCCAGGATCTCAGAGGCTCTGAGAACACTAAGCTCTGCCTGTGTTCCTACATTATGAAAAACCAAGAGGGATGTAGCCCTTGTGCTTGTGTTTTACTGAGAGGGAGGCTCATGGCCCCATCCAGACAACCTTAACACCCCGCCTTTGATCCCAGAGGCTGATGGAGAATGTCTTAGCCAGCTGCAGCCCTAGGTATGGTTCTAACACATGGAGGCTCCTCTGAGAAATCTACAGGGCTTCATTATGGCCATCAATAGGTCTGCTTGTCTTGCCACATTTCTGGGACTTTGCAATTTTTTTAATGGTTTGCTTTAATATTCTTTTTTTTTTTTTTAAATGGAGTCTTGCTCTGTCACCCAGGTTGGAGTGCAGTGGTACAATCCTGGCTCACCACAGCCTCTGCCTCCCAGGTTCAAGCAATTCTCTTGCCTCAGCCTCCTCAGTAGCTGGGATTACAGGCACTTACCACCACAACTGGCTAATTTTTGTACTTTTAGTAGAGACGGGGTTTCACCATGTTGGCCAGGCTGATCTTGAGCTCCTGACCTCAAGTGATCCACCCTTCTTCACCTCCCAAAGTGCTGGAATTACAGATGTGAGCCACCACACCAAGCCATATTTGCTTCAATATTCTAACACAAAATGATAGCTTAACCTATTATCCAATATTCCCACTTCTCAATAGGATGCAACTGCTATGCTTTCTTTGAAATAATTATTTTTGAAAATATTATTTCAAAGTGTAGTCCTCCTAGACAGTGCTAATTCTATTGGGATTTTAAAGGATTACACAAAATAGCCATCACATTTCACTTAATGTGCCCTATGTAATGCAGAACCCAGCCTGCTACAGCCACTTGGGAGGCTCTCGCCCACTGTCTCCTCCAGGCTCTCTCACATGCATCAAGGCTATGATCAAATGGGACATTCTCACTCCATCCCCTCCTAACCCCCAATTCAGATTGTAGCCCACCCCTCAGCAGTCCCTATCCGCTTTTCTTCATTTTGTTCCATAACTTTTGACACCTTCCAACATTCTACAGTTGTGCTTTTTTTTTTTTTTTTTTTTTGAGAGAGAGTCTAGCTCTGTCGCCCAGGCCAGAGAGCAGTGGCATGATCTTGGCTCACTGCAAGCTCCGCCTCCTGGGTTCACACCATTCTCCTGCCTCAGCCTCCCGAGTAAATGGGACTACAGGTGCATGCTACGACACCTGGCTAGTTTTTTTGTATTTTTAGTAGCGACGGGGTTTCACCATGTTAGCCAGGATGATCTCAATCTCCTGACCTCGTGATCCGCCCGCCTTGGTCTCCCAAAGTGCTGGGATTACAGGCGTGAGCCACCGCACATGCCCGGTTTTGCTAATTTCTTTAGTGAACTATTTGCTCTTCTGCACAAAATTGTAAGTTCCACGGGGATAGAATTTTTTTTATGGCTTTATTCTTTGCGTTATGTCCAGTGCCTAGAAAAGTACCTGGTAAGTGTTGTGAAGTATTTCCTGAATAGAGGTTGAATGTTGTGATAAGTTTCACTGTGACTCCTCATCTTGTACCTGCACTTGCAAGTTTCTTCTTGTCTGCCTGGGGCGTTGCGCTCAGCACCTTCAGCCCCCACCACTCAAGGTTCCTGTCTGCATGAGTGTAATCACCATCGAGTGTCAACAGCACCATCCCTTTCCCCACTCTCATTCAGAAGCTCCTCATCTGCTCTGGGATGGGACAAACTCACTCTTGTGTCATCATTCTGCCAAGTTTATTAAAACTCAAAATGTGAGTGTCTGCTCTTTTCTTTCTCTTTGTCCTTTTGTTAAAACTTCCCCTTTGAAAGAGGAGATGCCAAGGTTTAGACTAAATGGGAGAGAAATAGTGGGCAACTGGAGAACAAGGGAGGAAAACCACATTGGTTAATCTATCAAATCATTACATTTCTATATGATTAAGCATAAAATAAAATGTCTTTGAAGAAGTTATGCAGTCCAAGGGGTCTCTAACTAATGAGCAGGTCCTGAAGGACATGGTAAAGCCCATATCAAAGCTGAGTTAATTAGCATTTTATCCTGAAATGCATCCGTGGGGACAAGCAGTTCAGCTAAACTTTCATGAAACAAAGACAGCATTTGCGGGGTCTGTGTCTAACCTTGTCATAGGTGGGACATCCTTTGAGGGGGATCCGTGAGTCTTAGCTAAGTCAATGGGGAAGGGAAGTTCTTTGCAGTAAGGCAGGAACACAAGGTGGTGATTTCTTTAACCATCACTGTTTCCCAGTGCCTCAGGGCTCAAGTAGAACTCAACAGTGTCACTATCAGTACCTGAACATATTTAAAAGAAATAGCTTAAGACTCCAAATACTTATTTACTGTGGAACTGCCAAACAACTGTGTTCATGGATTTTGAAAATATTGTGACATGCTGCATCTTGCCATCTGGGACATGTTCCAGACTCAAATGAATCCCATGAACATAAGATTAGCCACAGACAGAATTGTGAAGAATAACAAAACACCTTTAACTACATGGGTAATTCAGAATCTAAGTGAAAAAAAGAAAACTGGAATGCATGGGGCCACTCTGTGAGTTACGAGGTGCATGATTCAGGCCATTCCTTTCAACCACAACCACAGATGCAAAAGACAGTGGAACTGAGTAACTTGCAGTCTTGTCATGAGCACAAGAATCAAGAAGATCGAGAAATAGCTGTTTCTCTATGGAATTTTCTTTCTTTTTATTTATTTATTTATTTATTTATTTATTTATTTATTTATTTATTTTGAGATGGAGTTTAGCTCTTGTCGACCAGGCTGGAGTGCAATGGTGCAATCTCTGCTCTCTGCAACCTCTGCTTCCTGGGTTCAAGTGATTCTCCTGCCTCAGCCTTCCAAGTAGCTGGGATTATAGGTGCCCGCCACCACACCCAGCTAAGTTTTTGTATTTTTAGTAGAGACGGTGCTTCACCATGTTGGCCAGGCTGGTCTCGAACTCCTGACCTCAGGCGATCCACCCACCCTGGCCTCCCAAAGTGCTGGGAATACAGGTGTAAGCCACCATGCCCAGCTCTCTATGTAATTTTCTAATCTTCAATTTTGTAATCTTTCATTTTATTCTATAGAAGACTGAAGATTATCTATAGAAATTGAAGATTTTCTGGAGAAAACTCTGTATATTCAATCTTTTGTTTTTTAGTTTTTGTTTGTTTGTTTGAGATGGAGTCTCACTCTGTTGCCCAGGCTGGAGTGTAGTGGCACAATCTCAGCTCCCTGCTACTTCTGCTCTTGGGTTCAAGTGATTCTCCCACCTCAGCCTCCTGAGTAGCTCAGATTACAGATGTGTACCATGATGTTCAGCTAATTTTTGTATTTTTAGTAGAGATGGGTTTCGCCATGTTGCCCAGGATAGTTTTGAGCTCTTCAGCTCAAGTGATCTGTCACCCTTGACCTCCCAAAGTGTTGGGATGGCAGATGTGAGCCACCACACCCCGCCTTATGTTGTTAGTTTTTAATCTAAAAGAATGCCTCTGTCTTCATAGAGTTTTGCTCAGTGTTAATGACGAAATCCTTGCCAAAGTCCCACCAAGTGCCCCATGTGCAGTGGCAATGCCCTGAGCTCCTGCATGTTGCAGGCTGCTTCACTGCCTCAGCCTCCTGAGATTACAGGAGATTTAATTATTGGGATTACAGGCATGAACCACCACGCCCAGCTAATTTTTGTATTTTTAGTAGAGACAGGGTTTCTCCATGTTGGTCAAGCTGGTCTCAAACTCCTGACCTCAGGTGATCTGCCTGCCTCAGCCTCCCAAAGTGCTGGGATTACAGATGTGAGCCACTGTGCCTGGCCTTCCTAAGGATTTTTAAAGCTATTCTACAAACTTTGATCACAAATCTACCCATGGAAGTTGTTTCCTCTGGGAAACTACATTCCTATTTGTGCCTAACACAGTATGGCCATGGTGGCTGCAGCTCTCCTAGGGCCTACTGTGGAAGCTTCTTCCTCAACAGAGCCTCAGGGTTTATCAAAGTAAAAAAATAAAAATAAAAAATTCATATGCTATCTTACTGCTGCCACTGCTGAAGGATCTGTTATTTCTCAACCACTAATAAAACACAGAAAGAGTTTCATTAAAGACGGATTGTTGCTTTTCTTTTGAGTGAGAATATCATTATTCTAAGACTTCCATAGTTGTTGATCTGATCAAGGAAATGTAGTGAACTTTTTGTTTCAGGTTATGAAGCAAAGCATTTTATTAGATGTGCCACAAAGGGCATATTAATAGTAAACGGCAACACAATTTTAGATTATTAGCACTAAACTATGTTTTAAAGATAATGTATAATACTTCTACACAAGGCCTGGAGTGGTGGCTCAAGCCTGGAATTCTAGCACTTTGGGAGGCTGAGACAGGAGGATTGCTTGAGCCTGGGAGGTGGAGGCTGCAATGAGCCAAGTTTGCACCACTGCACTCTAGCCTGGGCCACAAAGTGAGACCTTATCTCAAACAAACAACAAAAACCAAAACCAAAAACCAAAACTTACCATGGACCACGGGGAAAGTGGCCATGGCCACGTTAACAAGGACACTTCAAGCCCATGGTGTTTGGAGGTTTGAGGCAGCCACAACATCAGATGTGTTTTCTGGGCTCTGCTGCAGGAACGGAGGAGCTGTGTTGGGCCCCTTTCCCCACTCTGAAGTTTGGCCATGGGCTGGATGTGCTTTTGCTTAGTGAAGATGCCACAGGCTCCTTCCTTCTTTCCAGAGACAGACACAGGTCCCCAAAGCCTCCCGTACTTGGCTGAGGAAGCCAGACAGACATGTTCCCTGTCCAGAAGGCAGGCCCCAGAGCTCCTCAGGATCTGGAAGCTGAGGAGGAATGCAGGGCGGTGTCCCTGGTCACTCCCACTGACCTTGAGGTCATCTGATTTGCAGAGCTGATACCTTGGCTTGTGGGGGAGGAAAGTTGCATGTATTTTGAGATTTGTGTTCATTAACACACATTATTATCAAGGCCAAGGAAGTCTACTGAGAAGGAAGGAGGAGGACACTGTACGCCAGCCAGGTTGCAGTGAGGCCTCCAGCAGCCTGCTGTATGACTTAATAAATGCTGAGTCAATGCAGAGTTGCGCTTGAAATCATCTTCCAAATCATTCCCTTTAAATGAATCTTCTTGAGTATGAGCTTTCTGCTTTTGGGAAGGTTGTTAATAATTTGCCATGTATATTCATAATGAATTTCTCTACACATGAATTCCAGAGTAATTATTCAGTAAGTCTAGAGTTAACATTTTTTCCATTGTTACTTACATACATGTGGTATGTTACTCCCCTTCATGCCAAATATTTTCTTATGCATCATACCAACTGCAGAGCTATCAGATTAATTTCAAAGACTTCAGTATGTTTCAAAGACAAGGTATCTGACCAATTCTTATGCAATTGTTTGTTTTTAGATCTCAAATTATAGTGTTAAACTCATAACATTTTTTCACTACATTCAAATTATACTAAGCTTTTGGCTCAGAAAATGCTTAATCACCATCTAATTACAGAAAGTTAATAAGCTAATATACAGAAAGTTAATAAGGTAACATACAGAAAGCTCAGTTGCTAACTTATCCCACTGCCAGGTCTTTAATTTGGATGGCCACAGTTGATACTCATGAAACTCACCACTGACCTGATGCTGGCTATGTCCTTTCTACTGATATGTTTTGTGGGTATCATCCACGCGGAGACTTTGATCTTTGGTGGAGTGGCTCCTGGATTTCTCCCCACTGGACATATCCAGCTCTCCTCCCTTCATCTCCTCTTCTAAGATAAACAGTGTGTTGTTTCACCTCTTTCTCCCTACAAAGCCAGACAGCTTACAAAGCAGGGGCTGTTCCATGTACATCTGACTTTCTCACCCATGTCTGTGTGTGAGGATCTGCATGTGTGTGTGAATATGTGTGCGCATGGGTGCATTCATGTGTATATGTGTGCCTATATGTGTGTCTGTGCATGTGTGCCTGTGTACCAAGACCCCTGATGTTAGTGGCTGAGCATGAGGAACTTGAAGCTCTTACAAGTACTTTGAATACGGAAAGACACATTTGTGCCACATAGGTGCATTAGTCCTTTGCAGTTGCCTAACAGTCCATTTTATTTTAATGCTAATGTTTGTAATTGTGCGGTGGATTCACAGAATGGCAGAGTCCGTGCATCCCCAGCATCATTGCCCTGCATGCGTGACATTATCCAGTGTGCACACATGTGGGTTGCTGGAGTATTTAGAGTAAACTGGGAGTTCATGGAAACCTGGCTGCTCCCAGAAGCACTCAGTACTGCCTAACATGACATAAAGTGTTACAATTAATAAATAAATTAAGCAAAGCTACTGCATACAAGATCATTATCAACCAGATTACTATATACAACTATGAACACAAAGAAATGAAAGAACAAAAATCAAACTAGAGAACAAGAACCTATGACAAAAATGAGCCAATAAAGGGCTTACAGATTTTTAACAATAAGTCCTTCAATTTAATATAAGGAAAAAAAGCCCTAAAGAAAAATTAACAAAATAAGAAGAGTACATGAAGAAAAGTAAGGCACAGAGGCCAATAAACATTTTCTAAACTCTACCTCACATGAAACAGGTTACAGCAAGAGGATCTCTGCAGGGCAGGAGTCCAGAAACACTGAAAATCAGTCACCTCAACTTCTTTCTTCTTCTTCTTTTTTTTTTTTTTGAGACGAAGTTTTGCTCTTGTTGCCCAGGCTGGAGTGCAAAGGCGCGATCTCGGCTCACTGCAACCTCCACCTCCTGGGTTCAAGCGATTCTCATGCCTCAGCTTCCCCAGTAGTTGGGATTACAGGCGCCCACCACCACGCCCGCCTAATTTTTGTATCTTTAGTATAGACGGGGGTTTCACCATGTTGACCAGGCTGGTCTGGAACTCCTGACCTTCAGGTGATCCACCCACCTTGGCCTCCCAAAGTGCTGGGATTATAGGTGTGAGCCAACGCGCCAGGCACCTCAACTTCTTTCTCAGGAATCAAGAAAGAAAAATCAAGTGCAAAGAATACAGGATGAAGGCAATAATAAAGCTAACAAACATCAATGAAATGGAAAAATGTACGACAGAAATAAACCAAGGCTAAAAGTTGTTCTTATAAATAATATAGATAATAAACCATTAGCAAAGCTGATTAAGGAAAAGAGATTAAAGGACACAAGTGACCAGTATCAGAATCAAAACAACAGTCTGCTCTGCATAACAGTACTATAACAAGATAATCAGAGAATTTTGTGAAATACATATGATCAAAAGTCTGACAACAGAGATCACAATAGATGTTGAAAACCCAACTTACTAAAACTGGCACAAAAATAGTATAAAATAAAAACACTCCTATGTATATTAAACAAAATTAATTAACTATTTTTAAAAAAATCCAACAAATCAACAAACAATAATGCTCCACAAGGAAAATACCAGGATCAGACTTTGAAAATGTTCCAAATATTTAAGGAAGAAAAAAATATCGACACTGCTCACTCTCTCAAAGAGAAAGAAGAAAAGGGATGGTTTTTCAATTTGTTTCATGAGGCCATCATTACATTAATACACAATCTGATCAGACAATAAAAAAACCCAGAAATAACAGATGCTCTGTTTCACAAACACAGATACAAATATTCTAAGAAAAACATTGTTACCTGAATTCAATCAAGGAAGAAATAAAAAAAATGAAATTAAACAACAAAGACCAGACTAGGAAACAACAACCTACAATAGAAACGAACCAATAAAGGACTAATCTCTAAATTGTCTTTAAAAATGCTTCACATCAATACAGGAAAAACACAAATGACCCAAGATAATAAGAACACTAGATATGAAGAAAAAAAAGGGGGTGCATGGGCGAATAAATATTTGCTAAGCCGTACTTTGAAGGGGGTTATTTCCAGTTCCAGATGAGAGATACCCACAGGCAGCCCGGAGGGTGGGACCCCAGGGGGCAGGACCCCCAGGAGGTGACAGAGGCCCCGGCAGTGGGGGACCGGGGGCCCAAGGGGACCTCCATCCTTTTCCCGGGCTGCCGCCCAAGGCTACCGCCGCTCCTGGGTCCCAGTGCCCTCTCACTGGGTCCTGATAGGGGCTCCCTTTCTCACCCCGGGTCGGGCAGGAGGCCCCGGACTCCAGTCCCGGAGGAAACGGAGGCTCCAAGGCCTCCACGGAGGAGAGAAGGGGAGGGCTCCTCTCCGACCCGGGCTCCTCTCTGACCCGGGCTTCTCCAGCACCCACCCCAACGGGTTCTCAGAGGGTGAGGAGGAGGTCGGGGGCTGGGTTCAAGCCGCACTGGGCCCCGGATTCAACAACAGAAAGTGCTCCCGAGGGTCCTGTGCATCAGAGGGGTCCTGGCTCGGCCTGGAATGGGGCTCGGGGAGGGTCAGACGGTCTATTGGGCTCCCAGCCTGAGGCCTCCCTCCCCGGCCCGTAACCCCTCCTGCCGCTGGGGCCCTCCTGCCTTTCCCTGCACGCCACTCCCTGGGAGGCCGAGACTCCTGCCTGGCCTCCCTCTGCCGCTGGCACCCCAGACTCCCGGACTCACCCTTGGCTGGGTTGCCCTCTCCTCCTTTAAGCGCTGGATGCCACAAGTTCCAGGCTTCTTGGGCTCTGGGAGGAGGCACAGCGGAAGGCTAGGTAGCTATATTAGGCCGCTCCAAAGTCGCCTTGTGCTGTTGCTGCCTCACTGCCTCCAGCCTCCAGCATCCAGGGAGAGTGCAGGTGGGCAGCACCCAGTTCTCTTCCTTCTCCTCCTGCCTAGGGCGGACCGGCCTCCAGCATCCAGGGAGAGTGCGGGCACATGGCGCCTGGCCCTCTTCTTTCTCCTCCTGACCAGGGCGGAGCAGTAGAGACCACGCGGCCTGGAGTGGGGTGAAATGACGAAAGCCCAAGGGGGAACTATTTATAATGACTCTTATTTAACTGGCTCTCCTGGAAGGCATGTTCGGATTGGGTGAGAGCCACTGTGCAAAACAACTCTGATTGGATAATATGACCCAATCAGGGCTGGCTGAAAGGTTCCTTCTTGTCTTATCAGAACCAGGGTACCAAAAGTTTATACTACTTTGACGTAAGTCTACATTGGGAAAATACCTGAGTGACCCTAGAATGTTAACTTTTAAGAATATATAGATGCTGGGGAGGGGCAGGAGCCAGCGCCCCCACCGGAATTGGAAGCTGGGGACGCACATGGGAGATGGCTTTGTAGCCACCTCGCCTTCGGCTTTGCCTCCTGCCACGCCCCACAGGCCTGGAGAATGTGGCCCTTGTTGTTTCCAGGAATACTTTACGCAATTAAAGTCATAATTAAAGTAACATATGCAAAAACCCTATCAGTACTCCTTTTATACTTAAAGTTTTGTTTAACTATAACCCTGTTTACTTGTTTATATGTTGTCTATGGCTGCTGTCATGCTGCAAAGGTCGAGTAGACTATGAAACAGATGATGTGGACCACAGCTCCAAATATGTTTACTATTTTGCCATTTTCAGGATGAGTTTGCTGGATGACTCCTAAACTAGTGGAATGTCTGTGTTACTAGTACAGGGAGATCCTTGCCAGCCAATGTCAGAAAAACAAGTTGATTTTATGGACAATTTGTCATATACATACAAGCACCTTTCCAGTTTTTGTAACTATTAACGATTTATTTTCCTACTTAGTTTGCTCGCTATAACTTTGAGTGGCTCAACTATTCATCCTGTTTTGATTTCTTCATACCACTTATCCTCCTTCCAGATTATTTAATCAGGTGATTTTATGTTATACCTCAGTAGGGTCCTGAGCCTCTTGTTTGTTTACATGTCTCTATGACCCTCTTTGTTGTTTCATAAATGGATTGATGATATGTAAAATGTACATATTCATGGAAATAGCATTTGTTCCAATTGACAAAACTATTTATAAAATGAGGATTGTAATTATGTGTGCTATTTGAATTGTGTACATGTATATTTCTGTCCTTGGATTGGAGGCAGAAAAGGGGTTGATTTTGGCTTCAGCCATGGTTGTTTCCTCGGAATCCTAAAGTTAGTTGTTCTAGGCATGGGTCTGTAGGATGAATATCCCAAGGTGACAGTCATGGTAGATCCTTAGACCTTATTCTCGTGGGATTTTTAATAAGTGTATTAGTATTTTAAGAGCTATATTAGCTATAAGAAGAAATAGAATCAATTTTTATTTCAAAATGTTTCAATTTGAAATAATTGTATACTTCAGAAAAATTGAAATAATATTAACAGTATTTCTGCATACCCTTCATCTATCCTTACTGTTAATGTTTAACATAATCATAGAACAATTATTAAAGGTAAGAAATTCATACTGATTCAGTACTGTTGACTAATCTTCAGAGGGCATCTGAATTCTCCCTCCAGTACCCATTTTCTGTCCTCGTTGCATGTAGTTCTCATTTTTCCTCAGGCTCCTCCAGTTTGCATAATTTCCTCATTATTTCTTTTACATTCATGACCTTGACACTTTTTAAGAATCATATTTATTTTGTAAATATTTTGTAGACTGCACCTCCATTTGGGTGTGTCTGATGTTTTGTCATGAAGTAACCTTCCATTTAATCATGAGGAAACATCAGATAAACTCAAACGGAGGTACAGTCTATGAAATAAATATGATTCATGTGGCAGGAATGCCACAGAAGTAATGTTACATACTTCTCAGTGCATTTTATCAGATGGTGTGTGATGTTGCCATTACTGGTGATGTTAATCTTGGTAGAATGGTGGCTGCCAAGTATTTTTCCCTTTTTAGCTGAAATGTATTTTGTGGGGAGACATTTGTAGATATACAAATATCCTGTTTGTTATCGTAATCTCCACCATTAATCCTAGCACCCATGAGTAGAATTTTACCTACAGCAGTTATTACGGTGGAGATTGCCTAATGATTTCTTTCCATCATTCCTTCTGTATTTGTTTGGAATGCTCCAGTAGGAAACAGCTGTTCCTTCTACACCACTTATTTATTCAATTATTTATATTATTATGGATTCATGGCTGTTTAGTGTATTCTTTGGATTATGATCCAATGCTAATATTATTTATTTTGTTTTCAGGTTGTATCAACTGTTGGGGTGATCAGACCCAACACCAGGCCATGGGGTCTATGAAGTCTGGCGGCATCAAAGGAATGAGGAAAGACAAGTTAAGAGAGAAAGTGGGACCAGGGGGCCAATGCTAGTATGGAGGCTGCGAAGGCCCCAAGCTCTGGGAGCCCACACTGTTTATTGGTGATCAAAGAAACAGTTGGTGAGGATGTGGGGGTTGAAAGGAAGTGGTGTATCAAGTGAATGAGCTACAGCTGTGACGGTTCAGCATTTTCTTTGAAACATATGGCTACTTGAGATAAAGGGAGTGCTAGAAGCAAGGAGCCAGCAAGTCCAGACACATTCCAAAGGCCATGAGAGGTTTTAGACCTTGGACCCCGGACATGTTCCAAGCACTGCCTCAGCTTCTCTCCCAACACTCAGCTTTTCTCCCAACACTCAACATTGTCCATTGAGAGCCCCTTCAGGTTGGCACCTGTTTCCTTTTGATGTGCCTTCATCATTTTTCAGTTCTTCCTTATTTTTGGCATCACAAAGCATTCCAGGCTTATCACGCGTCTTCCCTGATCTCAGCCCTGAAATTAACCCTATTTCTAGGGAGCCCTGGTTCATTAACTGGAGAATGGTACTAGAAACCATGATCTGAGCACTAGGTGTGCTCATTGGCATGGGAATGCCATTTACTCTAGGATCTCTTCATGGACAGAGTTAGGAACTCTATATTGGTGTACTCACACATGCGTTAACATTTGTCTATACCTATCTGACTGTGTACCTACCTACCTACTCATAAAAACTGTGAGTTCATACTGTTGCCTTTGATTCCACTCTAACACCACTGAGTTTATTCTAGCTTTTCCTTCTTTGTAACTTCTAACAGTGAGAACATTGGCTTTTATTTTCCAAGATATGTTCACTTGTTTGTTTGTTCCTGGTGTGTGTGTGTGTGTGTGTGTGTATAGTAGATTGAGAAATGTGAAACCATATGCTTGTTAAGAAACAAATTTACTAATTAGAAGATAGTATTTGTGTGACATATTTTTTGTCTTTAGCTTTCAACAATGAAAATAGAGTTTTCCAAAGTTACTTAGGCTTCTTATGTTCTTCCCCACCTCTTTCTGCATGCTCATATTATTAGATTTCCTTTTATTAGATTCTCATTTCATTAGATTCCCTTTTATCCTTTTTAGATATCTTATGCACAAATAAGCAGATAACGTATATAATTTCTAATATCCCCTTCTCATTATATGAAGTGTAGCTCATACCACATGTATATATATGCATTCTTGCTCTGTGTTTTGCATTTTTTCTTTCCACTTAACAATATAGCCTATATTTTAGAACATATTTAAATTTACTTCCGTCTTAGCATGCTGTGATAGCAGTTTCATTATTTTTCAGCTGTAGAATTTTGTCTATAAAATATTCACTTCAGAAATGTAAAAGTAAACCATCAACACTCACAGAAACACTGTCTTTTTGAGGTTTTTCCTTCTTTTTTTTTTTTTTTTTTTTTTTTTGAGACAGAGTCTTACTCTGTTGCCCAGACTGGAGTGCATTGGCGCAATCTCCACTCACTGCAACCTCCACCTCCCAGGTTCAAGCAATTCTCCTGCCTCAGCTTCCCCGAGTAGGTGGGTCTACAGGTGTTTGCCACCACGCCTGGCTAATTTTTGTATTTTTAGTAGAGACAGGATTTCACCAAGTTGGCCAGGCTGGTCTCGAGCTTCTGACCTCAGGTGATCTGCCCACCTCAGCCTCCCAAAGTGCTGGAATTACAGGTGTGAGCTACCATGCCCAGCTGAGGATTTGCTTCTTAAAACTTAACATTCTGGGGTCACTCAGGTATTTTCCCACTGTAGACTTATGTCAAAGTAGTATACATTTTTGGTAGTAATTTAAATGTCTTTATTTATAAATGCATATTTATGTTTCATTTCCAGCTGGTTGGAGTGTTTGATGAGCAAGATCTACATCATGGAGGTGATGACACCAATGCCAGCTCCATGCATACCTAGAGCCCAGAGAGATTTGCTAGTGCTAGTGAGCTTGGCACAAACAATGTCTCAGCCTTTCAGTCTGATCAAGCAGCAAGTGAAATTGAGGTCACATCTTCAGTACTTCATGTAAGTAAGTGAAAGCTCTTTCTTCTCTGCATACTTCATCTTTTTTTTTTTTTTTTTTTGAGATGGAGTCTTGCTCTGTTGCCCAGACTGGAGTATAGTTGTGCGTTCTCGGCTCACTGACACCTCTGCCTCCTGGGTTCAAGCAATTCTCCCTCTCATGACCTCCTGAGTTCCTGGGATTACAGGCAGCCACTGCCACGCCCAGCTATTTTTTGGGTATTTTTAGTAGAGACAGAGTTTTGCCATGTTGGGCAGGCTGGTCTCGAACTTCTGACCTCAGATGATCTGCCCGCCACGGCACCTGGCCACATCATCTTCATTTGAAGGATACAAAGTTTTGTCATCCAGTCTTGCTTCTGTAAATGCAAGGAATTCATTTCTTGAACAGATAATAAAATTCATTACCTGTTTTTATCCAGAATTCAGTTTAGAACTTTGGCAAATGTCTTGCAAAGAAGTAGGCACATTAAAATCACATTTTAATGAATTAAGCTTACTTTAGTCAACTTTTCATGGCAGGGCAGGGTCCATCAAGGCAGGGGAATAGAGAAATATTTAGACACTGGTGTAGCCCAAGTCCCAACCAGTTTTAGTATATGTTGAAGCGAGCACCCAAGTCCCAACCAATCTGAATGAACCATTCTACCATACCAAGCCAATATTAATATTATTCATAATAAAATCTGCTGAAGTGAGCACCCAAGTCCCAAACAATCTGAATGAACCATTCTACCATACCCAGCCAATATTAATATTATTCATAATAAAATCTTAATAAATGAAAAATCAGTAAATAAAAAATGAATATAAAATACCTAAACATAAATTTGTCCTAAAACTCTAGTTGAGGGTTTTAAACATATCAAGAGTAACTGTTTTGAGTCACCTTAAAGCATTGCAATTTGTACAACCAAAAGGAAATATATCCTAAGGAAAAAATGAATTGCCAAACGAGGACCCTAAAACTGTTTGTTGTTGGCATTGTTCATTTTCAATTCATAGATGGGTATTATAGGATGAAGGAGATGAGGAGCAATAATACTTTAATTCTGTCATTCCTGGTGTCATTGAGGACCTAGGATTCTTAGTATAGAAGAAAGGGGATACAGATAGAAGTTACAAAGTAACAAACACTTTATAGTCCTCAATTTGGATAGGACAAGTCATCATGGATTCATGATATGCTTTAACTCTCAAAAAAAAAGAGAACCTAGAAGGAAGGAGAACTCCTGTGTGTATTCACAGAAAAAGCCATGAATCAAGGACCACCTTAGTAAGGCAGCATTTCTCATATCCAGGCTATATTCTGGAAATAACAATTTTTTATAAAAAGAGATCAGAGTTCCTTGGAGAAATGCCTGAATTTAGGTCTGGACAGAAAATGTATGAGATGATTCTGGATCATCCTGACATATCATAAAATAAGGATGCTATGAAACATTACTAGGGTATATCACAGGGCCTAGGAGAAGACATGATGCTCCTACTGTCATTGGAACATCAATTAGTATAGTAACAGCAATAAGTGCATGGATTTGTAACTATAATAAATAAGCTTACAAGCAAGAAAAAGGCTTCCAGTGATCCAATTTATTATTTGGAAAGCTGATAAAGGAATAATTCATCTATTCTGCATTTCCTGTGTGGGTGGTGTGACTGGATAACTAAGTAACAGATCAAGGGGAAGTTACTTTTTATGTAAGTATTTCAGCTAATAAATGAAGGTGTAATGGTAGCATTAGAATATTACTATTTTGCAACTCCTGGTGAAATAATAGATCTAGGGATTGATCATTGTATGAAAGGACAATAAAAATTGGGGACCCCAATTTCCTATGCCAAAAGAAAAAAATTAAGCTGAAAGCTGAGTCATGAAAGAAGCTGCCTTTCCTTGGCTTTGTAAGCAGTTACAGATAAAAGTTTAAACATTTCCACAGGTAGCTACCCTGTTCATCTTATCTAATCAAGTGCTGATTTATTGAGCATAAGATCAGTACATAATTGACTATTTCCCTACGTGCTCCTTTTCTCTTGCAACATGAGGATCACCACACACTTCCTGTTTCCTCTCTAGGTCACTTTTCCTTTTTAAATATTGAAGCCCTCAAAATCATCTTTAGAGAAAAATCACAGACCACAGACTGTGTCTGTGATTCTGTGTTTATTTCTCCTGGGCATGTTCTTAACCTTGGCAAAATAAACTTCTACACTGATTGAGACCTGGCTCAGATACTCTTTGGTTTTACAATTGCTATGGTCTTAATGTATCCCTCAAAATGTATCTGTTAGAACTCTAATCCCTAAGACAGCAGTGTTGGGAGCTGCAGCCTAATGGAGGTGTTTAGGTCAAAAAGGCACTTTTTATTTGGAAAACTGATAAAAGAAAGAATAAATTATTTATCTATTCTGCATTTCCCATATGTGGGTGTTATCTACTACCCTGCAGTAGATGAGGGGGATGTTACTTTTTATATACATATAAAATAGTTATGTCTTATATAAGTATAAAAAAGGCTTGATGGATTGGGTTTACTTTTTGTCACTCTTCTGTCATGTGAGCACATCACATCCATCCTCTCTCCCTTTCACCTACCTCCATGTGAGAATGTAGTAGGAATACCCTCTCCAGAGGCCTCTTGATTTTGGACTTCCCAGCCTGCGGAACTGTGAGAGAATAAATTTCTGTTCTTTATGAGTTACCTAGGTTCAGGAACTCTGTTATAGCAACAGAACCCTCCCAACTGGAGTTCTTCAGCACACCCCAGTCCATCCCCTCGCTAACTCCCCCACCTGTCCAGTCTTATCTGCCTTTATATCAAAAGCCCACAGCTAACCCAGAGGGCTTCAGCCCTGCCCTGCCTTTCTAGGAAACCCCCCTCTCCACCCACCCTGATCAAGACACTGTCTGAAGTTTCCCCCTCATGATTTAAAAAAAAGAAATTTATCTGACAGAGGTTCTGCTGAGGAGGCCAGCTCTCACATCAGAGGGTGATGGCAGTTTGTGCTGGATGAGGATAAGACAATGCTGTCCTAGGGCTGGCCATCTGATAAAGCTTCCCAGAAAGTGCAGTAATGGACCCCTGGGAGGCTTTCTGCTCTCCTGTCTGCGGGTTCCTGGTGAGAGGACCTATTGGCCACTAAGGTGTCTGAATATGTGTCTGTGTGTGTGTGTGTGTGTGTGTGTGTGTGTGTGTCAGAGTGATGTGTGTGTTCTTGGCTTGATTTCTTTCAGCATGAAGCCCACTGTTTTGCTGAATGTATCTGTTTCCTGAAACTCAGTGCATTCAGCTGGCTCAAGGGTCCTGGGGCCTTACTGTGTCATATTTGCACAAGCCTTGTGTCTGTGCAGACTGTACACTGGAGTTCAGTTGTAAAACCCTTTTTCTCCCTTATCCTGACACAGTAATAGAAAAGCCATTTCATTCAATGGAATAGAAACCCAGATCTAATGGAGAGATGGTCTAATCTGCCATACATTGGAGCAGTATCCAGTGATTTGGACTTTGTGGCATTGATGGAAATTTCCAGGTTCTCTAGGTGGTGGGCAGAGACCTCACTTTTTAAGAAACTCTCCACCCCTGCCAATGAGGACACTGCTTGAGGACATTCCTGTCAATGTTAAGTAGAAGAGATTGTTTCTTTTCTTTTTCTTTCTTTTTTTTTTTTGTTTAGACAGAGTTTTGCTCTTGTTGCCTAGGCTAGAGAGCAATGGCCTAGTCTCGGCTCACTGCAACCTCTGCCTCCCGGGTTCAAGTGATTCTCCTGCCTCAGCCTCCCGAGTAGCTGGGATTACAGGGGCACACCAACATGCCCGGCTAGTTTTTGTATTTTTAGTAGAGGTGAGGTTTCACCATGTCGGACAGGCTGGTCTCGAACTTCTGACCTCAGGCAATCCACCCGCCTCAGCCTCCCAAAATGCTGGGATTATAGGCGTGAGCCACCACTCCCAGCCAAGAGATCATTTCTTGATGTTGAATTTCAGGTAAGGGAGCCAGCTCCTGAATACTGCCAGGTGCTTGGGCTGAGACAGGTCTAGACAGCACTGTCTGAAAATGGGCTCAAGGAAGTAGCTGTGAAAGGGCCCTGGGATGTTTTCTGCTCCCCTCTCTGCAAATGTCCTGGAGGGACATCCTGTTAGTCACTTTGCGGGGTGTGTGTGTGTGTGTGTGTGTGTGTGTGTGTGTTCATCAGTTGGTTTTATGTTTTTGCTTTTCTTCATGAAATCTGCAGAGCTGCCAAAAGTACCTTGATGTTTTCTGAAAGCAGAGCCAATGACCACACTCCAGGGACTGAGTTCTCAAATGTATGGTATTTGCTAAGGACGGGTGTTTACCTGCAGATAGTGTGATGGGGTTCAGAGCCAAGGAACACTAGTTTCTGTGCCCTGTTTCTATGTTAAAAAGACATTTCGTTCAACTGGATAACAGGGCAATTCTGGTGGAGAAAAGGTCTATTCTGCCATAGGATGGGGCAGCAGCCTGCAGTTCAGAACACTGGTGTGTGTCTGGAGATTTCCAGGAACTCCAGCTGCTGGTAGAGGCCCAGAAGGTAGGGGGCATTTGTCTTCAGATCAAAGGTGAGGGTTCTGCTCACCCCATTATCTTGGCCATGTGTGGACCCTTAAGTTTGCAGGATTGGATGTCCTGACTGACTGTGCCATAGGAGGGTATAAGAGACTGAGGGCAACACAACTATAGACTGTGGGGATGATGTTCATAGGGAGCGTCCCTGCTGCCTGTGGCAAGAGTAAAGAGTGAAATGCTTGGGGCTGGGAAGAGGCAACAAAAGTCTACATAATCTATTGTCCTCAGCTCATCTCCCATCCTAGTCCAGTCATGGCCTAACATCTTTAGCTACTGATCGCAGAGGAGACTGTGCATTTGTGTTCATGTGGCCTTGGATGTTGGCAAATTCAGATTGGTGCCCCAGGCATCTGTGCCTGTAACTGCAGTTTCAATGGGCTCAGAACCAGCCTAAAGGGCCTCCAAGCTTCCTCCAGTTTCCTGGTGCATGCATGTGCAATATACTCCCGTCGCCTGGGTCTCTTCTGCCTCTTCTTGCCAGTTGGGTCAGAGCTAGCTTATTAACCAGTGTTTTCTGAGATTTAATAGAACTGGCTCAGACCAGTTGGAGACTTGAAAAGGGCTACGTGATAGTAATAGATTTTTAAAGATACATTATTATTTTAGAGTAGATTTGAGTGTACAGCAAAATGGAGTGCAGAGTCCAGAGTTCCCATATGCCCTCGATTCCTGTACACTCTTGGGTCACTCAACCAACAACCTCCTACACCAGAGTAGAATATTTATTATAGTCAGTGATCTTACACTGACACATCATTATCACCCAGAGTGATACTGTTGATGGCACACATTCTAAGGGTTTGGAGAAATGTATAACGAGAATGAAATGTATAATGAATGTATCATTATAGCTGTTATGATATCCTGCAGTATATTTTCATTACTGTAATAATCTTGTGCTCTATTTATTTATCCTTTCTTTTCCTAACCACTGGAAACCACCAATCTTTTCACTCTCCAAAGTTTTGCATTTTTCTGAATGTTATATACTTGGAATCATAGATAACTTTCCAGATTGGCTTCTTTCAGTTACTAATATGCATTTAGTATGTAATATGCAGTTAGTAATAGCTCATTTCTTTTCAGATGTGATTAACATTTCATTTTCTAAATATACCACATTTGTATTTATCATTAAGCTACTTAAGGAAATCTTGGTTCCTCCTGACTTTTGGCAGCTATTTTAAAAGCTGTTATAAACATCTGTGTGCAGATTTTTGTGTGGACATAAGCTTTCTGGTCATTTGGATAAAGACCTAGGGAATGCAACTACTGGATCACATAGTAAGATTATGTGTAGTTTTGTAAGAAACTGCCCATATTAGGAGAGTCTTTACATTGGTAGAGGAGACTGTGCTAACATACTGCAGAACCATGCTCAGCTAATTATTTGTTTGTATTTGTTTTAGAGATGGGGTTTCCCTAAGTTGCTTAGGCTTGTTTCAAAATCCTGGGCTGAAGTAGTCTGCCTGCATTGGTCTCCCCAAGTGCTGGAATTACAGGCCATCTAAACCTTTTATCTTAGATTTGCCTTGTGACAAAAGGAGGGGTACTTTTTCTGATATGATGAGGCAGAGAAAGATGAGGTGGGTGCATCCTGTGCATATTATTTTCTTAGGCTTTTGCCTGATGGGATATATTTTCTCCTTCAATGATATGGCAAGATATTCAGGTGAAAGAAGTTGAATAAAAGTTAGAAGAACAGAGAAAAGATTGGTTCTACATGTTGGGTTTTTGAATAAATGATGTCATTGGAGAAACAAAACTTTTATTGATTTTTGGAAATATTCAGGGCCAATTTGTTGTGTAAGTAATTTGAACTTATGATGATACCTCTGACCACTTTTTGATATTTTTGGGGTTCAGCTGAGTGGTGTCAATGAGCCAACACAAAGTGGGGCTCATCCAGGGATGAGATTTTGCCAGAGAAAGGATGAGCATCAAGTCAGGGAGCTTAAGATAATTATGAGAAAGTGACTATCTAAAATTGCTTAGGTAAGAGAGAGATTGGATTTTTGTGTATTTGGTATTTGGGAGAAGAGGGGTGTGGGTATGTATATGAGATGTGTTGTTTATTCTCTTAAGAGAGAAAATGAGAGGATTAATGGACTGTAGTTCTGGACAAGGTGAAAAACTCTTAAAGTGGAAGTATTGGTGCAAGTGCTGTGACAGGCTGGAATGGTGCAGTCAGTCCCTTCATCCATAAATCAGTAGAATGTTAGCAGTTCATACTCAAACCTTGTAAAAAATAGGTGGAGAAAAGGAAGTCCCTCACAGTAACTGGCACCATAATCAAGACAGAATGTTTCCAGAATAAATGGAGTTATCTGCTTTCAGCTTCAGGTGGTAGCTATTGTCTGCCCTGATGATATGTGATAATAATTTGTGATCCCGATGTCTTAAAATGGGATCACTCATCTCCAGTAGAATTAAGTCCACAGTGAAGTTGTCCCCTCATCCCCAAAGAGATAAACATATATGAATGGACTGAGATGATAATAACTACTGCTGCCTGGGATCATGAGAGACCTGAAATGAACTGATAGGATGTGAAAGGTGGCTGAGAAAATGAGAATGGACCCATCTGCGGAGGATCATAAAACCAGCAAAGCTTCAGAAGCTTTGTCCATGAAAACTCTAAGGACTTCTCCATACCTGGTGGCTGCTGCTGTGATCTCTGCCCAAAAGGAGCCTCTGATCAGTATCCAAAGGGCTTCTGGACCCACTGGAGTCTTCTGGAGGTACATTGGTATCCTGAGACATCACTGTGGTTTTTTACTCTCTTTATTACTGCCTGTGTGTAGAATGATAATTGCCTAATTGATAGTGTGAATACCTCTTGATACATGGTAAATCTGAGCATATGTAATTGGGTGTCATGTCATTCTGAAACCTCACAGCTTCAGTCAGTGTCAGCACAGCTAGGCAGCTTGCACCTAATGCAAATATCAGTGGGCATAGTCTATAGGTACCTAATGACTCAGGTACTTTAACAGTCACTAATGAGTGTATCTCCAAGAAATAGTCCAACAACACATGGCTGGCCTGACTCAAGGTAACTATATGTCCAATCCAGGGTCATACTGAGTGGACATCTGGCAACCACAGGTCATTCCCCCTGCCTGCCATTGAACTGCTAGTTCAAAAGTGACTGGTGTAAGCAGACAGGAGTGGGCTTGTTCAACTCACTATTTGCTTCTTCTGAAGGGATCATACTCAGGATCTAGGTCATCGTGCCTTATTGGAGTCCTACACATTTCACTTGCAAATTATATTTGAAAATGAAATTACCATGTTGCTAGTCATTCACAAAACATTTTTTAAAATTACATTCTAGAACCAATATTAACATCCTGTGACCCATAGAAAACAATAGAGAAATGTATTAGGCAAAAAGTTCTGGCAAAGACCAGTCTGATATTGGCCTGATTACTCAACCTCAGGCATTGGTCACATTAACTCACAGAGCTAAGAAAAATAAAAAGTACCAGCCTTGTTACTCAAGACATTAGGAACTGTCGATTTAGATAGATAAAAGATTTTAGCTAACAAAATATTACAATGTCATCCTGAAGAATATGTCCCTCTTCCAGAGAACCCAGGAGGTTATCATGACCCCTGGAAAGCCCGACCAGCAATAACAGTGAAAGTTACATAGCTGCCCGAGTGCAGAAATATAATCTCTACTGAAAATGTTTTATACTAGGCACGAATTTCAAGATATACATAGAATTTTTGCTCACGAAGTCAAATCACATGTACAAATTCCATATGGTTTAGGAGTTAATGGTGGTAAATTCACTATGCTTACTGGAAGCGAAGTAGGACAAATGACTGGAATAGCAAACAACTGCAGGTTTCATGATGAATTAATTGCTAGAGCACAAAATATCGAAGATCTTCATGACTTACGATGGGGATGGGTAACAGAAGTTGGATGAGACAATACCCAAACATGATTCCCAGGTTTACCTAAACTAAACAATGGAAGACTGTAGAAGATGCCATGAAGATATCTCATGAATATGGAAGATTATTATTCACTTCTGATGTGACAGGACTTTATAGGGCACCTGAAAAAATTCTCATGAAAAACCACTTTTACAAAATGTCAAGTTATGATATCCAAGATGAAACCAATGAGTCACAACATTCACATAATATACTGTACAACCCTGATCTCTTGACTGTCATCAAATGTTTCTTACCTCTAAACCAAAGTTTCATTTTATAATTTAATTTTTCTCATTTTTTCTTTCCTCTCAGCTTAAGACAAGATCATTACAACCTTTTTTGTATGTTTTCATATATGCTTGCAAAGGGTTGTAAAATTTTATTGTGATTATTCTTGCTTTAAGCCAAAACTTCCCTAATCTTTCTTTAGAGATTGTGGAATAGCATGCTAGTTTCCTTTCCATATCCAATTGTTTCTTCTGTATTCATTACCCTAGCTATATGATTACATCTTTTGAACCTCCCCTGCAGCTAGGTATGGCCATTTGACTAAGTTTTAAGCCAATAATTTGTAAGCCGTGTGCTATGAGTACCTTCTAAAAAACCTTCCTCCTTCTTTTCTCCCTCTACCCTATTGTCTGGAATGAAGATCCAATAGCTGGAGATCAGTAGTCATCCTAGCTAAAGCAGGCAGGGGTGATGGGCAACACGGTCTGTTAATTCCCTTACTGGAAGATAACTTTCACAAGAATAAGAACCTTTGTTGTGTTGGTTCAAGCAATATCCCCAGCACTTACATACAGTGTGCGGCATGTTTGCTAAGAGCTCAGGTACTAAATGGGTATTGAATGAATGGATGAATTAATTAGTTTGCTTTGGAGCTATAAATAAACAAGGTCTCAGCTCATTTCACAGAATCAAGCTCCTAATTCAAATCACACTATTCTAATTTATTTCTCTTTGCTCTCTCAGACTTGCCAATGTCATGGTAGGTTAGGATTTTTCTTAGCGTACTTCAATATTGTCTTCACTCCAAATGTTTTAAAATCTATTTTCATAACAATGCTTCCCAATATTTTCCTGTTTAGAGAGTTTAAAATTCTTCCATTTTTAAAGTCGTGGATATCTGTGGGCCGGGTGCGGTGGCTCACGCCCGTAATCCCAGCACTTTGGGAGGCTGAGGTGGGCAGACCACGAGGTCAGGAGTTCGAGACCAGCCTGACCAACATGGTGAAACCCTGTCTCTATTAAAAATACAAAAATTAGCTGGGCATGGTGATATGTGCCTGTAATCCCAGCTACTCAGGAGGCTGAGGGAGGAGAATCGCTTGAACCCAGGAGGCAGAGGTTGCAGTGAGCCGAGATTGCACCACTGCACTCCAGCCTATGGGACAGAGTGAGACTCCATCTCAAAAAAATAAAAAATAAAAGTCATGGATATCTGTTTTCGAGTGTGTCTGTTGTTAAGCGCAGGCACTATTTTGTAACTTTAAATAGACATCATCTCAAGTCTACAAGAATTATCCAAAATGGTATCTAATGATATTTCTAGGTCTTCAGACACTATTAATTTTACTAGATATTGGTTACTGAAACTGAACTTTCTTGAATTCTTTTTTTTTTCCACTGTGGTTTCCCGCATTTCAACGTATCACCTATTTTTGTCCTCGAACTTTACTGAAATATTTTCAACAAAATTAAATTACATATGAATCATCGCTTCTTCCCTGATTTTTGAAATTACCCATTGCTTCCTATGATAATGATTCTTCTGGTCCTTTTTGTAGTTAACTTATGTTAGAGTTTGTAAATATTCACACATTTTGGAATTGCATATAATTTTCTTCTTAATTATTTTTTCCTCTTCCCCCAAAGTTGTTGTTATTTCTTTTAACTCTTTGTGGGAAAAATTAAACCCGTGTTTCACTTTTTGATATACTTGTCATTGAACTCCTTGATTTATGCTCAAATTGCTTTTCAAGTTACCCACTTTTAGGGAAGACATTATTTGGGTTTTGTTTAGTGTATCAAGCTTTTTTTTTTTGTTAGATGTATCAAGAAGTGTAGACTTTTCTATACATAGTATCCTTTTTCCCACAGTAGTTTTTTTGAAAATTCTATTAAAATAAAGGTCATCAAAAGATCTCTTCCTAAACCTTTCCTCTACCAGAAATACCTCTGGAATGACATGGTCCTTTCTCCCTTTCTTTTTTTAAATACAAACTTTATTTAATATAGAATTAACATTAATTTTGGAAGCAATACTGTTAAGTACATTCATAGGTATATCTAAAGTCAGTTTTTATTCAAAGCATGATTTTAAATAAATCCCTTCTTGCTTTTGTAGAAGTCCAAAGCTAATCTGCCCCAATCCGGATTGCATGCACTTGTGCCTTTTGGGGGCCCTTGTGCATTCGTTCTTCCTTCCCTTCTAAACTCAAAAATGTATTTTCTGTATTGGCTCTTTCCCTTTAATATAGAAGTATACTCACCCTTTTTGTTGAATCTTGGAATAAAAGGCTTTCTTTACCATATGTCTCCCTTTGACTACTACTACATCTCTCTTCTCAGCCAAATACTTGGGAAGAGAAGCCCTCAGTTTGTGTCATTGTTTTCTCACCTCCAGTTCAATACTTTACCCACTTCCTGACATCCAGCTCACTCACACACACACACAAGCCCAATCACTAAGTTATCATAGCTGATTTGTAGCTTTCCTGCCCTCCTGGCAACATTTGACTCTGTGCATTGAGATAATACACGTTGAGTACCTATTGACCAGGCACTGTGTTAGGTGCTGCTGTTATAGAAATGAAAAGCAGACATCATCTCCTTTCTAATGACTTACAGAGGCAGCCATTCCTGATTTATATGCAGGTGTCTTGACTCCCAGTGCTCACATTTGCAAGCTTCACTTAATGCCATGGAAATCACCCTATTCTCCGTATTTTTTTCTTCCCAATTCTTCTTACTATACAGAGCTTCTCAAGGCAATCACTTCCATGCCCATGGCTTCAGTTGCATTCTCTATTCTCTGAGGACAATAGAATTTTAAATGTTTTGTTTCATGTATTAGTTTTATTTTATACAAGATGCCTCATTTGCTGTAACCATAGATTCAGAGTTGCTCCATGAAAGTAATAAATGAAAAATGGTGATATTATTAGCATGCAAATTTTAGGAAATTTCCCCGGTTACTCTTAATGGTTTGATTTAGTATGTGTGTTATTTTTGAAAATATATGTTGGGATGTCACAAATGGACTTAGGCTACAGAGATTTATATTCAACTTTTGACCATAGAATTCCATTTTATGTGACACTGAGAGTAAAAAACTATCTTTTCCTCCTTACCTATTTCTCTTCCTACATTCTCTGCCAGGAGGAAGGCACCGCTACATACTCAGTCTTCCCCAGCAGAGCCTGAGCGCTCTGTTTTCCCTCTGCTTCCCCTCTTCTTTCACATCTCATGACCAAGCACTTCCTATTCCATCTCCCAAATGATCAGAAAACTTTTTCCTCAACTTTTGTCACTGCCACTGCCTTTATCATTACTCTTCTTTTAGATAAAGTCTCTTAATTGGTCTTGTTGCTTCCTTTAGTCCTTCATTATTATACAGACCACTATACACACATCTGACAGAGATGCCTCACCTTTGTATGATTCAATGACTCAAATTTTCAGAATAAAATTAAAACCATCCCAGCAACAAATTTGGGATCAAATATGGGTGGGTCTGTATCCTAGGTTCATACCCTGTCCAGCAGTGTAGTCTCAGAAAACTGAACTCCTTAAGCCTTTGTTTGTGTATCTGCCTACACTAATTGAGAGTTAGGACTGTTTCACACATACAGTGCCTGGTATGTAGAAGGGACTTAATGTTGAATGAAGGGGAGGCATTTTAAAATCCACATCAAGAAATGTTTTTCTTTTAAAAATATACTAATCTACAATGTCACTTTCCCTCCAAGCTTGACTTCTACCTTTACTTTCTGATATGGTTTGGGCATGTCCCCACCCAAATCTCATCTTGAATTGTAATCTCATAATCCCCACGTGTTGAGGGAGGGACCCAGTGGGAGATAACTGGATCATGGGGACAGTTTCGCCCATGCTGTTCTTATGATAGTGAGTGAGTTCTCATGAGAACTGATGGTTTTATACATGTTTGATAGTTGCTCCTTCACATGCTCACACTCTCTGGCCTGCTGCCATGTAAGAAGTGCCTGCTTCCTTTTCCACTATGATTGTAGGTTTCCTAAGGCCTCCCCAGTCATGTGGAACATGAGTCAATTCAACCTCTTTCCTTTATAAATTACTCAACCTTTATAAATTACCTGTCAACCTCAGGTATTTCTTTATAGCAGTGTGAAAATGGACCAATACACTTTCTGATAATCCTGCTTGAGAAATTGGGGGAATTCATACTACCTGGGATCAAATTGTGGCCCCAGCCTGAGCAGTCGTGTGACCTTGGGGAGATAACTTACTTTCTCCATTTCAGTGTCTTCTGTAAAACCTGTAAAATGAGATTGTTTCTGAGGGTTAAATGAGCATAGCACAGTTAGAATACTGTCAGGCACATACTGATTGCCAGATGTTGAGTATTCATCTTTATTGAATTAGGACTGTGGTACCCCACTTTATGGCTCTCTATTTTGTATGACAAAATCATGCTTAGTGCTTTGTTAGTAAAAGAGAGAATAATCTGAAAGTTTTTCCTGTGGAAGGAAGAAACAGAGGGGAGAAAAGGGAGTTGGTAAGTTTCAGCATTTCAGAACTTGGAGGGACAAGTCAGGTTTCTATTTTTTGGAGAAAGAGGTGGAGGCAGGATGGGTCCTAAGGTGTCATTCAAGACACACAGCCATAACTCTTTATTGAGAGTAGAGCTAGAGCCCCAGGGACTGCTATGGTCAAGTTGCAGACAAAAACTACCACTCATTGGAAGACAGGAGAGGAATATTTAGTTACAAAAGCAGTCAACAATTCAGGTGTATCTACATTCAGTCAGCAAATAAAAGTTGCTCAACTTGGTTGCTAATGGGACCCACTCTACTAACTGAGGATTTGTATAGAACTCATAGAGGAAGATGGCTTCAAGTAAGGAACCACCTTGTGCTTTTCTTGGGACTAAAAAGCTCAGGAAGCCGGTGATGAATGAAAATCTTAGTCCCACTGGCACTGTGCAAGGGGCCAGGAGAGCAGCAGCATCATAAGCCTCAGGGTGAGGCAGCCCAGGCAGGGGCATTCTGAGCTGTAGGGGAGGTGGGGCAGCCAGGGTGGGGCATTGTGAGCTGTCAGGGAGGGCATTGTGAAGTGTGGGGTGGGGCATTGTGAGCCACAAGCCTGGGCTTCCACCTGGGCTAGTGTGCTTCAGTCTGTAGGTGACTGCAGAAGGAGGAGGAGCTCCATCTGTACTCTCTTCAGGCAGTTGTGTCTCTCAGTGCTTGTTGGGTTCACACCTATTAAATAAGCTGGCTGGTCTTCACCCTCCAAGAGAAGTCAACTCATGGGAGGTGGCAGGGTACAGGCATTGGCCCAAGCTGTGGCTGGGGCCAGGCTGTGGTGTCGGCAGGCAAGCAGCAGACAAGACCATCTCTGCAAGTGCAGCACAGCCTCAGCCTAGGGCAACGGGAGTGTGAGGCCAAAGCTGTGAGCAGAGGCATAGGTAGTGGCAGACAGGAGTAGAAGTGCCCCATGGGTAACATACTGACCTGTTGTGTGTGCCCCAGGGCCAGCCCTGATTTGGACCAGAACCAGGGGTCAGTGTGTCCCTGTGAGTCTGAGACCTATGAGGCAGCAGCTGGGGACATGATAGCAGGAGTGCCTGTGGCTGCTGCTGTAAAGCCTGGTGAGGTGACTTGTGAAGCTGATGAGGGCCTCCATGTACACCGCAGAGGCTCTGATTACTTTAAAATTCTTACTTTAACACAAAGTGTGTCTGCAGATTTATTCTGGTGACTTAACAGACATTATTTACCTCCTTGTTCTAAAAGAGAGGTGGGGATGGTTTGTGGTCAAAACTTTTAAAAGACATAAAATGTAAATATAGACTTTGAATGTGTAATATAAAGATTTAAGGTTAAAATGTCAGACCTTGCCTGTGTAAGAGTGTTTGTTGCCATGGCTCCCCCTTTGTCCTTACCCCTCCTGACAATAGCGTCCTGTTCAAAGATAAGAAAGTTGGAGTTTTTCAATGTCTACACTGCTGGGAGAGGCAGAGGGATGGGAGGTGGTAGAAAAGAGAAAACAATTAGTTGGTTTGCCTCTAAAATTTTGCAAAGGGATGAATCTAAGTAAAAAGAATTCTGGGTAACAATACAGTTCTTGAATAAAAACTAAATTTTTCAAAATAGAAAACATTGTATCACAAAGATATTAAATCCTTTGGCTCTTTGGTTTCATTTAAATGCCAGAGATATTATTACTGTAGAGGAAATGTGTTATAGCTCTTCTATTTAAACTTTGATTGGGCTCTGTATAGCCAAGACAATCCTAAGCAAAAAGAATGAGAACACATGGACACAGGGAAAGGAACATCACACACTGGGGCCCATCGGGTGTAGAGGGGCAAAGGGAGGGAGAGCATTAGGACAAATACCTCATGTATGTGAGGCTTAAAACCTCAATGATGGGTTGATATGGGCAGCAAACAACCATGGGACTTGTATACTTATGTAACAAACCTACACATTCTGCACATGTATCTCAGAACTTAAAGTGAAAAAAAAAACTTTGGTTGGGCTCATTTTTTCTGAGGTAGAATAATTAAGACTCATGATGAGTGTGACTTTTTCAAGATATTTAAGAATTTAGAATAAACAAATATGTGAATGAATTCATTATACCTTTATACACAAAGCATGTAACTATTTGTGTAAACATACTCCACTTGGTGGTGTAAGGAAAGCCTCTGAGTGATTTTACACACCAGTTAATAGATGGGTAGTGTTGGATGAGAGCCCAAAAAAGGCTCTTTATTGTCATTCTTTAGGATTACAGCACAGTTTACGTATGTCTCATTTGGCCCTTTGCAATACAAATAAGGCCTATATGTATGTTCTCCCTATGTTTTGCTAATGAAGAAATGAAGACTTAGAGATTTCATCTGACTATGGAAGACAGCTACTCAACAGAACTAAGGTTCTATGTACTCAGAATGACATGGAAGAGATAGATATGCTGAATTTACTTTTTAAAAATTTTAAACACTCCAGAATACATCTTATATTTTGCCAATAAAATAGACCTGTCTTTTAAAACATACTGCTCTCTTGTTTTATTCTATGAAGTTGATTTTACACAACTTAAAGGCAAATTTGCCTTTTTTTTTTTTTTTAAATAAAGGAGGGTCTCACTATGTTACTCATGCTGGCCTCAAATTCCTGACCTGGGCTCAAGGGATTTTCCCATCTCAGCCTCCTGAGTAGCTGGGAATACAGGCATGCACCATCTTGCCTGGCTTCGTCTTATGTCTATACATTCAATTTCAATGGATAAATAAGAATAAAAATAGAGGTAGTGAAATAGCCTAAATGCAGCAGTAAAATAAATGAGATGATAAATTTTTATAAATGATCACATCTTTTTTCTTCTCTCCCTCTATAGATTTACCTTTGGAGTCCAACCCTTCTGACCATCCAGAGGCAAGCACAATATTCCTGAGAAAATCTCAAATAGATGGTGAGACAACATTGTTTTTTCTGCCAAGAAAAAAAATAAAAGTCTTGTTCTTTGATCAGCTGTATTATAGAAAGTATTTAGAAACTCATATTGGTTTAATTTTTTCAACTTTTCACATATTTACTTGTCTTATTTTAATATGTGATATACTTTTTTTAAGTTGTTACTGTGTTAGTGAAATCATGTAAACTTTTTGTTTATACATTTTGCCATCTTTTTATCAATGCAATTTGTCATGTGATGGAGGAGTCATAGATTTATCTTTATTTATAATTCTTTGCCCCTTTTCCCTTGCTCCAAAGAGTACATTTTAAAGATAGAACTTAGGCTTCAGCTTGGTTTCCAGTTAAACAAATAAAAGAAAACATAGTTGTTCATCAGCAGAGATTGAATCTGTGATTTTGGACTCCTCTTGCACAGTCCCCTGATCACATGTGTTTATCACATCCAAGTTTATGCTTCTTGAAACTTTTAAGTTATTAACCTTTTCATCTAATGTAGTATAAATTTAAACATGCCCCACTCTTGCTTATTTTCCTTAATGTTATGTTAAATCCTCACTTGTTTGCTAAAAAGCCATACACAGCCAAGTTTTCCAGTTGATTTAAGCAGCAAGAATACAAGTGAGGATCTATAATAATATGGGAAGTAATGCAGCACAGTAAAATATGGGAGTTTGTAACCTTTCTTTTTGTAGTTTGAGTAGACTTTGCCTGTCTTGAGTCAGGTATTTCTGGTTAGAATTTGTGTTCAGTTTTGCATTACTATAAAGAGGTACCTAAGGCTGGGTAATTTACAACAAAAAGAAATTTAATTGGCTCATAAATCTTCAGGCTGTACAAGCATGGCTTCAACATCTGCTTCTGGTGAGAGCTTCAGCAAACTTACAATCATGATGGAAGGCAAAGGGGAAGCAGGTGGTTCCACATGGTGAGAGAGGGAGGGAGAGGTAGGTAGAGGGAAGGTGTCACACTCTTTTAAACTACCAGAATGAGAATTTGCTTCTTATCATGGGGATGGCACCAAGCCATTCATACGGAATCCACCACCATTACCCAAACACCTCCCACTAGGCCCTGTCTCCAACATTAAGGGTCACATTTTAACATGAGATTTGGAGGGGGAAAAATATCCAAACCATATCAGAGTTGTTTTTCCCAGTTCCTTCCAGAGCTATGGGCTTCTCACACATAGAGAGCATGGAAGAGGTAAAACAATAGCTATTCCATGTCCCTCACTCTTCAGTGGAAGGAATGTTTGCCTGCAAGGCCCTTCCAGCATCAAAGGTGGAGGTGGTGTAGGAAACAAAGCATGACCTCTTAGAGCTTTTATTATGCTGGCCTTTTTTTTTTTTTGAGAAAAAAAAAGATTTTCTTTGCTGCAGACACCATGTCCAATCAGGTTTGTATAGTCATTTTAAAATTTAAATTTAAGATAGGTTACTTTCCAGTTGTTTTGTTTTTAGTGACATGTTAGTAGATGATCACTAAGTGCGGTTCGAGATGCTTACAGCGATTCTGGTGCATCTAGAGATAGGTGCCTGGCCAGAAAGTAGTTCATAGAGCTGTTAGGATTCTGGTAAATGAGAAAATACTCATGGCTCATATATGCAAGAGTTAAACTTTTTTATTAGCTAACTTTTTCATCTGGCCTCATTTTTTCCCCTTTTCTTTTGTACACAAGGATTCTTTCATGTGTATGTAATAGAAACAAAGAGCAAACTGGGTTCAAAAAGTAAAACTAAGTTTTTAGATTTTACTTTATGAGATTTATCATGCCAGATAATTTAAATATAAATTGTTGAAAGTAATTTTTAAATGGAATTTTTCCTCATTTAGGAGTATTCAGTAAGACATTAACTACTACTCTTATTTTATAGTATTTGTATCAGAAGTGACCTTTTTTTTCATTCTTAGTACAAGAAAAAAGAAAAAGCAACTATACAGAGCGTGTACGTAAACAGTCAAAAAGTTAAGAAATTGATAGTTTGATATAAAAATATGTCTCTCTTGATTCCTTTAAATTATAATGGGGACCCAGTGGTGATAGCATGGACTTCTTTTTGTATTTTCCTAAGTATCGAATTTATCCAGAGAAGTCTTCAGCTTAGTGTGTCCACCTTTTAAGAATTTCTGACATTTAAGTTAAATTTCAATAGTCTGGTTGTGTCATAAAGATCTGCCTTAAATATTTAATCATATTTTTAATCAGATAACAAAAATAGAATAGCTAAGAAATAACAAATAACAGAATAACAAATACAGAATAATAAATATGAAAAATAGAATAGCTATCAGCACTGTCTATTGACTTTGTCATAGCAGATGAAAGCATACCTTCCTCACTACACCATGACCTTATTTTTCTCCCTCTGTTTCTTCCAATTGTAGCACACTTTTTAATTAAATCAGTAATATTTACATGATTATGACTATGCAAATTCTATTCACTGCTAAGTCATATGGTGTTTTCGCTGTGCCTCTGCATTATATGTCCTTCATTCCTTCTCTGAAACAGTTCTGAAATCTGAGCATTTCTGCACTTTTTCTGGGTCATCTCTTTTTCCCTAGCCTATGTTGCTTTACCCAGACAAATGCAATAAGTAGCCACTGGCTGGTCTGTTTGCTTTCACATCCATTATTTTTTAGCATGAAGCTAATTTTCTGACTATATTTGTTTGCCTGTTTTCTAACAGCTGTTTTCCCTTCAAGTGTTGTAGCATTTATCACATGCCTTTCAAAGATACTTTCCATCTGCTAAAACACATCTGTTCCATTTTTTTTTTTTTTTTTTTGCCGTCGGTAGTGGGGCAACTTTCTTTGGCATTTTGTCATTCTAGTTCAATATAGAGTGGCTTTCCCTAGATATGCTCGATGTCTGCTTTTCTGTGCTAGCGCCTTAAAGTCTTTTGGGATCTCACATAACTGCCATCTTGTGTGGGATCACCTGAGTCCTAGATTCTGTTTCCTGCTGTCCTGTTATCCTCTCTGGTTGTACTTGAGCACATTTTCCTGGGCAAAGATGTTTAGGGATCTGGCCAGTCTTAAAATCCCTCCTTTTTGATAGAGAGTAAACTTCTAGGTTGAATCTAAACTTTATGGTTCTGAAGATATTTCACAATTGTGCTCTCATTACAGTGTTGTTCTCGACTCTATTGCCATTGTGAGATACATTATTTATGACCAAGTTTTATGTATCTGTGGAAGCTTTTTAGAAGCTTCTTGCTCACTGAGAGTCTGAAATTTCTTAATAACAGCTTGGTGGGAATCTTTTCATTTTATTGAGGCTACTATGTCTGAAGACTATCTCTTCTTGGGAATTTTTAAATTTTCTCTGTTCCTTTTTTTCTGATAGTCTTGTTATTCAGATACTCGGCTGCTTAGACCAGTATACTTGCATTGTTTTTTAATTTTTCCTCTTCGATTTTTCAGTTTCTGTGACTTCTTACTCTAATATTTCTATTGCATTTCATATCTTTTTCAGTGTGTTTTTAGTTTTTTTTTAAATTTTATTATTATTATACTTTAAGTTTTAGGTTTTTAAAAAAGTTTTGCTCCTGATTTTGACTGGTCCATGAATCCCTTTTTTCTGTTGTTTTGCTCTCTCTTGTTGGAGGCTTCCTTCCAATGTGTGATGGTCCCTGGCTTTATTTGGAAGCAGGACTTCTGTTAACTGATAGCACTCAGTGTGAGGTTTTGGAAGCCAAACTAGCTTTTCATTTGCGAGACTTCAGTGAATTATCTGGGGATCTTTACTAGAGTCAGTTCAGTTTCTTCTGAGAAAGGATCTCCCAATTTTCTGCCTGGGAAGTAAAAGAATGTCTACTTGCTTTCCAAAAGCAGAGTTAGGGAAGCAAGTTGGAGTTCTATTTTTGGTGTACAGTTTTCTTTATATCTCAGGTTTAAGCTGTGATATTTCTGAACCTAGAAATTCTCAGGTTTGGTATATCCAGAGAACACACATCTGTTTCTTATCAGATGGGAGGACAGGTGGACTTGGGGCTCTAACCACAGATTTTCTGACCTTGCTGGCTTTTGTTTTACATTTTACCCTACTTTCCAAAGTTCCATTTGCCTGTAAGTTCACAGCTTGCCTTTACTTCTACAAGACAAACTGGCTTGCTTCTCTTCCAGTCACTTTCTGTAGGGACCAAAGTTGTGCTTCTGTGTTATTTACCACTACTTTATGTACTTTTTATGTCCCAGCATTTATTAAAAATCATCTCTGTCAACCTTTTCTCCTGATCCTGTGTGTAACCTGTATTTTATGTATGAGTAATGAGATTTCCAGAGGCAGAGGAAATAAATTTGTGGTCAATGTATTATATTTAATCCAAATTTAAGACCTATATTTACATGTGAATCAAAGTTTAATTTCAATATAATTAATGGTATTAACCCAGACAATTTTTTTATTGATGTATCTATAATAAGCGTATTATACTTTTCTCCTAAGGCCTTGTTTAATATTTTTATTCAAACTTACACTGCCATATTATCCAATTACCTCACAACATAGATGGAGCTGTTTTCATGAATGCCCAAAGTGTTAGAAATATTTAAGTTAATTAAAATTTGTTTATTTTTAGCTTGGTCAACATAGCAAGAACTCATCTCTACAGAAAGGTTAAATAACAAATTAGCCCGAGGCATGGTGGCATGTGCCTTTAGTTTTACCTACTCAGGAGGCTGAGGCAGAGGATCGCTTGATCTCAGGAGTTTGAGGCTGTAGTTAACTGTAACTGCACCACTGCACTCCAGCGTGAGCAACAAAGGGAGACCCTGTCTCAGAAAAAGAAAAAAGTTATTATTTAAAAACATATCTAAAATTTGTCCTGCCAAAAAGGAGAGAGGAAAACATAAACTTGAGTTTTCATTTTATTTTATAGTTGCTGGGAAGAATGCCGTAGTTTATTTATTTATATATTTTTATTTCCATAGGGTTTGGGGGAAACAGGTGGTATTTGGTTACATGAGTAAATTCTTTAGTGGTGATTTTTGAGATTTTGGTGTACCTGTTGCTTGAACAGTATCCACTGAACCCAATTTGTAGTCTTTTATCCCTCACCCCCTTCCCACCCTTTTCCCTGTGTCCCCAAAGTCCATTGTTTCATTCTTATGCCTTTGCATCCTCATAGCTTAGCTCCCACATATGAATGAGAACACATGATCTTTAGTTTTCCATTCCTGAGTTACTTCACTTAGAATAATAGTCTCCAATTCAATCCAGGTTGCTGGGAATGCCATTCATTTATTCCTTATTATGACTGAGTGGTATTTCTTAATCCACTTGTTGATTAATGGGCATTTGGGCTGGTTCCATATTTTTATAATTGAAAACTGTGCTGCTGCAAACATACATGTGCAAGAATCTTTTTTTGTATAATGACTTCTTTTCCTCTGGGTAGATACCCAGCAGTGGGATTGCTGGATTGAATGGTGGTTCTACTTTTAGTTTTTTAAGGAACCTCCACACTGCTTTCCATAGTGGTTGTACTAGTTTCCATTTTTACCAGCATTGTAGAGAAGTGTTTTCTTTTCACTGCATCCACACCAACATCTATAATTTTTTGATTTTTTGATCATGGCCATTCTTGCAGGAGTAAGGTGGTATGGCATTGTGGTTTTGATTTTCATTTTCCTGATCATTAGTGATGTTGAGCATTTTAGTGGTATATCTTCTTTTAAGAATTGTGTATTTATGTCCTTAGCCCACTTTTTGATGGGATTGTTTGTTTTTTCTCTTGCCCATTTGTTTGAGTTCCTTGTAGATTCTGTATATTAGTCCTTTGTCAGATATATAGATTGTGAAGATTTTCTCCCATTCTGTGGGTTGTCTGTTTACTCTGCTGATTGTTCCTTTTCCTGTGCAGAAGCTCTTTAGTTAAGTCTCACCTGTTTATCTTTGTTTTTGTTGCATTTGCTTTTGGGTTCTTGGTTATGAAGTCTTTGCCTAAGCCAATGTCTAGAAGGTTTTTCTGATGTTATCTTCAACAATTTTTAAGGTTTCAGGTTGTAGATTTATGTCCTTTATCCATCTTGAGTTGATTTTTGTATAAGGTGAAAGGTGAGGATCCAGTTTCATTCTCCTGCACGTGGCTTTGCCAATTATCGCAGCACCATTTGTTGAATAGGGTTTATGTTCTTCAATTTATGTTTTAGTTGGCTTTGTTGAAGATAAGTTGGCTGTATGTATTTGGGTTTATTTCTGGGGTTTTCATTCTCTTCCATTGGTGTATGTGCCTATTTTTATACCAGTACCATGCTGTTTTGGTGACAATGGCCTTATTGTATAGTTCAAAGTCAGATAATGTGATGGCTCCAGATTTGTTGTTTTTACTTAGTTTTGTTTTGGCTGTGCAGGTTCTTGTTTGGTACCATATTTTAGGATTGTTTTTTCTAGTTCTGTGAAAAATGATGATGGTATTTTGATAGGAATTGCATTGAATTTGTAGGTTGTTTTTGGCAGTATGGTCATTTTCACAATATTGATTCTACCCATTCATGAGCATGGGATGTCTTTCCACTTGTTTGTTATCCATGATTTCATTCAGCAATGTTTTGTAGTTTCCAATGGCATATCAAAAAGATAATCTGCCATGATCAAGTAGGTTTCATATCAGGGATGCAGGTATGGCTTAACATATGGAAGTCAATAAATGTGATACACCACATAAACAGAATTAAAAACAAAAATCACGTGATCATCTTAATAGATGCATAAAAAGCATTTAACAAAATCCAGCATCCTTTTATGATTAAAACCCTCAGCAAAATTTTCATACAAGGGACATACCTCAATGTGATAAAATCTATCCATTACAAACCCACAGCCAACATAATATTTAGTGGCAAAAATTTGAAAGCATTCCTCCTGAGAACTGGAACAAGACAAGGATGCCCACTCTCACCACTCCTATTCAATATAGTACTGGAAGGCCTAGCCAGAGCAATCACACAAGAGAAAGAAATAAAGGGCATGCACATCAGTAAATTGGAAGTCAAACTGTCACTGTTTGCTGATGATATGATCGTATACCTAGAAAACCCTAAAGACTCCTCCAAAAAAACTCCTAGAACTGATAATTGAATTCAGAAAAGTTTCCGGATACAAAATTAGTGTACACAAATCAGTAGCTCTGTTATACCCCAACAGCAACCAAGCTGAGAATCAAACCAATAACTCAACCCCTTTACAACAGCTGCAAGAAAAAAAAAAAAAAAACCTTAGGAATATACCTAAGCAAGGAGGTGAAAGACCTCTACAAGGAAAACAGCTTTAGTGTTTTTAATGTGTTAAAATGATGGGCAGCAGGTACAGTGGAAGAAGTCAGTGGTTGGGCATTGGCGTCCAACGGGTACTGGACCTTTGATGGTAAGGCTTTGGTTTTGACTTACTAAAATATGAGGTATGATTATTTTCTAGTTTTTGTCATTAAACCTTAAAACTACTAAGTAAACCCTTCCATTTCTCATTAAAGACTATACAATTTCATACTCTGTGATTTATGCTGACTGAAGTTAGATTTGTTTCTGTCTATTTTTGACTATCTTAAATAATACCTATAAATAGTAAACTGTTAGTAGTGTTTTTGTTGTAATTAAATGTAGTAAGATTTACCTCCAAATTATAACTGAATTAATTTGTCAAGCACTTGTTGAACTTTTTGATTTATTCAAAATTTTGTGCTGAGCAGCTGGAGGTAGGAACAGTTAGGGCCCTCCCTTACTCTTATGGAGAGACATACTTTCTCATGAAGGGAATACTCTGCTGGAATTAGTATCTTGTAACCAGTTAGTGTACAAAAAAACATGTTTTGGTGAGGCTACTGGCAAAGAGATCCAAGAGGGTAGATGGAGTCAAGCTTGCTGAAACAAGGAAGGCGAAAAGCATTATTCCAGGCAGAGAACGGGGTAGAGCAGGAAAATGCCTAGGTGCAGGTTAGATGATTTATAGAACAAAATTAATCAAGTTTTGAAATGAATGGAAAGTATTCTCTGAGAGTCCTATTTGAGTCATGTCATGTCAGTCTTATTTAAACATGAAGCGAAAGTTAAATTTTTTAAGTTGTCATCTCTTTTCAGGGTGTGAGAGAATATTTAAGTGACACTCTTTTTATCCTCCTCATAAGAAAACAGGACTAGAGAAACCTATGTCTTCCTCACTTATTGGTGGACTAGCAGACCTGGTACATAGAGCCTCTGAATCTGAAACACTTGTTTTGTCACAATATTGCCTGAAATATTACATTTAGGATTAGTAACTTAATAAATGTATTAGTCTTGTATTCATTGCAGTAAAATGGTCTTGTACCAATATTATTTAATACATTACATTTTACTGTAGTAAATAAATAACAGAAATAGAAATTCTCAGCTGTTTTATGCCACTATAGAAAAAAACAATCAAATCTTACTTTAAACTTTTCTCATTATTTATAAAGGAAATTAATAAAATCCTTGTTAGGTTTGATGATAGGTACCATATTAAGGGCAGCATTTTATAAACCATATCTCAAACATCATCTGTGGAAGTTAAGAGCCTCCAGTGGGTTTTCTATAGAGTGCACATGATACCACACTCAGGCAGTTCATGGAGTATAAGAAATATCCTAGTACTTTGAAAAATTTGACATTTTAACCAATGAAAAAGTACACTTTGATAAGTTTAACTTATACTTCCCTTCCCCTTCAGGTATCTAGTGAGCATTTTACTCAGCAATACAGTCCATGTTCGACAATATTCCTTGATGACAGCACTGCCAGCCAGCCTCATCTTACAATGACACTAAAATCATCAGTACAACTATAATGCTAAGGGACAGACTCCTTTATTCAAAAATTATTTCAGCCATTTGGTTGTACTCTTCAGCAATCAGTTTAAGAAATTGGAATCAACTATATATTGATATCCAGATTCTAAATATTAAGTATCAATTTCTCTTTTAATCTTAGATGCCATGGTGGAAGGAAAAAACAGCAAATAAGCAATCCCAGAAAAAGTGTAGCTATTTATTTGATGCCTTTATGCCTTAAGGCAATGTTGAATGCAATGAGAAGGATAGGTTCCCTTTATTGAGTGATTTTTGTGAAATATTAGTTTTTCAGTGCATTGTAGGCCTAAATCAATGTGTATTACTTTGGACATTAGTCTTGGAAGAAGGAATAGCTTTTTCTCTTCTGGCACCACAGTGTATCTGCATTTGATTTTCTCCCATTGTGCATGAGCACCTCATGGACCACAAAGATGTGCTTTGAGAGCATCCTGAAATGAAGTTTATTTTAAAAGGAACAACAACCAACACCACCACCAGCTCCACTGGGTTTGTCTAGTGTACATCATTATCACCTCTTTGGGTTATGAGTATTTATTTTTAGAACACAATTTGGAAAGTGCTAATTTAGAATATTAATGTATTCATCTTTAACTTTACTTTTCATTCTATAAACATAACTAGCTTATAAACAATTTTATTTCAAATGCTCTAGCATTTTTCACTAATTCAATTGTCAGTCACTTTTACTTTAATTAAAAATGGCAGCTGGCTCCTGACTTGGAGACACCTCCCAGCAGGGGTTGATAGACACCTCATACAGGAAAGCTGGCATTTGGCGGGTGCCCCTCTGGGACGAAGCTTCCAGAGGAAGGAGCAGGCAGCAATCTTTGCTGTTCTGCAGCCTCTGCTGGTGATACCCAGGAAAACGGTCTGGAGTGGACCTCCAGCAAACTCCAGCAGACCTGCAGAAGAGGCCTCTGAGTGTTAGAAGGAAAACTAGCAAACAGAAAGCAATAACATCAACATCAACATCAACAAAAAGGACAACAATGCAAAAACCCCATCAACATCAAAAGGTCATCAACAGCAAAGATCAAAGGTAGATAAATCTATGAAGATGTGAAAAAACCAGCATAAGAATGCTGAAAATGCTCAAAACCAGAATGCCCCTTCTCCTCCAAAGGATCACAGCTCCTCACCAGAAAGGGAACAAAACTGGATGGAGAATGAATTTGACAAATTGACAGAAGTAATCTTCTGAAGGTGGGTAATAACTAGCTCCTCCAAGCTAAAGGAGCATGTTCCAACCCAATGCAAGAATGCTAAGAACCTTCACAAAAGGTTACAGGAGCTGCTAACTAGAATAAAGAGTTTAGAGAAGAACATAAACGACCTGATGGAGCTGAAAAACACAGCACAAGAACTTTGTGAAGCATACACAAGTATCAATAGCACAAGAAAGGATATCAGAGATTGAAGATCACCTTAATGAAATAAAGTATGAAGACATGATTAGAGAAAAAAAGAATGAAAAGGACAAAACAAAGCCTCCAAGAAATATGGGACTATATGAAAAGACCAAACCTATGATTGATTGTTGTACTTGAAAGTGATGGGAAGAATGGAACCAAGTTGGAAAATACTCTTTAGAATGTTATCCAGGAGAAGGTCCCCAACCTAGCAAGACAGGCCAGCATTTAAATTCAAGAAATACAGAGAACACCACTAAGATACTCCTTGAGAAGAGCAATCCCAAGACATATAATCATCAGATTCAGCAAGGTTGAAATGAAGGAAAAAATTTTAAGGGCAGCCAGAGAGAAAGGTCGGGTTACCTACAAAGGGAAGCCCATCAGACCAACAGCAGATCTCTCTGCAGCAACCCTGCAAGCCAGAAGAGAGTGGGGGCCAATATTCAACGTTCTTAAAGAATGTTCAACCCAGAATTTCATATCCAGCCAAACTTAGCATCATAAGTGAAGGAGAAATAAAATCCTTTACAGACAAGCAAATGCTAAGGGATTTTGTCACCACCAGGCCTGCCTTACAAGAGCTCCTGAAGGAAGCACTAAATATTGAAAAACTGGTACCAGCTGCTGCAAAAACATAGCAAAATATAAAGACCAATGACACTATGAAGAAACTGCATCAACTAATATGCTAAATAACCAGCTAGCATCATGATGACAGGATCAAATCCACACATAATAATATTAACCTTAAATGTAAACAGGCTAAATGCCCCCATTAAAAGACACAGACTGGCAAATAGGATAAAGAGTCAAGACCCATTGGTGTGCTGTATTCAAGAGACCCATCTCATGTGCGATGACACACACGGGCACAAAATAAAGGGATGGGGGAATATTTACCAAGCAAATGGAAAGCAAAGAAAAGCAGGGGTTGCAATTCTACTCTCTGATAAAACAGACTTTAAACCAACAAAGATAAAAAAAGACAAAGAAGGGTATTACATAATGGTAAAGGGATCAATGCAATAAGAAGAGCTAACTACCCTAAATATATGTGTACCCAGTACAGGAGCACCCAGATTCATAAAGCAAGTTCTTACAGACCTACAAAGAGACTTAGATGTCCACACAATAATAGTGGAGACTTTAACACCCCACTGTCAATATCAGACAGATCAGTGAGACAGAAAATTAACAAGGATATTCAGGACTTGAACTCAACTCTGGAACAAGCAGATCTAAAAGACACCTACAGAACTCTCCACCCCAAATCAACAGAATATACATTATTCTCAGCACTTATTCTAAAATGGACCACTTAAATGGAAGTAAAACACTCCTGAGCCAATGCAAAAGAATGGAAATCGTAACAGTCTCTCAGACCATAGTGCAATCAAATTAGAACTCAAGATTTAGAAACTCACTCAAAACTGCACAACTATATGGAATCTGAACAACCTGCTCCTGAATGACTATTAAGAAGAACCTGCTCCTGAATGACTACTGAGTAAATAATGAAATTAAGGCAGAAATAAAGAAGTTGTTTGAAACCAATGAGAACAAAGACACAACATACCAGAATCTCTGGGACACAGCTAAAGCAGTGTTTAGAGGGAAATTTGTAGCACTAAATGTCCAGATCAGAAAGTGGGAAAGATATAAAATCAACACCCTAACATCACCATTAAAAGAACTAGAGAAGCAAGAACAAACAAATTCAAAAAGCTAGCAGAAGAAAAGAAATATCTAAGATCAGAGCAGAACTGAAGGAGATAGAGACTCAAAAATCCCCTCAAAAAATCAATGAATCCAAGAGCCGGTTTTCTGAAAAGGTTAACAAAATAGATAGACTGCTAACCAGATGAATAAAGAAGAAAAGGGAGAAGAATCAAAATGATACAATAAAAAATGATAAAGGATATCACCACCAATCCCACAGAAATACAGACTACCATCAGAGAATACTATAAACACCTCTGTGCAAATAAACTAGAAAATCTAGAAGAAATGGATAGATTCCTGGACACATGCACCCTCCAAAGATTAAACTAGGAAGAAGTTGAATCCATGAATAGACCAATAACAAGTTCTGAAATTGAAGCAGTAATTAATACCCTAACAACTAAGAAAAGTCCAGGACCAGACGTATTCCCAGTCAGATTCTACCAGAGGTACAAAGAGGAGCTGGTACCATTCTGAAACTATTCCAAACAATAGAAAAAGAGGGACTCCTGCCTAACTCATTTTATGAGGCCAGCATCATCCTGATACCAAAACCTGGCAGAGACACAATAGGAAAAGAAAATATCAGACCAGTATCCCTGATGAACATCAAACATGAAAATTATCATTTAAATACTGGCAAACTGAATCCAGCAGCACATCAAAAGCTTATCCACCATGATCAAGTCAGCTTCATCCTTGGGATGCAAGGCTGGTTCAACATATGCAGATCAATATATGTAATCCATCACATAAACAGAACCAATGAGAAAAACCATATGATTATCTCAATAGATGCAGAAAAGGCCTTCAATAAAATTCAACACCACTTCATGCTAAAAACACTTAATAAACTAGGTATTGATGGATAATAAGAGCTATTTATGGCAAACCTACAGCCAATATCATACTGAATGGGCAAAAGCTGGAAGCATTCCCTTTGAAAACCAGTGCAAGACAACGATGCCCTTTCTCACCACTCCTATTCAACATAGTATTGGAAATTTTGGAAATTCTGGCCACGGCAATCAGGCAAGAGAAAGAAATAAAGCGTATTTGAATAGGAAGAGAGGAAGTCAAATTGTCTCTGTTTGCAGATGATATGATTATCTATTTAGAAAACCCAATTGTCTCAGTTCAAAAACTCCTTAAGCTGATAAGCAACTTCAGTAAAGTCTCAGGATACAAAATCAATGTGCAAAAATCACAACCATTCCTATACACCAATAATAGACAAACAGAAAGCCAACTCATGAGTGAACTCCCATTCACAGTTGCTACAAAGAGAATAAAATACCTAGGAATACAATTTAAAAGGGATGTGAAGGACCTCTTCAAGGAGAACTACAAAACATGCTCAAGGAAGTAAGAGAGGACACAAACAAATAGAAAAATATTCCATGCTTATGTATAGGAAGAATCAGTATTGTGAAAATGGCCACACTGGCCAAAGTAATATATAAATTCAATGATATTTCCATCAAGCTACCACTGACTTTCTTCACAGAATTAGAAATACTACTTTAAATTTCATATGGAACCAAAAAAGATCTTGTATTAGCTAAGAAAATCCTAATCAAAAAGAACAAAGCGGGAGGCATCACACTACCTAACTTCAAACTATACCACAAGGCTACAGTGGCCAAAACAGCATGGTACTGGTACCAAAACAGATGTATAGACCAATGGAACAGAACAGAGGCCTCAGAAATAATGCCACACATCTACAACCATCTGATCTTTGACAAACCTGACAAACACAAGCAATGGGGAAAGGACCCCCTATTTAATAAATGGTGTTAGAAAAACTGGCTAGCCATACGCAGAAAACTGAAACTGGACCCCTTCCTTACATCTTATACAAAAATTAACTCAAGATGGATTAAAAACTTAAACATAAGACCTAAAACCATAAAATCCCTAGAAGAAAACCTAGGCAATACCATTCAGGACATAGGTGTGGGCAAAGACTTCATGACTAAGACACCAAAAGCAATGGCAACAAAAGCCAAAATTGACAAATGGAATCTAATTAAACTAAAGAGCTTCTGCACAGCAAAAGAAACTATCATCAGAGTGAACAGGCAACCTACAGAATGGGAGAAAATTTTTGCAATCTATCCGTCTGACAAAGGTCTAGTATCCAGTGTCTACAATGAACTTAAACAAACTTACAAGAAAAAAACAAGCCCATCAAACAGTGGGTGAAGCATATGAACAGACACTTCTCAAAAGAAGACATTTGTGCGGCCAAAAAACATATGAAAAAAAGCTCATCATCACTGGTCATTAGAGAAATGCAAATCAAAATTACAATGAGATACCATCTCATGCCAGTTAGAATGGCAAGCATTAAAAAGTCAGGAAACAAGATGCTGGAAAGGATGTGGAGAAATAGAAATGATTTGCACTGCTGGTGGGAGTGTAAATTAGTTCAACCTTTGTGGAGACAGTGTGGTGATTCCTCAAGGATCTAGAACCAGAAATAGCATTTGACCCAGAAATCCCATTACTGGGTATATACCCAAAGGATTATAAATCATTCTACTATAAAGACATATGCACATATATGTTTATTACTGCACTATTTACAATAGCAAAGACTTGGAACCAACCCAAATGCCTGTCAATGATAGACTGGGTAAAGAAAATGTGCCACATATACACAATGGAATAATATGCAGCCATAAGAAATAATGAGTTCATGTCCTTTGCAGGGACATGGATGAAGCTGGAAACCATCATTCTCAGCAAACTAAGACAGGAACAGAAAACCAAACACCACATGTTCTCGCTCATAAGTGGGTGTTGAACAATGAGAGCACGTGGACACAGGGAGGGGAATATCAAACACCAGGGCCTGTCAGGGGGTCAGAGGCAAGGGGAGGGATAGCATTAGGAGAAATACCTAACGCATGTGGGGCTTAAAACCTAGATGATGGGTTGATGGGTGCAGCAAACCACCATTGCACATGTATACATATGTAACAAACCTGCACGTTCTGCACATGTATCCCAGAACTTAAAGTATAATTTAAAAAAACATGGCGGCCAGGCATGGTGGCTCATGACTGTAATCCCAGCACTTCAGGAGGCCAAGGCAGGCCAATCACCTGAGATCAGGAGTCCGAGACCAGCCTGGCTAACATGGCAAAACCCTGTCTCTACTAAAAATACAAAAATTAGCTGAGTGTGATGGTGGGTGCCTGTAATTCCGCTACTTGGGAGGCTGAGGCAGGAGAATCACTTGAACCCAGGAGGCAGAAGTTGCAGTGAGCCAAGATCACGCCATTGCACTCCAGCCTGGGCAACAAGAGTGAAACTCCATTTCTAAAACCAATAACAACAACAACAACAACAACAACAAAGAGGCAACTTTACACTCATGATAATGTCACTTCCCTCTCTCCCTTATCATAGTAGTAGAGATAAAATTGTGTTTCAGTAAAAACTGGATTCAAACCCTGTCTCAAGTCCTGAGCTTTGGGACCTATTGAGTAATCGGTAAATGTTTGTATTCAGCTAAGCCTCTAAATCCTTGAGCAACAACAACAAGAACAACAACAACAACAACAGGTCACTCTGGCTCATGTCCCTGGCTTCTTCTGAATTCAAAAGTTTTGATGTGATAGTATACAATTCAAAAGGAGTTTTAAACATTACTCCATTAATCTTGCTCAAACAAATTTCATGCTTTTTTCCTCATTATTCTAATTTTTAGAAGTCTACTTCTGAAAGTAAAGTAAGTTTTAATTTCCCATCAACAAGTTTGAGAAATTATCATTTGGTATATTCACTATTAGTGAAATAAAGGTTTATTGAGCAAATTAATAGGGCACATTGGCTTCAAGAAAAGATTTTGAAAAATGTTTATTACGGGTTAGTAGTGCACTGTTGTCAATGGGGTAGATGGAACTCATTGGGATCACTTTTGCAAGGTTTGTTTTCAAAATACATGTCTGCAAACATTTGTGTCTTCCCACCTCAACCTTCCCTCTATCTCTAGGTACTGAGAAGCCCTTTAGGAAAATTGGAATGGATGTGAGGCATCGTCATGTGAAGAAAAGCATCTCAGAAGGTTCTGATTTTCACACCAACTCAATCATTCCAAACTTTGCTGCACTTTGAAATCACCAGGGAAATTTTTAACAATAACTCTGATACCCAAAGTCCTACCCAATGCTAATTAATTAAATCAAAAAGTCTCATGTTGAAAATAAGGCAGTTATTAAAGCTCCTCAGTTGATTTTAATGTGCAGCAAAGTTTGAGAGACACTGCTTAATTTGAATTTAGGACGAGAAACTGCTCCTATTTAGTGGGACCTTGGGCAAGTCAGTTTTAAGGTTTCTTTCCCTAATCTGTAAAATGAGTTTTGGATTAAATGTCATATAAGGTCATTGGTCCTTTCCAGCATGTAACTTCAAATTCTGTGATTTTAAAATGATTTTAGAGATGAAAACTATTTGAAGCACTATAGACATATTCATCTTAAATGCTAATGTTACAGGCTTTTTAAAAAGTGTTAATATTGTATAGACCTATTATTAAAATTCAGATTTGCCTTCCCTCAGTTATTCTGAGCCTCATTCTAGATGCTGAGGGCAAATGGAAGCACATAACTTATGCAAGAGAACCTCTTGTTTTGTGATATGCAGCATCTGTGAGTAACTTAGGAATACAGTTACATATATCTGAAGAGGTGTATCTGTTCATAAATATTTCAGTTAAACTAGTTGAAGGTACCTGCCGTTCACATTATACTGTGTCGTGTTACACTGCCTTGTTAGCACAGCTTATTTTAGGATCACTGCACCTATCATTGATTTCCTGTGTGCTTATGTTTACTAATATATTTTTTAATAATTATGCAAAAGTGATTTCAAATAATTTTGTTATAAAGCACTTTCATTATGTATTTTTAGGGAAATAATTTAAAATGGGTGGGAGGAGATAGTGAACTAAATTAAATGCAGGACCTAACACCTTATAAAAGAAAACACTACTGTATGTCTTAAACATATGGACACATAGATGTAAACTGCATGAAGCTGTGTGCAGTGGCTCATGCCTGTAATCCCAGCACTTTGGGAGTTCCGAGGCAGGTGGATCACTTGAGGCCAGGAGTTTGAGACCAACCTGGCCATCATGGTGAGACCCTGTCCCTACTAAAAATACAAAAATTAGCTGGGCGTATTGGTGCAAACCTGTAGTTCCAGCTTCTTGGGAGGCTGAGGCATGAGAATTGCTTGTACCTGGGAGGTGGAAGTTTTGGTGAGCCAAGATTGCGCCACTGCACTCTAGTCTGGGTGACAGATTGAGACTCTGGGTCAAAAAATAAATAAATGCATAAAATAAATTGCATGGGATGAAAGGTTTTGTGGGTAGAAGAGCATATAACAGGGAAATATGTTGTTATTTATATATTATAATCATCAACAGAAACATGTCTTCTAAAAGCATACTGCCTTGAATTTTGGTTCTCATATTTTTGCGAAAAGCTAAGAAACAAAAACAAGAAAGTGCCCTTATGGTACTGTTCTGAACTATAAGATTTGAATTTCAGAGCCGCTAGGAGTGTTTCCTCTGCCCCCCTTTTAAAAAATGTCTTCAAGCCTAACAAATGATAACATTTATTGTTATGAATTTTTTTCCCTTCCACAGTGTGACCTTGGTGATATATTAACATATCAAGCAAAGGTGAGCTTTTCTAAAACCTGTCTTGTTATTCTGGCTAATTACTTTGCATGATATCAAGCTGAGCGTTAGGTCACAGCTCTAGACATCATAAGCTGTATTGTGCCTACTAAAATATCAAAGCAAACTATTTGTGTTTTCTTTGGTCCTTGAGACTTTATAAATTCTTAAATGATTGAGTATCCCAATGAGTATGATTTTATATTGATTATATTTATATTTACTGTGATAGAAATATAAAATTGATATTTTTTCAAAATCTATTTTTAGTTTAGATTTCACAGACTTAACACTATTGCTATCATGAGCTAGATAATGCTCTGTGAGGACTGTCCTGTGCATTACAAAAAGTTTAGCAACATTGATGGCCTCTACCAACTAGATGTCAGTAGTAACCCATGACCCAGGTTGTGGCAATAGAAAATATTCCTTGAGAACAATATTGTTAACATAAATTTTTAGATGAAAATATAACTTTTCTATGATAAAACGTTTAGTATAAAGTGTGTCATGTATTTACATTATTGAAAATCTGTAGTGTTGAGCTTAATAGAAGGCAGCTGGATTCTCTCTTTCTTTGCAATTTGCTTTAAAGAAGCAATAAGATGACCTAGCCTCATGCAAATATATAGTTGGTAAAAGGTGTATTTTTAAAGCTTTAAGACAGTTTGGGTATTCTTTAATACTAAATCAAAACTTTACAAGTGCTTGTTTCTTAAATTAGTTATAGTGGCATTTTACATAGTAGCAAATGTATTCCATCAGTACTCACTGATCTTTCTTGCACAATAAATTGTTCTTTCCCCACATACTTGCATTTATAATATTATGCATTAGTTATTTAGAAAATATTGGTTTATGTTTTATTGTGTCAGAAATCACTTTTTTAAATTTAACCACCAATCTTATTTTAAAACATCTTTAAGTATTGAGAAGCTGTCAAGCTTACAGTAGAAGGAACAAGTTTTTCAAAGTCCTCAGGAAAGCTCAACTTTTGTCTTTGGAAACAAATACTTATTTTCCTTGTGACACATTTTGTGACACATTTCCTTGTGAACGAGTGACAGCTTCATTTATTTTTGAGAATGATAGTTGCACCTTTTTTTAAGACTGAGTTTCACTCTGTCACTTGGCTAGAGTCCATTGGCATGATCTCAGCTCAAGCAATCCTCTCACCTCAGGTTCCTGAGTAGCTGGGACCACAGATGTATGTCAGCATGCCTGGATAATTTTTTTTGTATTTTTGGTAGAGACAGGGTTTCGTCATGTTGCCCAGGCTGGTCTCAAACTCCTAAAGGAGCTCAAGTGATCTGTCTGTTTTGGCTTCCCAAAGTGCTGGGATTTTACAGGAGTGAGCCATTGCGCTGGCCGGTTGTACTTTTAAATGAAATTGATGTTTCTCTTTAGTTATCTGCAGTATATTCTCATGATATATTTATTATTTTCAGTAGTTTAAGGGAAGCTAGCAAATCTGAATCACATTTAAATTTGTTAAAGTTCTAAGGAGAGTATTGTCCACCACTACTACTTTGTAAAACATTTCTGTGTTTCAGTGTGTGGTTAGAGGAGTGACAATGTGTTTGGTTTATTGCCATTGCCTGTTAGGGAGGGTCAATACTCACAGGCATTTCTGACTGGTTATGGTATAAAAGACTGCACAGTACAGGACATGCTATGCTGAGGAAGAAGAGGTCAGGAAACCCTCTGCAAGTCAGTATCAAGGAGAATTTGTAAAAACTGTTTGCTTTGGTGAAGTAAACACCAAAGCACATAGGCACACAGGAGGCATTATTTTACTAAATGGATATTATACTAAGATATTAACAGTTTTTGAAGTAATACACATTCTTATTTTATAGAGATGCAGATAGATCTTTGGGCATATTTGATGAACGGTTACACCCATTTACAGTAAGTGTCACTTATTTATTTATTTATTTATTTTTTGAGATGGAGTTTCGCTCTTGTTGCCCAGGCTGTAGTGCAATGGTGTCATCTTGGCTCACTGGAACCTCTGCCTCCCAGGTTCAAGCAATTCTCCTGCTTCAGCCTCCCAAGTAGCTGGGGTTACAGGTACCCACCACCACGCCTGGCTAATTTTGTATTTTTAGTAGAAGGGTTTCACCATGTTAGCCAGGCTGGTTTTGAATTCCTGACCTCAGCCTCCCAAAGTGCTGGGATTACAGGCATGAGCTACTGCACCTGGCCCAGTAAGTGTCACTTTTATTGAGTTTGTATTTTCTTTTCTTTTCTTTTTTTTTTTTTTTTGAGACCGAGTCTTGCTCTGTTGCCCAGGCTGTTGTTCAGGGGCGTGATCTCAGCTCACTGCAAGCTCTGCCTCCTGGGTTCACACTATTCTCCTGCCTCAGCCTCCCAAGTAGCTGGGACTACAGGCGCCCATCACCACACCAGGCTAATTTTTTGTATTTTTAGTAGAGATGGAGTTTCACCGTGTTAGCCAGGATGGTCTCGATCTCCTGACCTCGGGATCTGCCCACCTCGGCCTCCCAAAATGCTGGGATTACAGGCGTGAGCCACCACGCCCTTCCTGAGTTTGTATTTTCATCATAGATTTGTATCTGTTTCATGCCTGCAGTCAAAGGCATCTTTCTTTAAGTCTTGTTCCTCATTTCATGTGGCATCTAGTCATCTTATTTTAAAAGTGTTGTAAAAAGTACATGCTGGAATAAGAACTGATCTGCAGGTATGTTTAATTAGTGAGATAATATGAGCAAATACACTATCCAAATAACAGAAAACATATCTTTTTAAAAGATAATTGTCAGTAGTATCAAGCTATATAAGTATATGTAAATACTTTTAACACAGAAGCATGATTTTTATGAAGAGGGTTAAAAATAATTTAAGTTCTCCGGGTGTGGTGGCTCACACCTTTGTAATCACAGCACTTTGGGAGGCTGAGGTGGGGGGATCACTGGAGGTCAGGAGTTTGAGACCAGCCTGACCAGTATGATGAAACCCTGTCTCTACTAAAAATACAAAAATTATCTGGGCATGGTGGCATGCGCCTGTAATCCCAGCTACTCGGGAGGCTGAGATAGAAGAATCGCTTGAACCCAGGAGGTGGAGGTTGCAGTGAGCCGAGATCACACCATTGCACTCCAGCCTGGGCAACAAGAGTGAAAATCCATCTCAAAAAAAAAAAAAAAAAGAATTTAAGTTTAAATCAACTTACATGGTGTAAAAACTTAAAAATGTATTTTCTCAGGTGCATAATAGCCACATGTGACTAGTGACTGTTGTATTTATCAGCACAGGCTTAGAGCCTCATGGTTACAGGAAACTATATTTTTTCAAAGTTTATTGCAGAGAAGAATGACATACGGTCAGTAAGACATTAAAGCCTAGTAATAGCTTACATTTGGATGGAATTATGTGGGGGAAAGGGTAAAAAAGAACACAAACATTTTCTGAGCTTAAGCTCAATTATTTTTAAGTGAATGTTGATGAGTATGAAATCATTATGGTATTTCAGGATTCTACTGTTCATATTGTAAAAACTAAAAGACATCTCACCAATCAAAATTATCGTTAAGTGACACATGGGCACAAATGTGAACACTTCTGTCTTAAGAACACCTCAGGTTTTTTCTTCAATGGATACTTACATTACATCCTTTCTTCTTTCAGTGAGAAGACGTTTTGGAGGAATATTTTAAATATGATCCTTAACACAAATTGGTTTTCAGTTTTGTTTGTATTCTGTTTAAAGCCATAAGGCTAACAGCTGAATTTGCAATTGTAAGTTTGGTAAGATATTTTCTATTTCTAAAGCAGCTTTAGAAATTCTTCTTGTAAACAGGGTGGTGTGGTCCTGTTTTTAAATAACAGTAGGTTTCTGAAATTATCTCAGAATTTCGAGAGGAACTTATGAAAGCAAATACACACATTTTAGTTGAATCATCATTATGGCTTAAAATCTCACAATTGCTTTTCTCATCACAGAGCAATTGCTATTAAAGGCAGCAGGAGGGATTTCTGATTTCTCCCCCAACACTTCAATAAACACATGCACACACAGTGCACACACATCCAGGGCTTGTGGAGGGTTTGGAATGGGGAGCAGTAACAAAACCATCTGGCCGACGGGCAGGAAGGGATGCTGGTGTAGGTCTAAGCTGAGTCCCAGGCTGTATCCCCAGGCAATTCTGATGCATGTTGTCATTGACAGCTGCTGCCCTCAAGTCTTTGTTCCTTGGATGATGTGGGTTAATATATCCCTGCTGATCACCTGTGCCTTCTCATGAAGTTGCCCAGGAATGTGGTTCCAGTTGGTCTACCAAACCATAGCTGTGTCATTACATTTACATTATCCCTACAGAATTCCTTTTGTAAAACTATAATTTTAAATAATAGATTCTGTTCAAATTATTAAAAATAGTCTTACTCCTCCCCACAACAGACCTATGGAGGAAAGTCAACTTCATGGCCAGGAATGAAAAAATACTTATGTGAATACTTCTTTAGCAACCAGCTAGAGTCTAGAGGAGAAGGCTCCTGCTGTGCACTTGGAATGAAAGCCCTGAAAGGGCGCTGGACCAGATACAGGCCTTCTCGAGGAGCTGCAAGTCATTTGGAACTCTTAGCACGTGCTAGAGGGAAGCAGGAGTGGTGCTTCCAGATGTAGAGAGATAGGTGATGCAGGAGGGAAAGCTGGATTGGAAAAGGGAGAGTTTTGTACATGGGCTAAGCTTGATGTGCCTTTGAGAGAGCAGAGTAGCAGAGTGTAGTCATCATTTGGATATACAGGACTAGAGCATGAATCTGACATAGAGCTACAGAATGAAGAGCAACAGAAGCTGTTTAAATACCAAGAAAGTGTGTAGAATGAAATTGGACAAGCCGGGCATGGTGGTTTCACACCTTTAGTCCTAGATACTTGGGAGGCTGAGGTGGGGGAATTACTTGAGCCCAGCAGTTTAAGTCCAGTCTGGGCCAGCTAATGAGACCCTGTATTTATTTATTTATTTATTTATTTATTTATTTATTTATTTATTTAGAGACAGAGTCTCACTGTGTCACCCAGGCTGCAGTGCAGTGGCGTGATCTCTGCGCACTGCAAGCTCCGCCTCCCAGGTTCATGCCATTCTCCTGCCTCAGCCTCCCGAGTAGCTGGGACTACAGGCGCCCGCCACAACACCCGGCTAATTTTTTGTATTTTTAGTAGAGATGGGGTTTCACCGTGTTAGCCAGGATGGTTTCAATCTCCTAACTTCGTGATCCACCCACCTCAGCCTCCAGAAGTGTTGGGGTTACAGGCGTGAGCCACTGCGCCAGCCTGAGACCCTGTATCTTAAGAAAACAAAAAGTAAGGCCGGGTACATTATCTCACGCCTGTAATGCTAGCACTTTGGGAGGCCAAGTTGAAAGGATTGCTCAAGTGTAGGAGTTCAAGACCAGACTGGGCAATAAAGTGAGACCCATTTCTACAAAAAAAAAAATTAAGAAATTAGCTGGACATGATGACACATGCCTGTGGCACCAGGCACATGGCAGACTGAGGCAGGAAGATCACTTGAGCCCAGGAGGTGGAGGCTGCACTCCAGCCTGGGCAAGTGAGTGAGACCCTGTCTCGAAAACAGATAAAATGGACAGAAAATAGTTTGGTAAGGACTATTATCATTTGAGGGACAAGCCCCCAGTGGAGTAGCCACTAGAGTGGGAAGAGGAAAAGCAGAAAAGGATAATAAAAGGAGAAAGAGTTCAAGATAGGAGAAGCTGTGGTCACAGTGCTGAATGCTGCCAAGCAGTGACTTGATTCATGAACACTCACTGGATGCTGACCCTGTGCCGCTCTTCTAAGTGCTGGGGTAGAGGAGAGGACAGGTGGATCACAGTTCTTGCTTTTATGAGCTTATGTTCTAGGAAGATGGAACTTAAGTATTTTCTCAGGTAGTATGAAACAGCAGGAAGAGGAAGCAGGATAAAGGGATACAGAGTGATTGGGGGCTATTTTAGGTAAAATGATAAGGAAGAGCCTCTCTAGAGAGCTGACATTTGAACAGTGACCTGACTGAAGGAACAACGGACAAGAGTGCTGACATTACAGGCAGCAGGATGACTGTAAAGACAGACAGAAATGCATTTCTTATGTGTTTGAGGAACAAACAGCAAGGTGACCAGCATGGTCAGAGTGAAGAATGAGGGAAACAGTGGAGATGAGGCCCCTCAGGCAGTACCATAGCTCACAGGGCCTTTTGGCTTGTAGGCCATAGGAAGAAGTTAAGGTTTTACTCCAGTTTGATGGGAAGCTCATGGTAGATCTTGAGCAGGGCAGTGCCATGCTCTAAATGAAGAGGTTATGCTGGCTGCTTTGGGGACACTAAGCCATAATTGGGAGGCAGAGTGAAGGCAGTGAAGAGGGTTAAGAAGCACCTAGGGTAATACAGGTGAGCAGTGACAGACTGTGGGTCATCATCAAACCATGCAGACCACCAGTGAAGGTAGACGTAAGAGGCATTGCACACAGATTGGAGCAGGGGAACTGAAATGCAGGTATTTGCCCCAGCACCTAGGCAAATGGCACATGTGTGGCCTTTGAAATAATTATTTGGCCAGTGACAGGTCTAGGGCCTCTGGACTGTGAAAAATGTGTAGTTTCACCCTGAGTTACACATTGTGAATTTGCCTTTGCTGGTGTTCCCCCTGCTTTTATCTGAAGTTCTGTTTTATAGAAACCTTGAGATACAGAATAGCCACAGATCCCTGTGCCCCATCCCATCCCCAATAGGAGTGTTGCATGTGTTTAGAAATTGGGCTGATGAGTTAGAAGTTCCAGTGTTCCCCTCAGGCAGTCTGAGAAACATTGCTGGAGCATCACCCAGTGCTCACCACACTCAAGAGGTTCCCGGGGCACTCATACAACCACAGCAGCACTTTGGGGGCCCCGAGTTACCTGTGAGAGTGTAAGAAATCTTGCTGAGTCATGGGGTTGCTCACAGATGGCACCAACATGATGCTGAAACAGAAGCTTCATGGGGTCTTTCTTCCAGTCTAGCCTCATGACTGCTTTAAAGGGAAGGGCCTTGGAGCTGGTAGGTAGAGAGAGCCAGGGAGGCATTTTGAGCAGAGGCTCTCACAGTGTCCACTAGAGATTGAGAATGGCTTTGTGGGTGACACTTAGGGAAACCTGAAGGAACACCTCTTGATGACATTGAGCACCGTATGAAGATCAAGATCATGACAGGCAGTGGCAAGAGGTTTCGGGTTTTTGTTTTTCTTTTTTTTTTTTTTTTTTTTTACATTTGCCTGTTTCTCCAGTTAAGACTGTCTTTCAGAATGTATGGAATCACAGAGGTGGAACCTGATGGCTGAATAGCAGTCTCTGCCAATTGTGCTCCCTTCAGGAATAGCAAATTTAGCAACTATCTAAATAAAAAAACCACCTGCATAGGAACTAAAAATCAGGTAAGCAATCATAGTACCTGGTTTTAACTTCATATCACTGAAAGAAGCACTGAATAGTGTAGAAAAAAGACAGTCTTGAATTGCTGATGCCACCCTTTCCCCATGTCCCAGCTGTGGACCTGTGGTGAGGAGAGGGGCTACATGCTTGGGGGAGGGAGAGCACAGCAACTGTGGGACTTTGCACTAAATTCAGTGCTGCCTTGTCATAGCAGAAAGCAAAACAAGGCTGCACTCATCCAATGCCCACCCACGGAGGAAACATTTAGACTAGCCCTAGCCAGAGAGGAATTTTTCATGCCAGTGGTTGGAACTTGAGTTGTGAAAGGCTACTGGCTACTGTGGGATAAAATACTCTGGGGTCCTTAATAAATCTGAAAGTCCATCTAGGCCACAAGGAATGCTGTGCTGTGCTTGGAGACAGTGTATTTAGGGGCATGTGACCTACAGAGACAGCAGCTGGGGCAGCTAGGGAGTGCTTGCCCACCCTTCCTCCAATCCTAGACAGTGCAACTCACAGCTCTGACAGAGACCTCTTTCTTCTGCTTGAGGGGAGGAAAGAGGACTTTGTCTTGCAACTTGGATACTAGCTCAGCCACAGTAGGAGAGGGCACTGGTCAGAGTCATGAGACCCCCATTTCAGGTCCCAGCTTCAGGATAACATCTCTAGACAAACCTTGGGCCAGAAGGGAACTTGCTGCCTTAAAGGGACTCAGTAATGGCAGGATTCATCACTTTCCAATGAAAGAGCCCTTGGGCCCTGAAGAATCATCAGTGGTGACCAGGTAGTACATGCCATGGCCCTTGAATGAGACTCAGAGATGTGCTTGCTGCAGGTGTGACCCAGGACATTCCCAGCTGTGGTGGCTGTGAGGAGAGACTCCCTCTGCTTGAGAAAAGCCGAGGGAAGAGTTAAGAGGATTTTTCTTGAGCTTAGATACCAGCTCAGCTACAGTGGAGAGGAGTACCAAGTGGGCTGTTGGAGTCCCTGATTCAGGCCTTGGCTCTTGGATGGCATCTCTGGACCTACCCTGGACCAGAGGGGAGCCCACTGCCCTGAAGTTTGAGTTCCAGGCCAGGCAGCATTCACCACAAGCTGACTGAAGTGCTTGGGCATTGAGTGAGCATCACTGGTGACCTGACAGTAATCCCCACGGGACTCTGTTGATGGTGTACGTGGGGACAAACTACTCTGCCTGGGGAAAGGGGAGGGAAGAGTGGGAATGGATTTGCCTAGTGGATTCAGTGCCAGCTCAGCCATGGTAGAGCAGAACACCAGGTAGATGTCTAAGGTTTATGACTCCAGCCCTGGCTCCCAGACAGCACCTCTGAACCCACCCAGGGACCAGAGGAACTTACTGCACTTAAAGGAAGGACAGAAGCCTGGCTGGCTTCACTACCTGCTAATTGTAGAGCCCCAGGGCCTTGAGCAAAATAGGTGGCAGCGGGTAGTTGTTACAGTGGGCCTTGGCCCACCACAGTGCTGTGCCAGCTTTAGACCTAGTGCTGTCCCAGTGGTGGTGGCCACAGGGGTGCTTGTATTGCTCCTCTCTGAGCTCCAGGCAGCCTAGAACAGAGAGACTTCATTTGTGGGAAAGTAAGGGAAGTGAGTCCCTGTCTGCTAATTCAGAAGAATTCCTTCAGGTGTGATCTCAAACCACCAATGTGGTACCTCCACAAGTCTGCAAAAAACAATGACATTCTTCACAGAAATAGAAATAAAAAATGAATTCTAAAATTTATATGTAACTACAAAAGACTTAGAATATCCTAAGCTATCCTGAGCAGAAAACAAACAAAACTGGAGGAATCACATTATCTGATTTCAAACTATACTCTATAGCTATAGTAACCAGAACAGCATGGCACTGGCATAAAAACAGACACATAAACCAATGGAACAGAATAGAAAACCCAAAAACCAGTTTATACATCTGCAGTGAACTCATTTTCAGCAAAGGTGCCAAAGCACATACAATGGGAAAATGACAGTCTCGTCAATAATTGGTGGTGGGAAAACTGGATATTCATACGCAGGGGAATGAAACTAGACCTCTATTTCTCACCTCATACAAAAATCAAATCAAAATGGATTAAAGATTTAAATCTCAGCTGGGTGCAGTGGCTCACGCCTGTAATCCCAGCACTTTGGTAGGCTGAGATAAAAGAATCGCTTGAGCCTGGTAGTTCAATACCAGCCTGGGCACACCAGTGAGATTCTGTCTCTATTTTTTAAAACATTAAAAATTAAAAAAATTTAAATCTAAGACCTGAAATATGAAACAAATAAAACATTGGGAAAACTCTCTGGAATACTGGACTCAGCAAATATTTCTTGAATATTTCATAAGCACAGACAGCCAAAGCAAAAATGGGAAAATTAGGTCACATCAAGTTAAAAAGCTTCTGCACAGCAAAGGAAACAATCAACTAAGTGAAGAGACAACACACAGAATGGGGGAAGCTATTTGAAAACTATCTGACAAGGGATTAATTACCAGAATATTTAAGAAGCTCAAAGAACTCCATAGAAAAAAAATCTAATAATCTGATCTTTAAAATGGGCAAAATATCTGAATAGGCATTTCTCAAAAGAGGACACATTAGCCAGGCATGATGACACGTGCCTGTGGTTTCAGCTGTTTGGGAGGCTTAGGTGCAAAAATTACCTGAGCCTGGGAGGTTGAGGCTGCAGTGTGCTGTGATTGTGCCACTGCACTCCAACCTGACTGACAAAGTGAGATCCTGTTTCAAAACTAAGAAGGGCATACAAATAGCAGATAGGTATATGAAAAGATACTCAACATCAATATCATTGATCAGAGAAATGCAAATCAAAATTACAATGAGAGATCATCTCACCCCACTTAAAATGGCTTTTATTCTAAAGATAGCCAATAACAAATCTGGTGAGGATATAGAGAAAAGGTAACCCTCATACACTGTTAGTGGGAATGTAATTTAAGTACAACCACTATGGAGAAATGTTTGGAGGTCCTCAAAACTAAAAATAGAACTACCATATGATCCAGCAATCCTAGTGCTGGGTATATATGCAAAAGAAAGGAAATCGGTATAACAGAGAGATACCTGCACTCTCATGTATATTGCAGCACTATTCACAACAGCCAAGATTTGGAAGCATTCTGAGGTTCCATCAACAGATGAGTGGCTAAAGAAAATGTGGTACATATACACAATGGAGTACTATTCAACCATAAAAGAGAATGAGATCCTGTTATTTGCAAGAACATGGGTGGAAATGTTGAGTGAAATAAGCCAGACACACACGGAAAAACAAATTTCACATGTTCTCACTTATTTGTGGGAGCTAAAAATTAAGACAGTTTTTTGTTTGTTTGTTTGTTTTTTGAGATGGAGTCTTGCTCTGTCACCCAGGCTGGAGTGCAGTGGCACTACGGCGGCTCACTGCAACCTCCGCCTCCTGGGGTCAAGCAATTCTCCTACCTCTGCCTCCCAAGTAGCTGGGATTACAGGCGCGTGCCACTATGCCCAGCTAATTTTTGTATTTTTAGTAGTGATGAGGTTTCACCATGCTGGCCAGGCTGGTCTCGAACTCCTGACCTTGTGACCCACCCACCTCGGCCTCCCAAAGTGCTGGGATTACAGGTGTGAGCCACTGTGCCTGGCCTCAAACAATTTAACTCATGAAGATATAGAGTAGGAGAATTGTTAGCAGAGGCTGGTAAAAGTAGTATGGGGGATAAGGAGTAAAATGGTTAATAGGTACACACATGTAGTTAGAAAGAAAAAATAAGATCTAGTATTTGATAGCACAACAGGGTGACAACACTCAAGAATTTTTAATCATACATTTTACAGTAACTAAAAGAGTGTAATTGAAATATTTGTAAAACAAAGATGTGCTTGAGGCATGATGGATACTTCATTTACCCTGATGTGATTATTACACGTCATAGTCATCAAAATATTTTATATACCACATAAATATATACACCTATAATATACCCCAAAAACATTTTTAAAGACTTTCATTCAGAATTACTACATTGTATATTTACAAGTGAATTGAGGATTCTTGTGACTAAGAAGAGACTCACTAGTGATGGTCAGTTGGTTTTGAAATGGCTGCTAAATTACTGCTTTGCTAATAGTAGAAACTGAGTTGTCACGGTGATATTGCTAGTAGCCATTTTAGCAAAGGATGTAACAGAAAACGAATTTGAAAAAAATAGAAGTACTTTGAAAGTTGCAGAAGCTAAAGTGCTCTTAATCACTACTGTAATCAGTCTGTACACTGGTTTCTTGAAGGGAGCAAAATTTGTAATTATGAACACTTAGCTCTGCTATAAGGCAGCTAAATTGTTTTCAAAACCTTCAGCTAATCCAGTGGGGCTCTAGTTCTAGTTACAAGGTCAGAGAATATCCAGAGAAATGTGCAGGTTTCCACAGATGTGAGCTCCAGAAGCAGTGGTGGCAGAAGCCAGCTCCAGTTCTACACAATGCTGTTTGTGAATGCAGAAGCACCCAGATCTATGCTCTGAGCAGAAACTGTAAAACGTTGCAACAAAGTGTGTAATGTACATTTATCTTGTCCCTCTGCTGTTGATTGTAATGATCTCTTTTGGACTGTGAATTGAACCATTTAAAAATTAGTGTTTATCAGATTTTTCTTAAAACTTTTCAACATCTGTTTGTCTTGTTAGAATACATTTTCCTTCAGAAACGTCACTAATTTTCAGGGAAATGAAAATAAAAACCACAGTGTGATACCACCTTACTCCTGCAAGAATGGCCATAATTTAAAAATTGAAAAAATCATACATGTTGGTATGGACTTGGTGAAAAGGGAACACTGACACTGCTGATAGGAATGTAAACTAGTACAACCACTATGGAAAACAGTACTGCCATTCAATCCAGCAATCTCACACTGGGTATCTACCCAAAGCAAAAGTCATATGAAAAAGACACATGCACATGCGTGTTGGTAGCAGCACAATTTGCAATTGCAAAAATGTGGAATGTCCATCAATGAATGGGTAAATAAAGTGTGGAATATATACACCATGGAATACTGCTGAGCCATAAAACAGAATAAAATGATGGCCTTTGCAGCAACTTGAATGGAGCTGGATGCCATTATTCTAAGTGAAGTAACTCAGGAATGGAAAACCAAATATCACGTGTTCTCACTTACGGGTGGGAGCTAAGCTAGGAGGATTTTATATGTATTTATACACATACACACACACATACACACACATACATATAAGTTAAACTGAGCAGCTCCTATTCAGAAAATGTGCTGTGCCTATAAAGGGTATGCTATTCAGCCATTTAAAAAACAACAAAAAACTAAGAAGATACATATCCTGTAAGGCATAATGGCTTTCTTCAATAACTAAGCCTCTATTAATAAACATGTTAATTATATAAAATACTGTATTTTACACATTTAAAATATGTTTACGGAAAAACATGAGATTATGAGGTACATATATTTCTATAGTAAATTAAGTCCTGATTAGCTGATTATTAAAGCATTATATGATTTACATTCCTATAGTCTTATGGTTATATGAATAGGAAAGTAATATTAGAAGTAGTTTCAGTGGGGTTTTCAGTTAAACAAATGAGAAAACCACATATCTGCTTATATCCTAACTGCTTTCCATACCAGAGAATATCAAGCATTTGTTGACTTAGCTAATGGATAAAACTTTAAAACCAAGAAACCAAATATGTTGTTGAGGTATTAATTGTTTTTATAAAGTTAAGTCTTTACAGGGATTACTATGAAAGTGGTAAGATTACTCTAGTTCTATATTTATTTAAACATTTGACAAAGTGCTGGACACAGTGGCTCATGTCTGTAATACCAGCAATTTGGGAGGCCAAGGTGGGAGTATCACTTGATCACAGGAGTTTAACACCAGCCTGGGCAACAGGTGAGACCCTGTCTCTACAAAAAGAATTTTAAAAAAATAGCCCAGCATGAACCTGTAGTCCCAGTTACTTGAAAGGCTAGGATCATGCCACTGCACTTCAGTCTGAGTGACAGAGAAAGACCCTATCTCAAAACAAACAAACAAACAAACAAAAATCTTTGGCCAGGACAGCTGGATAATCACGTGGCAGAGGGCTGCTCCCAGCTTGTTCCCCTCTCAGTACATTCAACTCATCCCCACATTCTGTTCTGGCCAGGGGTGACAGATGCTGAGCACCTTGGGGTTTCATTTCCAACTCAGGAGAAACACTGTGTAAGGCCAGCATCCTAGCAAAAGGCATGTCATAAAAGGGGTTTAATCTAGCCAAGGTGTTTCTCTTTGATCTTTCTACCATCTGAAGTGTAAAGAGTATTCCTGCACCGTAATAGTGACAGATAATAAATGGCATCCATCATTTCTGTCATCTGATCACTATTGTGATGCCTTGGGAGTGAGCATGGAGTCTGAGTTGTGCAATAGAACCCTCAAGAATGAGCCCTGAGTCAGCTGCACGAGGGCAGAGAAGGGTGTCGCCTTTCTCCTCAACCCAAACTTGGGGTGCTAGATGCAGAATGGACTGCAAGCAGCTGTGCCCTCTTTGGACATTAGTGTAGGAATCCACCCGCATAGCCTGTATTTGTTTCAAAAAAGAATTTGGAGCTATCCTAATAGCTCAGTGTGATATTTTTAAATAAACAGAAAAAAATTTTATTAACTGACTTAACAAAAAACACTGCCTATTAAATTCATTTAATATTGTTTAAGGAGTATCTACAAAATTCTGACTTCAATGTTTTCTTACAAAAGAAGTGGAAGTAAGGACAGAGACCCTTTCAAATGAAGAATCACTGAGAAACAAAATATTTATAAGTAGTATAACATTTACTTATGCACATTTTTAAAGATTATGCCATAATCAGTTTGCATCAGGCTCTCCAGTTTCACAACACTGAGAGGGTTTCCCTGTAGGAGAAATTTTCATATAAATGTTGAAGAAATTGTTAAAACTGAAAACTTTTCTGTATTTGGTAATCTACTGGGGTTCCAATCCAGTATGCTTTCTTATATTTAGAAGGTCTTTCTACAGTGTGTTATCATGGATCTTGGAGCAAATATCATGTAAATGAAGGCATTTCCACATTCTATACATTCATAGGTTTTATTTCAGAAATGAGTTCTTATCTTCATGTGGAACTGGAACAACTGAAGACCTTACCACGGATGTTTGTATTTATAAGGGTTTTCTCCATTGAATCCTTTCATATTTTCAAAGAAATGAAAAAGCTGAAGGCTTTACTGTGTTTCTTAAGATTATGTCAATTTTCTCCATATTAAATTCGAATATGTCTTTGAAAGCACGTGGGAAAATCAAGTTTATTAACACAGTTTTTACATTCATGTTGTTTTTGTTTTTCTAAGTTTTCAAAGAGAACTGGGAAAGTTGCATGCTTTCTTGTATTTCTTAGATCGATAGGGTTCTGTACAGTGTGAGTTCTTTCATGTGTTCTAATAAAGTAGAGCACATGATGCCTTTGCCACATTTTTTACATGAGAATAATGTTTTTGAACTAACATTGTCCTGTGTTGGTTTTGTTGTGTTTCTCCTTCCCCAGGAATGAGTTGGAAAGGGAATTCTTGAAGCTAATTAATTACAATATCAGCGTTACTGGCAGTGTTTATAGCAGATTCTACTTCAATCTTCGAACCATGGCACATGACAACAGCCTGTATTCGCTAGTTTATCTTCTTGACAGAGAAAGAGCATGGAAGCTGGAGGTAAGGCTACGAAGTTACTAAGTGGGTTTTCAGTCAAACACCAATGCCAACATCTGTGACTAGGTCATATTAAGCAGTGATTAGAAAAATGGAAAGCTTCAAAATTAACTAACATACTGAAGATCTTGTTACTTTTTGGCGTTCTATTTCCTGTATATTTTATGGTTTTTACAAGGATCCACATTATTTGAAAATTATAGCTATTATCTTCCCTTTTATGACCTTAATTCAGAATATTTTAATCAAATTTAATTCATTTGTAATCTTTCCTTTTTGAACCTTTACCCTTTCAAATAATCATATGTAAATGATTTCTTGTTATTGTATTCTGAGCAATGTCTACATACATAATGCACTTACCACTCTTGACTATTTTTTATTATTCAGTTTGCAAATTTATGTCATTTTCTACTGTATATACCACAGTGCAGTCAGTCCCATGGGTTTGTTAGAAAAAGCATTAGTGCCTAAGCCAAGAGACCTGCACTTAGACTGTATAAGGTGTGTGTGTCTCAAGTACTGGATGCAGAAAGTACATGGGATTTTACTGGAAATAACTTTTATGGGACAAAGTAATATTTATGGCTTGTGACTTTTGGTAAGTACACAGCAAAGTTACAGCTGACAAGGACGAGCATTTAAAATAGGCATGTTCTGTGGTACCTTGGAAGTATTTTAAAATAATACATTTTCTATCATAATTAATGTGCAAGTGAAGTAGTGCCTTTTGATGCTTTAGTCATTAGACTTCTTTGATGTTCCAATACAATCCAGCACATGCCTGCATCATTAAAATTTGCTTTGAGTATATAATAACTACTATAGATTGGGTAGAGTTTGAATAGATTAATAAACTAACTTTTTGCAAAAGTGTACATTCATTATGCTTAAGGAACAAGTACACAGGTAACAGATGATACTGCTCTTAGAAGCCTGTCACAATACTGTGACATCTTTGGGTGCCCAATTTTTAAGTAACTTAATAAAACAAGTTCCCCTTTGCTCCAGCAATCTAATTCTAGCCCTGAAAGGAGATTATCTTAGCGAGTTGACAGAACTTGGCGGTGTAAACCTCAGCCAAGTAGCTATAACTGGGCCAGGCACTGTGACTCATGCCTGTAATTCCAACACTTTGGGAGGCCGCGGCGGGTGGATCATGATGTGAGGAGTTCAAGACCAGCCTGGCCAAGCTGGTGAAACCCCGTTGTTACTAAAAATATGAAAATTAGCTGGCACCTATAATCCCAGCTACTCGGGAGGCTGAGGCAGAGAATTGCTTGAACCTGGGAGGCGGAGGTTGCAGTGAGCCAAGATTGTGCCATTGCACTTCAGCCTGGGTGACAGAGCAAGAGTCCTTCTCAAAAAAAAAAAAAAAGGTAGCTGTAACTGAGCTATCTGAAGGAGTTTGCATGCATGGCTTGTCATCAGTGGTGATAGTTAAAAGGTTGGAACCCTTTTTAAAATTGTACCTCTTTTCTATTTGACATTCTTAGGCTTTTTCAAGGATGGAACAAGACAAAGTTTTCTATAGTGCTGCCAAGAACAGGTCTTTGAGTGCTGATGATTTAATTCATTTTCAGCGTGCTAAGGCCATCCTCTTCTGAAGGAAGAAAAGAAGGGTAGTGTAAACCCTCATTTTGATGTGATCTGAACCTCTCATCAAAAAAGGCAGGAAAATATCACCTCTCCTGCTAAAGAACTAGAAAAGTTGATATTTTCAAAAGAAGAAACACCTCAATTCAAGTTAACTCAAGGACAACTAAATGGCACTTCATAGTAAAGAATGGGACCTTGTCAGGGCAACAACACACTCTTACATTCTTCTGTCCCATTTAATGTAAACAGAGTTATAAAAACCACTCCAAAGTGAAGACTCCTTCTACCCACACACAGATATTTGCTTAGTATGTGGACTGATAGCTGTGAACTACGTAAGGCTTTTAAAACAATAGTTTAACTTTTTAGATTTTAAAGATAACTTTTCTGTTTCTTTTATGTTTTCTCTTTTCCCCAATATTGCTGCATACACATTTGGAATCAGTGCAGTATCACTGTTAAAACATGGGAGTCTAACAATTCCTAAAGCCACTAGGAGCAGACCCAACATTGTCAGGTATGGAAGGGCTCTTCCTTCCTACTTTTACCATGGAAGCTACTAGTTACTGGCGATCATCAAGCAAAAGCTGCCAGACAGCATTTGCCATTCATATCCTTTGTAAGCCCTTCTTATTAGCAGTTTAGCATGTTTAGGGTCATAAAAAGAGAAAGTATTGGTTATTGATTATCTACTTTTATGAAGGTCTATAGTGTATTTCTTGTGAACTATAATGGTTCTCATTTGCTGATAAAGTTTCTTATTGTTAAGTAAATGTGTTCAAAGATGTTTTCACAGTGCCAAGCAGAATGGTGGTCCAGTGGTTATATAAAAATAATAAAATATGAGGTACCCTGAAACTTTCAGGGCAGTTTTTAGCTTTAATATAGTGTGCCTGGGCCCTCCAGAGGACTGCAGCATATGTATACATGCTGTAAATCTTTACAAAATATCATTTGAAAGTGTAATTGTATTTCTTCTTTTTAACAGATGGTGCCTCGCTATATTGCCCAAGCTACAGTGCAATGAGTAATCAGAGACACAATCATAACGCACCACAGCCTGAAAATCCTGGCCTCAAGCAATCTTCCCATGTCAGCCTACCAGGTAACTGGGACCATAGGTGTGTACCACCACCTCTGGCTTTATTTTACAGAATTTGAATGTTAAGCTTTTAACTTTTTGTTTCAGTCAATATCTGCTATCTTCAAGAAGGACTGAAACAAAAAATTAAAAGCTTAATATTCAGGAGCTAGGCATGCTTGTAGTCCCAGCTACTCACGAGGCTTAAATGGGAGGATCACTTGAGGCCTAACCTTGGAGGCTGCAGTGCACTGTGATTGTGCCTGTAAATAGCCATTGCACTCCAGCCTTGGCAACTTAATGAGACCGTGTCACCTTAAAAAATGGCAAAACTAAATAAACGTAAAAGAAATACAACAAGCTTTTCAATTATGTTTTGTAAATATTTCTAGCATTGTTACTTTTACAAGGATCAAAGCTTAAAATTACACTAAGACTTTTGGAATTCTTGTGTTTTTACAAAGTGCCCTTTTCTCTTGTAAAGTAGCTCTTTGCAAGGCTTTTATCTGCAATGATCACCTCAAATTATTTTCCCTAGATGTGATAAAGAGGAGGATCTGTGTTAATTCACATGTAACGAATTAGAAGGAATTGGACCCCAATAGTAGTAGGTGATGTAATACATTTTATTATCCCACATGTTAGCCTGAGTGCAGGTATCATATTTCATGTCCTGCTATTTAAAAAGAACTTCCATAAACCTTAGGAACCCTACCTCCTGAAAAAGTATCACTTATGGAATGCAGAGCTTAGAGATTGAAGTATTGATTGCAGTTTTATTTTCAAAAGATAAATGCTACAACTGATGTGGTTTTCATTTCTCATGTTTATATTAAAAGAAAACCTAGTAAATTATTTAATTAAAATGTGGTGAGTGTGTTTATAACACTTCTATTCACATAGTGTTGCATCTCTGCCTAACTTAAATGGTTTAAATCAGTACTGATATGGCTTAAAGCATTTTTGTAAGTTGCCGTGACCATACACAAGTTGGTTTAATCCATGCCTGTATTTAAGATGTAATACTTGTTTTCTCTTTTTTTTTTTTTTTTTTTTGAGATGCAGTCTAGCTCTGTTGCCCAGGTTGGGACTGCAGGTGCACGCTGCCACGCTCAGCTGATTTTTTGTATTTTAGTAGAGACCAGGTTTCACCATGTTGCCCAGGCTGGTCTCAAACTCCTGACCTCAGGCAATCCACCCGCCTCGGCCTCCCAAAGTGCTAGGATTACAGGCATGAGCCACCATGACTGGCCCTCAATTTTAAGATAATTTATTACGCTTAAAATAACCCCCTGGCCACAATACTTAGTGGCATAGTGAGAAAATCAATAGAATAAGGAACACTAACATTGTTCTCTCCTTTGGCTTGAATTCTAGAAGGGAATACAGTCATTTAGATAAATGAAAAATTGGGTCAGCTTAGAATAAGAATATAAATGTCACTGAAAGTGGGCAGGTTCTCCAACAAATGTTATGGGGCATGGAAACTAAGTTGCTAGTAGGTGGTAACGATGGCAGTTTTCATAGAGTTTGATACCTGGGAAAGATTAGTTCTTTAACATATGACTATGAAAAGGATTATCTGAGTACCAAAGCTCAAATTTACTTTGACTTTTTGGGTTATTTTAATGTCTGTAATACAGACACCAGTGAAATTTTACTCTGGTAGAGCATGAACTAACACTTTTACATCTTCAATACAAAGAAAAGACAAAGATCTGAAATATGTATTTGAACCAAGTGAAACAGTCATTTTTGTAGCACAAAAGCAGTTGCCTATTGGCAGTTTAATATAGTTTATTTTGAGATGAACTATCTAATCTTAGGGCTCAATGTTTGTAGAGAAATTTTCCTGGTCTTTTATTCACATTTTCTTTTTATGTAACCTAGATGCCCATACGTTACTGAAATCAAACAACACTAAATCCTGATTTTACTACAACTCAAGGTTCAGTTTTTTTTTTTAATGTAGTTTTCCCACATTTCCAAATACACTATTCCTTGGTTTAAAAAAAACATGCCAAAGCCAATCTTAACCAAAAACCAAATTACTCTTGATTCTGTATTCAGGTTATGCAGTGTTTCTGGAAACTAATTTTGCGCAGTGTGCTGGTTAGCTAGAATCTTTTATCACCCAGCCCTTTCCCTAACCACATTTAAGATTTCTGTGGCTTCATTTTTTCCTCACACAGCATCCTTGAATATGGAACTATATCTTTGACAGCTGGCAGAGAAATCTCCCAGGTAAGTGCCAGTTTCTATGCAAATTTGTAGAGAACAACCAGAATCTATCAAGTTAAGGATTAGATGACCTTAAGTCTAATGGCCAGACATTTATTTGCCCAGTTGGGAACATTCTGCCAGCAAGTAATGCAAAAGATCTAGGAGCCCTTCACTAAAGCCTGCCCCCTAGGATACAGGTTTCTAAGGCAATTTCTACTGAACTCTTTTTTTTTTTTTTTTTTTTTTGAGATGGAGTCTAGCTGTGTCACCAAGGCTGGAGTGCAGTGGTGAAATTTCGGCTCATTGCAACCTCTGCCTCACAGGTTCAAGCGATTCTCCTGCCTCAGCCTCCCGAGTAGCTGGGACTATAAGTGCCCACCACCATGACCAGCTAATTTTTGTATTATTAGTAGAGACAGGGTTTCACCATATTGGCCAGGCTGGTCTCGAACTCCTGACCTTGTGATCCACCCACCTCAGCCTCCCAAAGTGCTGGAATTACAGGTGTGAGCCACTGCACCTTGCGTCTATTGAACTCTTAAATGCATTTGGTGAGGGGGTGGTTCCAAGACGGCCGAATAGGAATAGCTCCAGTCTACAGCTCCCAGTGTGAGCAATGCAGAAGATGGGTGATTTCTGCATTTCCAACTGAGGTACCGGGTTCATCTCACTGGGGCTTGTCAGACAGTGGGTGCAGGACAGTGGGTGCAGTGCACCCAGCATGAGCCGAAGCAGGGTGAGACATCGCCTCACCCGGGAAGCACAAGGCTTCAGGGGAATTCCCTTTCATAGCCAAGCAAAGCTGGGTCTGATGGCACCTGGAAAATCGGGTCAATCCCACCCTAATACTGTGCTTTTCCAATGCTCTTAGCAAACAGCACTCCAGGAGATTATATCCCGCACATGGCTCGGAGGGTCCCACACCCATGGAGCCTCGCTCATTGCTAGCACAGCAGTCTGAGATTGAACTGCAAGGCAGCAGCAAGGCTGGAGGAGGGGGGCCCGTCATTGCTGAGGCTTGAGTAGGTAAACAAAGCGGCTGGGAAGCTTGAACTGGGTGGAGCCCACCACAGCTCAAGGACGCCTGCCTGCCTCTGTAGACTCCACCTCTGGGGGCAGGGCATAGCTGAACAAAAGACAGCAGAAACCTCTGCAGACTCAAATGTCCCTGTCTGACAGCTTTGAAGAGAGTAGTGGTTCTCCCAGCACGGAGTTTGAGATCTGAGAACGGACAGACTGCCTCCTTAAGTGGATCCCTGACACCTGACTAGCCTTTCTGGGAGGCATCACCCAGTAGGGGCAGACTGACACCTCACATGGCCGGGTACCCCTTTGAGAAAAACCTTCCAGAGGAACAATCAGACAGCAACATTTGCTGTTCAGCAATATTCGCTGTTCTGCAGCCTCTGCTGCTGATACCCAGGCAAACAGGGTCTGGAGTGGACATCAAGCAAACCCCAACAGACCTGCAGCTGAGAGTCCTGACTGTTAAAAGGAAAACTAACAAACAGAAAGGACATTCACACCAAAACCTCATCTGTATGTGACTATCATCAAAGACCAAAGGTAGATAAAACCACAAAGATGGGGAAAAAACAGAACAGAAAAACTGAAAATTCTAAAAATCAGAGTGCTTCTCCTCCTCCAAAGGAATGCAGCTCCTCACCAACAAAGGAACAAAGCTGGATGGAGAATGGCTTTGATGAGTTGAGAGAAGAAGGCTTCAGACGATCAAACTTCTCCAAGCTAAAGGAGGAAGTTTGAACCCATTGCAAAGAAGTTAAAAACCTTCAAAAAAGATTAAACAAATGGCTAACTAGAATAACCGATGAAGAGAAGTCCTTAAAGGACCTGCTGGAGCTGAAAACCATGGGATAAGAACTACATGATGAATGCACAAGCTTCAGTAGCCAATTTGATCACCTGGAAGAAAGGGTATCAGTGATCGAAGATCAAATGAATGATACGAAGCGAGAAAAGAAGTTTAGAGAAAAAAGAGTAAAAAGAAATGAACAAAGCCTCCAAGAAATATGGGACTATGTGAAAAGACCAAATCTACGTCTCATTGGTGTACCTGAAAGTGACGGGGAGACTGGAAACAAGTTGGAAAACACTCTGCAGGATATTATCCATGAGAACTTCCCCAACCTAGCAAGGCAGGCCAACATTCAAATTCAGGAAATACAGAGAACTCCACAAAGATACTCCTCAAGAAGAGCAACTCCAAGGCAAATAATTTTCAGACTCACCAAAGTTGAAATGAAGGAAAAAATGTTAAGGGCAGTCAGAGAGAAAGGTCAGGTTACCCAGAAAGGGAAGCCCATCAGACCAACAGCAGATCTCTCAGCAGAAACTCTACAAGCCAGAAGAGAGTGGGGGCCAATATTCAACATTCTTAAAGAAAAGGATTTTCAACCCAGAATTTCATATCCAGCCAAACTAAGCTTCATAAGTGAAGGAGAAATAAAATCCTTTACAGACAAGCAAATGCTGAGAGATTTTGTCACCACCAGGCCTACCCTAAAAGAGCTCCTGAAAGAAGCACTAAACATGGAAAGGAACAACCGGTACCAGCCACTGCAAAATCATGCCAAATTGTAAAGACCATCGAGGCTAGGAAGAAACTGCATCAACTAATGAGCAAAATAACCAGCTAACATCATAATGACAGGATCAAATTCACACATAACAATATTAACCTTAAATGTAAATGGGCTAAATGCTCCAATTTAAAGACACAGACTGGCAAATTGGATAAAGAGTCAAGACCCATCAGTGTGCTGTATTCAGGAGACCCATCGCACAGACAGAGACACACATAGGCTCAAAATAAAGGGATGGAGGAAGATCTACCAAGCAAATGGAAAACAAAAAAAGGCAGTGGTCGCAATCCTAGTCTCAGATAAAACAGACTTTAAATCAACAAAGATCAAAAGAGACAAAGAAGGCCATTACATAACGGTAAAGGGATCAATTCAACAAGAAGAGCTAACTATCCTAAATACATATGCACCCAATACAGGAGCACGCAGATGCATAAAGCAAGCCCTTAGAGACCTACAAAGAGACTTAGACTCCCACACAGTAGTAATGGGAGACTTTAAAAACCCACTGTCAACATTAAACAGATCAACGAGACAGAAAGTTAAAAAGGATATCCAGGAATTGAATTCAGCTCTGCACCAAGTGGACCTAATAGACATCTACAGAACTCTCCACCCCAAATCAACAGAATATACATTCTTTTCAGCACCACACCACACGTATTCCAAAAATGACCAATAGTTGGAAGTAAAGCACTCCTCAGCAAATGTGAAAGAACAGAAATTATAACAAACTGTCTCTCAGACCACAGTGCAATCAAACTAGAACTCAGGATTAAGAACCTCACTCAAAACTGCTCAACTACATGGAAACTGAACAACCTGCTACTGAATGACTACGAGGTACATAACGAAATGAAGGCAGAAATGAAGATGTTCTTTGAAACCAATGAGAACAAAGACACAACATACCAGAATCTCTGGGACACATTTAAAGCAGTGTGTGAGGGAAATTTACAGCACTAAATGCCCACAAGAGAAAGCAAGAAAGATCTAAAATTGACATCCTAACATTACCATTAAAAGAACTAGAGAAGCAAGAGCAAACACATTCAAAAGCTAGCAGAAGGCAAGAAATAACTAAGATCAGAGCAGAACTGAAGGAGATAGAGACACAAAAAACCCTTCAAAAAATCAGTGAATCCAGGAGCTGGTTTTTTGAAAAGGTCAACAAAATTGATAGACTGCTAGCAAGACTAATAAAGAAGAAAAGAGGGAAGAATCAAAGAGTCACAATAAAAAATGATAAAGGGTATATCACCACTGATCCCACAGAAATACAAACTACCATCAGAGAATATTATAAACACCTCTATGGAAATAAACTTGAAAATCTAGAAGAAATGGATAAATTCCTCAACACATACAACCTCCCAAGACTAAACCAGGAAGAAGTTGAATCTCTGAATAGACCAATAGCAGGCTCTGAAATTGAGGCAATAATTAATAGCCTACCAACCAAAAAAAGTCCAGGACCAGACTGATTCACAGCCAAATTCTACCAGAGGTACAAGGAGGAGCTGGTACCATTCCTTCTGAACTATTCCAATCAATAGAAAAAGAGGGAATCCTCCCTAACTCATTTTATGAGGCCACCATCATCCTGATACCAAAGCCTGGCAGAGACACAACAAAAAAAGAGAATTTTAGACCAATATCTCTGATGAACATCAGTGCAAAAATCCTCAATAACATATTGGCAAACCAAATCCAGCAGCACATCAAAAGGCTTATCCACCATGATCAAGTGGGCTTCATCCCTGGGATGCAAGGCTGGTTCAACATATGCAAATCAATAAACATAATCCAGCATATAAACAGAACCAAAGACAAAAACCACATGATTATCTCAATAGATGCAGAAAAGGCCTTTGACAAAATTCAACAACCTTCATGCTAAAAACTCTCAATAAATTAGGTATTCATGGGACATATCTCAAAATAATAAGAGCTATCTATGACAAACCCATAGCCAACATCATACTGAATGGCAAAAAGTGGAAGCATTCCCTTTGAAAACTGGCACAAGACAGGGATGCCCTCTCTCACCACTCGTATTCAACATAGTGTTGGAAGTTCCGGCCAGGGCAATCAGGCAGGAGAAAGAAATAAAGGGTATTCAATTAGGAAAAGAGGAAGTCGAATTGTCCCTGTTTGCAGATGACATGATTGTATATCTAGAAAACCCCATCATCTCAGCTGAAAATCTCCTTAAGTTGATAAGCAAGTTCAGCAAAATCTCAGGATTCAAAATCAATTTGCAAAAATCACAAGCATTCTTATACACCAATAACAGACAAACAGAGAGCCAAATCATGAGTGAACTCCCATTCACAATTGCTTCAAAGAGATTAAAATACCTAGGAATCCAACTTACAAGGGATGTAAGGACCTCTTCAAGGAGAACAACAAACCACTGCTCAATGAAATAAAAGAGGACAGAAACAAATGGAAGAACATTCCATGCTCATGGATAGGAAGAATCAATATCGTGAAAATGGCCATACTGCCCAAGGCAACTTATAGATTCAGCACCATTCCCATCAAGCTACGAATTACTTTCTTCACAGAATTGGAAAAAACTACTTTAAAGTTCATGTGGAACCACAGAAGAGCCCGCATTGCCAAGACAATCCTAAGCCAAAAGAACAAAGCTGGAGACATCATGCTACCTGACTTCAAACTATACTACAAGGCTACAGTAACCAAAACAGCATGGTACTGGTACCAAAACAGAGATATAGACCAATGGAACAAAACAGAGCCCTCAGAAATAACACCACACATCTACAACCATCTGATCTTTGACAAACCTGACAAAAACAAGAAATGGGGAAAGGATTCCCTATTTAATAAATGGTGCTGGGAAAACTGGCTAGCCATATGGAGGAAGCTGAAACTGGATCCCTTCTTTACATCGTATACAATAATTAATTCAAGATGGATTAAAGACTTAAATGTTAGACCTGAAACCATAAAAACCCTAGAAGAAAACCTAGGCAATACCATTCAGGACATAGGCATGGGCAAGGACTTCATGTCTAAAACACCAAAAGCAATGGCAACGAAAGACAAAATTGACAAATGGGATCTAATTAAACTAAAGAGCTTCTGCACAGCAAAAGAAACTACCATCAGAGTGAACAGGCAACCTACAGAATGGGAGAAAATTTTTGCAATCTACTCATCTGACAAAGGGCTAATATCCAGAATCTACAAAGAACTCAAACAAATTTACAAGAAGAAAATAACCCCATCAAAAAGTGGGCAAAGGATATGAACAGACACTTCTCAAAAGAAGACATTTATGCAGCCAAAAGACACATGAAAAAATGCTCATCATCACTGGCCATCAGAGAAATGCAAATCAAAACCTCAATGAGATACCATCTCACACCAGTTAGAATGGTGATCATTAAAAAGTCAGGAAACAACAGGTGCTAGAGAGGATGTGGAGAAATAGGAACACTTTTACACTGTTGGTGGGAGTGTAAACTAGTTCAACCATTGTGAAGACAGTGTGGCGATTCCTCAGGGATCTAGAACTAGAAATACCATTTGACCCAGCCATCCCATTACTGGGTATATACCGAAAGGATTATAAATCATGCTGCTATAAAGACACATGCACACGTATGTTTATTGTGGCACTATTCACAATAGCAAAGACTTGGAACCAACCCAAATGTCCAACAGTGATAGACTGGATTAAGAAAATGTGGCATATATATACCATGGAGTACTATGCAGCCTTAAAAAATGATGAGGTCATGTCCTTTAGAGGGACATGGATGAAGTTGGAAACCATCATTCTCAGCAAACTATTGCAAGGATAAAAAACCAAACACCACATGTTCTCATAGGTGGGAATTGAACAATGAGAACACTTGGACACAGGAAGGGGAACATTACACTCTGGGGACTGTTGTGTGGTGGGGGGAGTGGGGAGGGATAGCCTTAGGAGGTATACCTAATGTAAATGATGAGTTAATGGGTGCAGCACACCAACATGGCACACATATACATATGTAACAAACCTGCAAGTTGTGCACATGTACCCTAGAACTTAAAGTATAATGGAAAATATGTGTATATAAAAAAAGAATTAACACAAAAAATGCATTTGGCCAGTGACGGAACATGTACTTAATGTGAAATTTAAGGAATATCATCTTGTGGTTTAGGATTTCCAGGGTACAGCAAGAACAACTAACTGGGAAAGAAAAGTGGTATAGACGTTATAAGAATCTTGAGTCCATTGGAAAATGGTTAACATTCTTTAAAAAGGAACAGGTTAGGTGACTCTTATAACTGGTGTAAGGAAGCTGAACAATTGGACTGTGATTAGGAAAACTCAGTGACAGTCCCAGAACCTAAGGTCTTTAGTAAAATATGAGTGGTATCTCCTTCAAAATACCTCTATGGATACCCAAAATAGGCTGCTTGCTTCTTAAAAAAATATATTGCTTCATCTTTAGCTTCTCAATTCTACAAACCTTTACCTGTCACCTCAAGCTGGTGACTCCTGTGTCTCCTCAGTGTGACAACTGACTCACAAGCAGAGCTTCAAGTGTTTTATCCACCTCTTCTTCCAACCCCTGTTTCACCCAAGACTCTTAGAACCCTCCTTAAACAAAATAGATTATTCCAGCCTCACCCTTACCTTTTCTGCTACTTTCCAGTGTGGCAGTGCTTGATGTTTGTCATTGTGACCCACTGCCAAAGCATCAGCACCAGGTTCTGGAACATCCGGGTTGTATGTAGCTTGCAAGCTAACTGACCCCTTGTAATTCCCTTTATGTGAGCCTTCTGTGTGGGTTCTCTGAAATACCTGTTCCCAATTTGCTGCACTTGCTGATTCTGACCTACTCACAACCCTACTCATGTATTCTCAATCTAGCCTGAGGATGAGGTTGTACCCTTTCCTTCCAAAACCTATTTTCTCTGGCATTGATGCCTTGTTCTGAAGGTAACACCCTCTCATCTAATGGAGAGGATTCCATCTCTACCTCTAAAATCAGCCCTCTATATTCATCTCCTCCACCAATTCTCCTCTTCAAAATTGCATTTCACCTCCTCAACTTGGGGATGCAGCAATTTTGGTTCATTCCTCTAAAGGTCCCAATGTTTTTCAAGATGTGATCCCCACCCACCTCCCTCTTAGCAGCTGAAAGAGCTTGTGAAAAATGCAGCTTCTCTAAATGCAGTATGGTATCCTGGATTTGATCCTGGGACAGGTAAAGAACATGAGTGGAAAACCTGATGAAGTCTGGAGTTAGTAGTAATGTGTCAACCTTGACTTTTTAGTTTTAACAAATGTACCATGTCAACACGAGATGTTCACATTAGTGGGGAACTGGTAAGGGCATACAGAAACTGAGTTATTTTGGTGACTTTTTCTAAGTTTCTTTTTATAAAACAGCCTTTTGGGCCCCAGAACTAATGAATCTCAATTCCTGGGGCTGAGGCCTGGGAATCTAAAATTGTAACAGATACCCTAAATGATTCTTAGATTCAAATTGAAATCCTTGTCAATTTCCTTTTATTTCTTGTCTGAACAGTTGCTTCTCCCTTGTTTCACTTATCTTAACCTGAGTTAATCCTTGAACTCTTCTGAATCCTAGGATTTCAGTACTGTTATCGGTTTTTCCCAGATGAGAAAACTGAATAGTAAGAGGTGGAGTGTCCAGGATCATAGAGCTCATAAAAGGTGAAGCTGGGACTTATATTCCCAATCAGCCTGGCTCCCAAGTCTATGCTTATAGCCGCTCTGCATCAACCCTAATTCTATTCATGATGAGCTCAAGAGCTCTGTAACTAAATCAACAAAAAGCAGCCTTCTCACCAATATTATCCTGGGCCCACCTATTTCTCCAACTTTCTAAGTCCAGCAGTCCCTCTTGCTTCAGCATGTGGACTTTGCCCTTTCCTTTTTTGTTTGTTTTGTTTTTGTTTTTGTTTTTGAGACGGAGTCTTGCTCTGTCGCCCAGGCTGGAGTGACGTGGCGCGACCTGGGCTCACTGCAAGCTCCGCCTTCTGGGTTCACGCCATTCTCCCGCCTCAGCCTCCCGAGGAGCTGGGACTATAGGCGCCCGCCACCATGCCCAGCAAAGGCAAAAATTGTTTTTGTATTTTTAGTAGAGACGGGGTTTCACCGTATTAGCCAGGATGGTCTTGATCTCCTGAACTCGTGATCCGCCTGCCTCGGCCTCCCAAAGTGCTGGGATTACAGGCGTGAGCCACCGCGCCCGGCCGCCTTCTTTTCCACTGGAGGAAAATGAGCAATGGGAAAGCTTGGGGAAGATGTGCCGTTGAGAATGCTGCACGCGGAAAGTGGAAGGTGCAGTTGCCCTTCTCTCAAGACTCAGCTCAACAACTATATTTTCTAGTCTGCCTCTCCCAGCTGCTTTAACTTATATACTAATGTAATCAAGTTCACAGCACCCGCCTTGACATGAAATTACATGCTCTCATATATTGCTAATTCACTTCTCACTAGATTTATGTGGTCTCCCTCAAACACTTTAAGCTCCTAATTTGCAGGGTCACGTCTCCCACAAACTATGTCTCAGAGTATGATGGAGAATGCTGACATACCAGATCTTAAAGTGAGCTGGTGTTGGTAGATTGGTGGCCAATCTTTATTTTGCCAAAGCAGCAGTTGGCAGAAGGTGGTGTGAAAATAGCATCTCAGGCTCAGTAAGCATCTGTTTAGATTACCAGGGAGAAGCCAGCTCTCAGTTTGTACCTTGGGTTCCTGATGTGGATTTACAGCTCAACAGCAAGTTGTGGATCCAACAGCTGAATAGAAAAGTTTTGAGAGTTTCTGTCTTCCAACCAGATGCACAAAAAAGTACCGTGTCTATTCAGATTGTTTCAGCATAAATGGAGCATTTATAAAATGGAAGGCAATCTTGGGCAATGACTGTTTTTCCACGTATCTTCATTTCTTCAGGTGGATCAGGAAACAATAACAGGATTGCTAGGAGAAACCTAGGAATTATATTAAATTAAAACATGTTTTAATTAGTTCTGCTTCTGTGATTGGAATTTGCTTGAGTTTAAGATTAATAAAATTTTTGCTGCTTATATTTTAGGTACAATTGAAAAATCTGATTCTAAAATTAAAATCCACATCTCTCCTTACATATCCTTAGGAAGCAGTGTATCTGTGCATGCAAACATGAAGAGAAAGAGACTTCTATGGCATCTCTTTATTTTCTTTGCTATTGCTTTAATGCATTTTAAAATTAATGTACATTAATTGGGAACAAAGAAACAAAAGCACATTTCTTTTTATCATAAATA